>NC_000010.11:129416667-129728148 GCF_000001405.40 Homo sapiens
AAACCGTGTATTCAGAGGGAGGTGGAAGGTCGCACAGCCACTAGCATTCATTAGGAGCTGAAGATGCCTCTCAACTCCTCTTCCCTTAAACAAAAAACGCATATTCAAAAGATGAAATGATGCTTTTTATAAATTCTTGTACATTGATTTCTAAATTTCTCTTATTATGCGTGTTAAGGTTTTTCTTTTAGGTAAGAATTTTCTCTACATCAAAAGCAAATAGTTTTTTTTTTTTAAAAAAAAAACGTATGATTTCTTTCAAAACATAAGCCTTCTTCCTATGCAAGTTTACCAAATTCCTTATCCCATACACAACACAAATGTCAAATCTAGTTCATTTAAAATGAAAACTCTCAGAGTGGAACTCATTGCCCAGTTTATCTGTTCCCCTTCTCTTCTCATGTCCCCAAATAGTACTAAAATGCTTGCGAGAGAGGCACTGGTGGCTTTTAGAACCTTCCCTTTATTTTCTGCTTAAATGTGTTTGTTAAATGTCACAGCGCCGAGAAGGTTCAGTGCTGGAGTTCAAGAACACTCCGAAATGTCTTATTAATTCTTCATAACGCATCGACAGGCAATGCTTAAAAACAAAGCCCCAAGAAGAAAGCTGTGGTGAGTCACGGGCTGCACGTGGCTTGTCCCCGCTTCGGCATCTGGAAGCCCACTTCTAAACAGGAAAGGCATTTTTAACCCTGGTTTGTTTGTTTTACAGTGTCCAACTATCTGAGTCACATTCCTGGCACTTGGCACTTTGTTTTAATTGAACACATACTATTAAACCCAAACTAAGGTTCTGAGTCTCTCAATTACCTGCAATTTTTGTCTTTCAAAGGAAAAAAAAAAGCCAAGGAGTCGCCGCTGCCCATATTTATTGGGAACCATCTGTTACACCTCTAATTAAAACCCACTTGTAATGAGCTTGTTAGTGCACAAAATGTGTCAGGTATCGGATATTATTCATGAAGCAGTTGTTTTGGTGGCTGAATGATGCCTTAAAATCCTATTAGTTTAACAAAGTAATGTATTAGTATTTTGACCCGATATACAAGAGACTTCAGAATGACCTGGCACTCAGCTTGTTTAATATTTTTTTCTCAAATATGTTGCTATTTCTACCTAATATATAGTCAGATGGCCTCTTATAATTGCAGTATCAAATCTTTGCCTCAATTTTCAACTGCAGGTGATTCCAAATGATTAAAGATGCACAACGGGGAATAAACAAAAATGCTTACATGCAATTATTTTTAATTAGTATTTGGCTATAAAGTGTATGGCTTCATAAAAAAGTCTGTTATTCACATAAACATCTGTTACCATACACACAAGGAAACACACTGTAAGTCTGTCATCACATCACCAAAACAGAAACACGGAGGGAGGCTGGCCAGGAAAGCCAGCACTTTGAGCTCTTCAACAAAAGATCTGAGTCTAACTAACTGCCAAAACAGACGCCAAGCCACACCTTTCAATTACCATCGCTCACAATCAAAGGAAGAGCGGTTACCCACGGAATTACACTCGAAAATGTTAAAATAGATGGAATTATTCTTTGAAAACAATAGAATCTCTGAGCACGAGACAATTTCGAATTCTTTTACTAATTTTGCACCCGTGCGCATAATCAGACAGTTTCCTGTTTGCACGCTGTCTGCTGGCTGCTAATTTTCCAGGTTCTCCGCACTCTTATTTTTGTTCGTTAATACATCCAAACTTTGTGAAATGCAGCGGCTTAAATCCCAAGTGCCGAATATTAGCCTTGTTTCACGAGAGCCTCCAGCAAGGGGAAAAAATATATATATATTTTAAGTGAGCGTGCCCCCACCACGCACAGGGAGAGAGATACAGGGAAATAAATTAATACTGCAGTAATTGATAGGTGGAGATAAGGCTGCTCTGTGGAATACTGAGAGGAAAATGAAGGGGAGGTGTGAGAATACTTTGCCCATGAATTACTGAATCAGTGGGAATTAGCCGGCTCCAGTCGGTGGAAGCTCTTGGAAGCGTAGGGCTCCAGGATTACCCCCAGAAACCCAAGTTAACACACTCTGTTCGCAGCCCAAAATCTGCAGCTTTTATTAAACGCACAATTCACGTGCCAAAAGAACTTATCTTCATTTGCATGAAAATGCTAACAATAATTTAATTGAATCACACAAATCAGCATCTATACTATTGCCACACTGGGTTGTCTGTGCTCAAATTAGGCAGAAATCATGACCCCTGGCTGTGGCCCCGGGGGATCAATAAGCAGTTGTTACCCTAACACCCCTCCCCGCCCCGCACCAGGCTCTGGCTTGCCCCTTACAAGGCGATGTTCATCCGCCTCACCAAGGCACGGCCCCCCTGAGGGAGGCTGTGTTGGAGATTCTCACCAGTCTGTCCTGACCATGTCAGGGAGGACACAGCCCAGGGCAGCGGGCAAGTGGACCAAAGGACCTCCGCATCGTGGCCTCAGTCTTTCTAACTGTTCAAACTCAGCTCTGACTCCCAAGATGGTCTTGGAGGGCCCAAGACGGAAGGCCAGTCCCCAGGAACACGGCACCCCTCCACACTGCCCACACACTGCCAGCCTGCATCAAGCACCCTCATCTCCCAGAAACAGGCCCATCTGGGAGGCTGGTGTTAACCTGCAGCCAAGACGCCTTTAAACCCGGCCGCCTGGCAGGCAAAAGCCCAGGTTCACTCAAGGGCAAGCAGCACAATCATTAGCAGCCCCGTGTAATTTAAAAACATAACCAGGAACAACTGAAAGGAAGAAATATACTGTGGGACTAAATCTATTGATCAAGAGCCCCCCAAAGACAGGCCGTAAATAAAATGGCACAATGACCAGAAAAGGCCGGTTTTACATTAAGAAGCAGCAAATTCATTGCCGGGGTGAGCCTGGGAGCCAGGCCCGTGCGCCGGCTGCGTCCTCCCAGGCAGGAAGGTGAAAGATGACCCATTCCTCACGCGGAAGGCGCGCTGGGCTACAGCCAGGCTGCCCTTTGCTAAGCGCGCATCCCTCACGCGAGGAATCCTCATTTTTCAATCATGCCCGCGTTTCAGCCGTCTTCCCCTTGACGTCACTCCTTCGGCATCGTCTCTCCGTCGAAGAGATACTTTTAACCATTCAGTGCCCTGACCCTGGACTCCCTGCTGGGCTTGTGCCCAGAGCCCAAGGAAGGCCGCCTCCCCCTTCGCAGGATGCTCTAGCGCACTCGCAAAGCCCAGGGCCACCTCCCCACCATCTCCTGATGGAGACAAGGTGGCCTGGCAGGTGACGGACAGCACATCACTTGCCACCCCAGGGTCAGCTGTGCTACCTGGGACCTCTGTCCCTTGCTTATTTTGGCAACAGAATCACAAAATCTTTGTTGGTTGAGGGGCGAAACTGGATGGAATTTTGAAAATCAAAGTTGCTATTCATATGTAGAATGTGTGGAAAATGAAACAACAAATATGAATGCCCAAGATTAATCTGAGAAAAATCCTAGGATAGCATGGGGCCAACCGGCAGAGTATCCATTACTGGTCTAGAAATTTCCCGGTAATATTCCTGGGCAGGTGGGTACTAGAGTGAGGAGAGGGAGGATCTCACCTTGGATACAAAATTTTAGGGAATGCCAAGAAGCTCAATCATCAATACATAATATTTTTAAAAATCAAAATGAATTCAACTTAGTGTGCTGTGTCAAATCCTACTGGAACTTCAGGCAAGAGGAAGCATCAGTGATGCCACCCCTTTATTTAGAAAACAGAATTGCTATTTCATGCATAGTGGATTTTTTGCATTAGTTTTTATTTTTAATATTATATTATTGTAAGTCTTGATTGCCGAGTTTTTTGGAGCTCTTTAAAGTTTGTGCCCTGGCTGGGCACGGTGGCTCACACCTGTAATCCCAAAACTTTGGGAGGCCAAGGCGGGCAGATCACCTGAGGTCAGGAGTTCGAGACCAGCCTGGCCAACGTGGTAAAACCCCATCTCTACTAAAAATACAAAAATTAGCCGGGCATGGTGGCGCATGCCTGTAATCCCAGCTACTTGGGAGGCCGAGGCAGGAGAATTGCTTGAACCTGGAAGACGGAGGTTGTGGTGAGCCAAGATCGCACCACTGCATTCCAGCCTGGGTGATAGAGCAAGACTCTGTCTCAAATAAATAAATAAATAAATAAATAAATAAATAAATAAATAAATAAAGTTTGTGCCCCAGAGGAGTACCTCACTCCTCTCGGCCTAGCCTGAGCTCTGCCTCCCTGTTTACAAGAAGGCCCGTTAGCTAAGTGCAATCAAACTGCTAGAAAAGAGCTCACCCTGATTTCTGAGGTCAGCACTTTACTCAGATATTTCTCAATAGCTGCATTTATTTTCATTCTTTTGCAAGCACCTTATACTTCTGAAGATTGTACAAAGTTTTACCAACTACAACAGCTACCAACAATGATTTTCCTGGTTTTGTTAGAAAACAGAATGCCTGTTCTTTGCCCAGACCTTTCGTTAGAGGGAGATCTCTTCTGTACTGCTTATTTGCTAATGTTTGTACTTACTATGTTAATTTCTTCCATACACATATCACTCAAGAGAATATAGCCGGTGTGAAATTAATCGGCATGAAGAGGTCTGTTGGCATGAGCAGCATCCAAACAGGCAGATCCTGTGATTTTGTGGCAATTACTTCCTTGTCAGCAGAGCTTGGCTGCATTGTGGGAGACAAGGCCACTAGACAGTGCAGGGAACTGGTTTCTGGCCCCCATGTGGTCACCTGTCAGTGGACCTTGGGCCATACCTCCCACCTGTCCATTCCCACCTCCTCCTGAACCAGGCCCCTCTGTGTCCCCAGCATGTTCCCTCAGCCTGCCCCCTCCAGCCATGGCTGCCTCCTCCAGGGGCATGCAGGCCTTGGTGGCAGCATGTCCATCGGTCTGCACTGAGCACCTCTGGCTTCCTCCCTGGGCTGCCCAAGAGAAGCTGCATGGTGCACTACCTGGGAGAGCGGGGAGGTCACACTCTCAGGCCGCCTTTGGCCAGCGGGAGCCAGATGGAGAAAAAGCTTCCTCCTTTATCCCAAAAGACCGTTCTGAAACACTTTTCATGAGACACCCAGAAGATTCTGGCTGTATCCTGCCCCAGTTGCCATGGGAGTGTCTGGCACCATCATGCATGCTTGCCTGTGGGTCCTTTTCTCTCTCTCATTTCCCATGCCCGACTCTCTGCTCCCTGGGATCTCTTCCTAAATGCCCCATTGAGGCTATAAAAGGACGTTTCCTGGCCAATTTCTTCATGGATTGCCAGCGCTAAAACGGGGGTCACATGCCGTTCACATGTTTTCTTAATATATGAACCCTACAAATACAATGTTACTCATTCTTACAATCTACACTTTTTTCACCAATCAAGTCTTTCATTATTACATTATTCCAATAATTATTGACAATCACGGAACAAAACATTTTACTGTGCCACACAATTGGCCTTGTATGCAGCCTTGTATGTGATGCAAATCTTTTAGGATCATGCATAAGCTTGGCTAAACCAAAGGCAGCTGGAGTGAGGTTGTTGTTTTTCTCTGAATCCGAATTTTCTGCTAGGTCATTTGTGCAGGATCTGCATTTGTGCAGGTCATTTGTAGGCTGTGTTCTCCCTTTCCCAATGTTAATGAAGTCATATTGGCCATTTTTTGACTAATCATTGCCCTATAAGTGGTTTGATTATTGATCTTATGGTTAGATTATAAGTTTGTCTCTCTGTACATTTCATCGTTGAATTCCTTCAGATTAATATAATAATACCTGATAACAGTTACGACTCAATAAATATTGATTCATTGATTCATTGAATAAGCAAATAAAAACTTGTGAAGAGCAAAAGTAAGAGTTAAAGAAAACACTGGAATCATGGCTAGGTCTTAACAAATTGATATGAATGAGAGAAACTCTTAAATAACTAAAACAGGACAATGAATTAGAATATAATATTTACTAAATATTTTCGGAGCTTATAGTAAGAAAATAAATCATTATTTTCAGTAGTTTAGAGAACAGAATTAATTTGTATCCAAGTTATTTAAATAACATTTGAAATATGCCATAAAATCTTACCAGATACTTTAAAATGCAGGCATTCTTTCATTTCTCCTACTTTACAATTGGAAGGAATGCCTGAGCCCTTTCTATCTCACAGGCACTGTATCTAGTGTGCCTCTTCCTTTTCTCTTTTTTGTTCTCCTAAGCTGGGTGAAGTGGGCAATGGTTTATTTTGCCTGCTCTGCCTCTGTGCACCTTCACCTGAGTTTTTCCTGCATTTTCCCATTGGCACCATCCATAAGCATTCCCTCATCCCCACCATGGGATAGGCATGAGACACAGGTCTGCTCACCCCGTGTCCCCAGTTACTGGTTCAGATGCAGACCTCTTTCCCACATGGGGTCAATGAAAGGCTTCCCAGAGAGCTGACACACAGATTCTGAGACCATCTCGCTCTTTTGTCTCTCTCTTTTCCTCTGGCATCAAAGCCCTAAGGGCCACTCATGGGAGTCTGGAGCTGCCATGGTGCCTGGCAAGCCATGTGGAAGAAGTTTTATGCAGAATGAGGCCAAGCCAGGCAGCAACTTAGGGGAGAGAAAGACAGAGAAGACCTAGAATGTTCTTTGACCCCTGGATCCAGCTGTGCAGAGCTAGGATTTTCAATGCCATGAACCAACAAATTTCTTGGGACTTCAGCTGAGTTTCTGCCACTTGCCATGAATGAGTCCAACTAATACACTTGGACATTGTTTCTAGGAAGAATATGCTGTCTCAGGTTAGAGTCACAAGTGTCCACAGCCTATATAATACAACATTTGGCCTCATAATTTCTGCTGTAAACAGAAATCAGTTCTTCAAAGTCCCCTGATGCTAAAAGTTTTATTTCTTTTTGTGACTTTTTAATTGCTCGTCAAAGAGCACCTTTCTTCTGCTTCACTCAACAAGTTTATATGGCTATGTTCTGCTTAGAAACTCTGGGCAGAGAGAAAGATTTAATGCTTAACTGATAGTCAATATAGATTTGTTTTCATTTCAAAGTTCATTGGAATAAAATTACATCTTATAACTAAACCTAAGGGAAGCCTCATCAATAAAAATTAAAAATTAGTAAAAGCTATTTAGTAATAAAGAACTAGATATAAATTTTTAAAAATTATCAAATTTAGTAACTGTATTTTGTGCTTCATATGCTTTTAAGAAACAAGACCAGAAGCATCTTGGATGGAACCATTTTGATAGGCATTGATCTGGTTCAACAGAAACCAAGTCACATTTTGGGCCTAAGCATTGTGAAAGCAAGGGTCTAAGACTAGGAAGATACATCTTAAAATATAAATACATAAATTTTAATGTCTTTTAAACTAATTTACTTATTCATTCAACCAGAATTATACTGTGTCATTTATATACCACCATCACCAGTGGGGGAAAAATAGGCCTGTTCCCTGTCCTCAAGGAACCTGCAATCTGCTGGGGAATAGAGAAAAAAAAAAAGCAAATACATACTATGAATACATTGAGATAAGTGTGGCCAGGTGCGGTGGCTCACGCCTGTAATCCCAGCACTTTGGAAGGCCGAGGCAGGTGGATCACCTGAAGTCAGGAGTTCGAGACCAGCCTGGCCAACCTGGTGACACCCCCGTCTCTACTAAAAATACAAAACTTAGCTGGGCATGGTGGTGGGCGCCTGTAATCCCAGCTACTCAGGAGGCTGAGTCAGGAGAATCACTTGAACCCAGGAGGCAAAGGTTGCAGTGAGTCAAGATCGCGCCATTGCACTCCAGCCTGGCGACCAAGCAAGGCTCCTTCTCAGGGGGAAAAAAAAAAAAATTTAGATAAGTGCAACACAGGGGAAAAAGCCAGAGTGTTTTATCCGAATACTGAAGCTACCTGCTTTCCATGGGGCTGGTGTAGATTTCCTGCCCTATCATTATTTTCCCAGGAGATGCATTCTTTCTCTTAATATCTGTCCTTCCAAAGTTGAGCATATCTAAAAACCAAACCATAAACATAGCCTGGTTTGAATACAAATAGGCACGCAGTGGAGCCTGATAAACCCTCGTGGTCCGTCATGAATTTGTTATGAGAGGTGGCAAACGAGACACTCTCCCGCATGGAGAGGGGCTTGAAACCAGCACAGTACATACCTGGAGCCCTCTTCAATTCCCACACCCGTCATTTACTATTTGTGTGGCCTTCAACAAGCGACCTATCCTGCCTGTTTTCCCATCTGTAAAAATGGGTGTAATCCTAATGGTGCCCATCTGGTAGGGCCATTTCATAGATGAAATGATCCTGCGGGAGGAAGCTTCCCTGGAAGGGCTGGGCTGCAGGAGGGGCTACAAAAGAGTGCAAGAGCTAACCATGTGGCCCGGCCCTGGGGAAGCTCTCTGGAAAGGGAGAATGGTTTTGCACAAACTGGAATCGTGAGGTCCTTCCTACAGTCCCGTGGCTCCTGGAAAGCATCGTGGTCCCGAAGAGCTGGCGGAGAGAAGCGGCTCCCAGTGCTTAGCCGGCCTGTCGGAGCTTCCTCTGCCTGTCAGCGCCCTCGCCTCTTAGCACATGTTTTCAAGGTCATCTCCTAACACCGGCTGCCAGTTGCCCAATCGATAGAAGCAACATCACACTCCTTCCTTAAAAAGGGAAAAACAAAGCTGCTTTCGATAAAGCCTCATCATCCTATAGCTTCTCCGAGAGCCTCCACAGCAGCCACTCCAGTCCAGATGCGCTAAACTGTCAGGGCCACGGCAGGGTCAAAATGGGCTTTGATGCTCTCTAGCACGTGCACAGAATGGGATTGTAACGTGTTCTGCAAAAGGAAAAGCCATCACTGGAGAACCCGCATGCTCTGGGAGACGCTATCACTGACAATTCCAGAAACATTTTCTCCTTGTATGAAATGAAGGTGCTGAGAAGAAAATACAATTTCTTTTTAAACCAAACACTGCCTGCCTTAACGCCTGAATTCTAGGGAAGGGCACAACTCAGGTCTGGGCTGGCTGGTCCTGCTGGATAGAAAAAGACCTTGCCAGGCCTCTTGGTTGAGAGAGAAGAGGCTGCAGGATATGGTCAGGAAAGAGAAAGGAAAGCAGAAAGAGCTTATCTGTTCTGCCAACCCAATTGGCAGCAGCTGGGGAGTGGCCAAGACTGGGGTGGGGGAAGGGGCAGTAAGGAAAGAACAGGGTCATACAGTGAGGCTGTGACCAGGCGGAGAAGGGCCAAAATACAGTAGCAAACAATGCCTATGGGGAGGCCCAGACAACAACACAGTCCCCATGGTGCAGGGATGTCAGATGGATCCTGAGAACGATGAGGCCAGGAGCCCATACAAAATTGCATCCTGTACTACAGTGACTTAGAATCTCTCTCTGCTTCCCCAAAACCTTCACTAAAGCTGGCTACACACACAGCCTTGGGCTAGAAGAACTCCAGGGAAATGAAGGATGGGCAAGTTATCCTGAAGGGGGTGAGGATGGTGGGAAGGGGAGCACTCAAGAACTCGGCGGGAGTGGAGTCAGTGCAAGAGGTGACCTGCAGTGACGCAGACACCCAAAAATCCTTCAAGATGAGGTGGGGCGGCTGGGCATGGTGGCTCACGCCTGTAATCCCAGGAGGCTGAGGCAGGCGGATCACTTGAGGCCAGGAGTTCAAGACCAGCCTGGCTAATATGGCAAAACTCCATCTCTACTAAAAATACAAAAAATAGCTGGGTGTGGTGGTGCACACATGTAGTCCCAGCTACTCGGGAGGCTGAGACAGGAGAATCGCTTGAACCCAGGAGGCAGAGGTTGCAGTGACCTGAAATTCTGCCACTACACTCCAGCCTGGGTGACAGAGTGAGACGTCTTAAAAAAAAGATGAGGTGGAATGACGAATTACCCAGCATCCTTGGGATAGGAGATCCAGTCTTTTTCATTATAAATCTTAAATGATAGAGTAAGCTAAGAAGTTTGGAGCACTGGAGGAGCCCAAGCGACTGTTCCACAAATGACATAAGTCACACACATATATCCAACTTCCTGTTTTCTGACATTACTATGGTGAAAGGAAGTCAGTCGTGTCTTACATTAACTTTGTTGTGTATAAATATTGTTTGGAAGTCCATTCTGTGTGCCTTTGCACATGTCGAGAGTGATAAGGAAGTTATTTATAACACTTTGGAATGAGGAGGGACATGAAGAATGATGGCTTCCCTCCTGTGTTCCCTCTTTGCAGCTGCTCTGAGTGTGCTGAGCCTCCTCTCTGCTGCAGAGAGCCAGCCACCATCGACTGTGGGACTGAGGGTCTGGCAAAGGAGAAGCAGGGACTCCTGGAGGAAGAGGACGTCCTCGTCTGCCCAGTGATTAAGCCACGCTGCTTATAGAGAAATACTTCTTCCCTGGGTGAGAAGGAGTCAGAATGAGGAGGTTTGACTCCCTTTCTGAAAGACAGATTGGCTTACTACCAGGTTATCCAAATGAAGAATTCCATTTCTGAAGCACCTCATACTTGGCTTCTACCTGGAGGGACCCCAGTTCTCAGCTGTTTTCACATCTTTGTGGAAGTATATGGGGCTCTTTCCTGGCATAAAACAGATGTTGGAATAAAGTGAGCCTGAGCGGGCATATCTGGGAAAACGAAGTTATTCAAGGAAAGCTTGTACTTTCTAAGTGAAGGTGCATTGTTCCCTGTTGTTTAAAAGCAGCTGTAAGAACGGGCTGCTGAGGGCCATGCGACCCCAGGGAGGGACTGGCTTACCCAATAAGCAGACGTGACAACACCTAAGAACCGTGTTCCTTTGTCTCTAGTTGATCACCTGAACAAAAGGAACAGCCTCAAATGTTTCTGGAAAGTGATTGTACATGCTACAAGTTCTTCAAGTCTTGGAAACTCCTGAATAAAGAATTACCTAAGCCTATGAGAGCATTTGGCCCAAACCACGTTACCAGTCCTAAAAAGAAAAAGTGCAATAAAACAGCTTAAGTCAGAGTTGTGAGTAAATACACCTATTCTTTTGAGATTCGGTCTTGATGATCAAGGGTTACTCTGGTTAAAAGAAAATGAAGCCAAATAAGGGCAGATGGAAATATCAAAGGCACTGATAAATCAATAGAAATATCTCTCTAGGATGAGCAATGCTGGAGGAGGATGGTCTCTTGGTCACTGGAACTTCATTGCCATTGACTATAGTGAAAAAGAAAAAAAGACAGAATTATAATTGAACCTCATAATATCCTCTCTGCCTTGCAGAAATAATTAACTTTTTTCTAAAATAATTTGTGTCTTCATCATTTTTCACCACTAAAAATAATTATTTTTAAAGTAAATATAAAGAGTAAAAACTGGACTCCCAGTTAACTGTAGCAGACGAAACACACTTGTTTCTCTCCATTTCTTCCTGAAGTGCCACTAAAATGATAGTAATGGAATTAGAAAAAGTCATGAACTCATAAAGACAAAGCAACAGGACAGGGGATGACAGTCAACAAGAAAAGACACCAAGTTTTGGGTGCTAGAACGCAGATGGATGAGTGTACACACTGAGAATAATCCAAACAGCTGAAACCTACCTTCCTAATAATAATGAAGTCAATTTATGCCATAAAACTCCAGAAAGGCTTAGATTTGGAGGCACTTGGTACCTCTGCAGGCATCAGTACAGGTAATGATTGGAAAACCAGAAGCAATTGGAAACCTCTATAAAGAGCCCTTAAAATAATAAATGATAAAGGGCCCTTAGACTCCCAATTCTTCTACCATAACCAGGCTGCCTAGCAACTGTCCCCTACCCCAACCTTGGCAGAAGACAGACAGAAGATTGTTCTCTGGGAGGCTGAACCTGAGACTGTCTAGACTTGGGGACACCAGGCCACTGGAGGGTCAAAGTGAGGTGCCATATTGAAAGCAGGAAATTGAGAGTCTTAGTACTGAATGCCGAGATTCCTAGTTTGCTTCTCCTCTCAGCTCTGAGAACTTACAGCCTCCAGATAAGCATTTGGGGAATTTTCCTCTGAAGAAACTGGCCCACCCAGAAGAGACTCTCTGAGCTGAATTATGCCCCACCATGTGGCATCAGTGTTGCCTGAATACTGGATGGCAGGGCTACCAGTCAAGAAGCCCCATCACAGAGAGCATTTCCAGGAAATTGTGTAGCGCCTTGCACCCAACAGCTACAGTCTCCATATATTTGAGAAAAGCCGTTAATCTGAAAGACTGAGGTCAAAATAAATGAACAGCGTGAGACAAAGAACTTTTAGGAAACAGACACAATGAAGTGAACAGAAAAAAATGTCAAATAAATATGCAATTAATATTCTCAGAGACGAGAGCCTTTTGCATTCATGAAACAAGAATGTAACACTTTTTTTTAAAAAAAGGAATATTCAGAAACTAAAGAGTTCTTGCAAATTTAAAACATAGTAAAAAGTGTTTTTTAATGCAAGAGGAGATTTAGAAGATAAAATTGAGGAAATCTCCAAGAAAGTAGGACAAAATGTTAAAGAGATGAAAAATAGGAGGGAAAAAGATAAGAAGCTTAAGAGGATTAATCAAGGAGGTCTAATATTTGAATGGTAGGAGTGTTATGAAGAGAAAGCAAAGTAAGTTAGTAGGAGATAATGAAGAACTATTGTTTTATAAAAATGTCCTTAGAGCTAAAGGCCATTGGTCACTAGATTTAAGCTCACCAAATTTACAGTCTAATGAAAATAAATAGTCTCACATTGAAGCACATTATTATAAGATTTTAGGACACCAGTAATAAAAGGGAGATTCTAAATGTTTTCTGCAATGATGAGGAGGACATAATTCACATACCAAAAAAGAAAAAAGAATGAGGGTTCTCCCCAGGAATACGGGAAGCAAGGTGACCATGGAGCAGGGCCTCCAGATTCTAAAGCAAGATCATTTACCGTCTAGACTTCTACACCCAATGAAGTATGAGGCGTTGTTGTCAGGTTATGAGTGCAGAATCAACATTTTCAGGTATGCAAGATCTCAAAAGCTTATCTCACATAGACCTTTTCCTAGAATGTTACCAGAAAACTAAAGCAAGAGAGGAGAGGACTCTGAGAAGGATGCCTACCATTAACAAATGGAAAGGATTAATCACCTGATGCGTACCTGCGCTAAGAGAAGTTTTATACCCCAGGCAAATATTTGGAATATAAAGCAAATAGAAAATTAAGCAAATTAAAGAATGATGCAATTACTAACTACAGGAAAAAAGGTTTTCAATAAAATAAATGTAATGAAAGTAAATAGTTCTGTACCATATTAGCAGTCATGATAATATAAATCCTGAGTATTGCTTTGATCTGCCTTACCTTCCCACAAAGAAGTAACCTTTATAGTACCTTTACCAGAAGAGGGGCTTTTCTTCTATGAAGTAGAGGTGGAACTCATTATATTGGGAAAAAAGATAAAAAACAAATTCTGGAAAAATGATTTGACAGGCAACCTTTTTTTCTCAAGGGGAGCACAGTTTTCCTTTTAATGAGACCCTGGCTTTTGAGGGTTGAATTGAGTAACAGTAAATGTATTTTCTGGGATGTCAGAACTTCTAGATTAGGGTTCAGATCTTGGTTGTGGCTTAACTTGTTCTTAGTTGTAGGTTTCTTGCCTTGTCATTTCAGGTCAACATTTAGACTGCATTTGCCTAACTGACGAAATAATCAAATTATGTACACTGTCCATTGTCCCTTCATTTGTTAGGATAAGAGTTTGGCTGCTTTAAGAGAGAAATAAAATAACAGTCCTGGTGAGGTGGTACAGGGTGAATGTGGTGGTCTCGTGCTATAGGGGCCCAGGCCCTTCTCTCTGGTCCCTTCCATCTCTAGAGGCCATATTGTGCAGCAGTTAAGAGCATAGGCTCTGAAGCCAGGCTGCCTGGATGAAAGTCTCTACTCTGCCATTTACTCTGTGCCTCAGTTTCCTCATCTGTAACATGGACATCATAGTAGTGCCAGCTTCATAAAGCTGTGAGATCTCAGGTGTAAAGCACTCTGAGCAGTGCCTAGCAGACACGAAGCGCTGCATAGGTGGTGGCGATCACTGATCCACACTGAGGTCTGCCCTCTTCACTGGTCCAAGATGCCTCCTCACCACGCACCTATGGCAACCAGCAGCTAGAACCTAACCTCTCTCTTACAGTTACAACAGGAGATCATCTGCATCCCATTGGTTGGAACTTAAGGACGTGGCCTCAACAAGTTGCAAGGGCAGAGGAAAACGTAACCTTCTTCCTAGGCACTCAAGCGCTCCTAAAAATCTCATCACTGGGAAAGGAGTTGGCAAAGGGTATTGGAGGACAGCTAGCAGTCTTTGTCACCATACCTGTTAGGTGTGTCCCAAGGTCCCCATTTATATCCGTAAGTCAAAAGACAAATATATCTAAGCATTGACCTACTAATGCATTCGTAATGTGTCCTACATTAAAATGAGGTTGTATTTAATTTTGCTTGTTATGCCTTGATTTTTACTCAACTCAGAGATTAATTCTCATCAACCCTGTTAAAAACAAGGTAGAGGACAACTCGTACGATGGAACCAGGTGCAAAATATCACTTACATTTTTATCTAGTTTTATCACAGTGAGTTCTGGTACATTTTTCATTTTTAAAAGGTGGGCATTAGATTCTAGGAGACAAGCAATCCTAGTTTTATCAACACAGCTATGGGATATTGGAACTACCAAAGCAGAAATCTCATATAGAAACCTTGTACATTCATTCGCCATGACTAACTTTTCTGTCTTGTGGAATTGAAAGTTATAAGAATGGCTTTCTTTAAAGCAATATAGAAACTTTTTTATTGCAAACAGCTAAATAAAGGCTGGCAAAAACAATAGGTTCATTTTTTACTGCAGATCTTCAAATTATAGGAAACTTGTCTCTTGGCCAATTTGGGCTGGCTTGGAGCCAAAATAGATGTCTCCATTCTCATCCTCACCCTTATACTTATTGTGGGCAAGATAAAAACCCTTAATTTTGAAAACTCGAGCCAAGTGTTGGGTATGAGGCAGAGTGACTCCCTTAACTATACTGGTCCTGAAAAAAAAAATTGTATTACTTTATACCAGTTCACTTTTTTTTTTCAGTTTTTAGAAATTGAGTACTGAGAACAAGAAACTTTAACAAAAGGGAGATTCAAATATTTTGATGGTCTATTATAAATCAAGTTTTAATAACTAGAGGTATATACAAGTACAATCAATCAATGAGAAATACTCACTGGTTAAATACTTCTGATCAAGTCCTTTTCTCTAGGTGAGTTGGCCCTGAGAAAATTAGCAGGCATCTTTCCATTTCAAAGCACAAAAGGCTTCTCTTCTGTTTTTAGCCATGTCACCCTCCCGCCTTTTTTTAATTAACAAGATTTGAGATCATTTGGCAAATTGTAACCATAAAAGTGAATATCGTGATTGGATGATGTTTTATAACTTGAAAAATAAATCTCACCGCTTTTCTCCCTGTGTACTTCATAAATGTCGCTTCCTCTTCACTTCATATTTATCTTGCTTTCAAAATCCATTATGCAATTGTCATTTCACTGAAATCAAAAACTGTCTCTTAATTACATAAGAATGGATTATAAATCAGTTATTCATCTCTCTATATGTTCCTTTTATAATGATTATAGCTAAATACCTATTTTTATACACAAAAAAACAAAGTGGATTTTACCAGGTTAAAATTAGGACTTGCAAAATTCTGCAGCCTAGAAGACAAAACAAAGCCATATACAATGCATCTAGTTTGTGATAATAATGCGATCTTGCACTGATGAAATACTGCAAAGCTTGTTAAGTCAATGGCTTTGGAGAAGACAATGGAATCTGCATTTCCTCCCTCGACTGAGTTAAATTTAGAAGGGAAAGGTAAGCCATACTTCCAACAGGAATTAGAAAACACTGCAGTTGGTGATGTTACAGGGACGATCCTCTTGCAGCCTAACTTGCAATAAATGGACCTTCATAAGACTCGAGTCTGCTGCATATCCTGGTAATTAATCATACGGAGGCACCAAGCCTTAAGTATTAAACACTCTCTAAATGGGAAAAAAATTGCTGTATTGCTAAGCACTAGGACTTGATTCATTTAGTATTAACTTTTAGTCTTTATTAAAGTGGCTTTAATTTTATTTGTGTGATGTTAGTGCATTTCTGGAAAAATAAACACCGAGGTTTTTTAGCTGATTGTACCCGATACGCTCCTGATTCAAATTGTAAGCTGCATGCTATTTTCCAGGAGAAATAAAGATCCCCATTTTTTAAAGCTTATTTTTAAAAACATGCCATAATGGTAAGTTGCATTTCAATATCCTGTGAAAAGTGTGTACTGAGGACAGCACAGTGGCAGGCACCGGGCTGGGAACAGAACATGCAATGATGCTCAGGTGTGGGCACTTGGTCCAGGTTGCCCACAGCCCAGATGGGAGGCAGGGAGGATTCAAGTAACTGTCCTCTGATGCAATCGAGAGTGTGCAGACACGGTAGACAGATCTGTTTTACTGGAGGGATCCAGGGCAGCTTCCTAGAGGAAGCACACTTTAGTTCAGCTGTGAAGAGTAAGCAGGAATTTAGTGCCGGGGCAGGGCTGGAAGGGGAGCACCCTTAGGACAGGAGCACTCTCAGGATGGGTGGGGCAGAGCAGCTCATGGCATAGCGTGGGCTGCACCGAAGGCACAAACCAACGCACAGGCCGCTTGTGGTCTAGCAGCCATTGTCTCCAGCATCCCCACACTCAGCAGAACCGAGGCCAGCCCTGGTAGATCCAGATTCCTGGGGAAGCATGAAAGCTCCTGGCCCCAACCCCAGCAACTTTCCAGCAGCCCCCAGACAGTCTGGCTTACCATCAGAGCCCTGCCTGCGACCTTGTGGATTGGGGATTTGTGGTTCTGGTTGGCTCCAGACATAGCCCTTTTCCCAAAGGAGGACTGGAAGCCAATCCAGAGCCAGCCAGTCCTGCAGCCTCTCGGGGCTGGGCCTCAGCAGGTGTCTGCAGAACCTGCACCGTCAAGCACTCCCAAATTAAGAGGGGCACTGGGCCCCGGGCCCCTGAAGTCTTTCCCCACTCCACCTGCATTCCCATCCCCTGGAGCCCTCATGTTAGGCCACTACCCATCAGGGGCTTACATGAGACCATGAGAGCCTGCCCTCCTCCACTTTTGGCCACAGACGACTCCAGAGATGTCCATGGACGCTGACTTGGTGCTAGACCCAGGGACAGATGCCAGGGAGTTTGCAACGCATCGGCCGGTCAGTTGGGAAGTCACATACAGAGAGAGCATCTTTGGGTTCGCTCTAAGCTCCCTCCTCTCCCCACTGCCCTTCCCTTCCTCCCTGGGTGACCATAAATGTTCCTGCATTATCTATTGATGATTATAATCACACGAAGTCAGGACAGATGGGCTCCACTCCTCAGCTCACAGCCATAAAGTTTACAAACTCGCCATGGCCGGGGGATAAATTACCATTGCTGATCTCTCGCTCATTTACACAGAGCATTTTTCTTCAAGATGGCTATTTTTTCCTTTCAATCATCTGGCCAAAGTTTTTTTTTTTTTTTAAACCAACTTGATTTTATAGAACATGAGAAATATTGGGGATTTGAAGAGCAGTTTAGAAACCATCATCATAAGTGATTAGGCAAAAAAGATATTTCTGAACATGGAAAGGAAGCCCAGTTTCTCATCCTTTATAATCCCAC
Organism: Homo sapiens; assembly: GCF_000001405.40. Classification (NCBI taxonomy): domain Eukaryota; kingdom Metazoa; phylum Chordata; class Mammalia; order Primates; family Hominidae; genus Homo; species Homo sapiens. The sequence goes on from NC_000010.11 coordinate 129,434,361, forward strand.
GGGACTGCTGAGCAACTGTGTATTCCCGCTGGGTCACAGGCAGTGAGAAATGGGCCCCCAATGGTTTATTTAAAAGTGTGTTGTCGAAGATAATGGTGCTCAGATTAAGTTTTTAGTCTCCTTGATAACTGCTGTTGTTCCATGGACTAATTATGTCTACCTTCGATTCACTAATGTGGCCCAATCAAGCTCCTCATATGGGATGATATTTCTGGTGGTTGTTTTCTAGATTCTCCACGCCCCCCCAACAACGGTACCAGCGGGTATTGTGTAACACTACAGAAAAGGAATGATTAATTCAAAGTTCAGGTGCAAGACAGGGTCAGAAAAGAAATACTCCTGGATAGAGTGAGCATTTCAAGATGAATTTGTGACTTGAAACATCATTTTATGACGCATTTTCTATTTTGTTATCATGGGAAGTGTGATGGCTGACACACGAATGATCACAGCATTTTGGTGCCATGTTCTGTGATAGGCTTTTCATAAAAATTAGCTGACATTGTCATGAGCACACAAGTAAATTTATAGCTTTCATACTGGACTGCCATTCCCAGAGCAATTTCCAATCACTTGCGCTTTTTATTAAGTTTATTGTACTTTTATTGTTCAGTGGAATGTAAGCAGTGAGATTACAAATAAATGTAAGTTCCACTGGATATGAAGTGGAGCTTGTAGAATTAGGAGAGAAGGGGGTGAAGGAAGCCACACAGTAATCTGAATCACTGGTGATAGGAAACACCACCCACTGATGTTTCTTGTCACCTGCTTCTGTACAGAAGTTTAGGAAATTGACATTCCATTCACATTCAAGTTTTCCCGGAAAGCCCTCCTAGGAGAAGCCTTTGTGGAAAACTTGGTACTGCACATCACTCTGTAATGCAAAGAAAATGCATCCTGCTGTCACTCCTCTGGGTTCCTTTTCTGTTTGTTGCTGTGGCTTCCTGCTTGCTCCCTCCCCTGCCAGGTGTGTCATGCTGGCACAGTGAACATTCCCCTCCAAACTGGTGAGGACCCTGTTAGGAAGCACACTGGCCAGTGTGCCTGTGCACCCCACAATGACCAGCTTCCTTCCCATGCTTTCATTTAGTACTGAAGACACTGGGCCATTTAACTTTCCATTATGCCTTTATGTTTCCCCAAAGAAAGGGTTCATAATCACTAAAGTCCTACTGTTGGGTTTTTTTTTCAGCTGTTGATTTAAAGTTGTTAGTTAAGGTGTGTCAGGGTTCTCTAGAGGGACAGAATGAATAGGATAGGCGTATACATAAAGGGGAGTTTATTAAGGAGTATTGACTTGCACGATCATAAGTTGAGGTCTCACTTTAGGCCATCTGCAAGCCGCAGAGCAAAGAAGCCAGTCAGAATCCCAAAGCTGAATAACTTGGAGTCCGATGTTCGAGGGCAGGAAGCATCCAGCATGGGAGAAAGACGTAGGCTGGGAGGCTAGGTCCATCTAGTTTTTCCACGTTCTTCTGCTTGCTTTTATTCTGACCACACTGGCAGCTGATTAGAGGGTGCCCACCCAGGGTGGGTCTTCCTTTCCCACCCCACTGACTCAAATGTTAATCTCCTTTGGCAACACCCACACAGACACACCCAGGAACATTACTTTGCATCCTTCAATCCAATCAAGTTGACACTCAGTATTTACCATCATACAGGGTGAGAACAGAGATTGGAAGAGGGGGGGGAACCCTGTGCCTGTACAACCCTTCTCCTATCTTAGAGGTCCAGAAATCACTACCCTGCCTTTTGTTGTTGTGTGTTAGGAAGGTGAACTTTTAATTTTAGTGGGCATCTGTGTGCAGACACTGTGGGTCACCAAATCCCCCCTCATACTTCCTAACAGACTCCCCTTTTGTCTTCAGCTCCAGGTGATGGATCATAATTGGCCCAAACCAATCATCTCAATGTTCTTCCCCATTTTCCCAGTCTCCCTTGTTCTTAAAAGTGGCCAGGAAACCTAATTCCAGGCAACAAGATTTACACAAAAGTGTGCTGTGGGGTATGGAGCTAATTGTTTCTGGGACAGCTTCCCTGATTAAAGGGGACATTTGTTGATAGCATACTTCTTTTTCCTCTTCCTCATCTTTTCTGCCTTAAACCTGGAGTCCGTCTGGAGCTGTGGCAGCCATCTTGCAATCACGAGGCAAGAAGCTTCAGGACAAAAGCTGGCACACCAAGAATAAGGGACTGAAAAGATAAAACAGACCTGGCCGTGATGGCATTGGTAAGCAGGGGGACTAACACTGGCCTTGCCTCCCCACACATTCTATGGGAAAACCAAAGCCTCTGTTTAGGGCCAGCTGTCATTCGTCAGGTATTCCATGTCTGGCAGCCAAATGTGTTCAGCATCAGCCTCATCTAGGGAGCTCATTAGAATGCAAATAGCCAGGCTCACTCCCAGAAATTCCCTCCCAATATGTCTATGATCAGGCCTGGGAGCCAGCACAAGCATCCCAGGTCATTTTTATGCAGGTCATATCCTCAAAATACCCTTAGACACAAAGTACCCTTGGAGCACACAAACGGTAGCAATGGGAGGGTAAAGGGAAGAAGTCTGCCAGGGCGACAGGAACCAACCACGTGTTTCCCAGAATTTTTGTTCCCCGCAACCCCTTCTCAAACCTACCAGGTAACACCTGTTGTTCTTGAGCAGCAAACTTAGAATACAAGGAAAATAAAACTGCTCCCACCCAGGATTAGGATGCTCTGATGGAAGGATGCTCTGATGTGTGTTAGGAAGGTCTGGTGTCTTCATCCATCTTCCTGCCTCACCCTGGTGTTGATTCCACAAGGTCATCTCCAGCGGGTTGTGAACGTGGCCGCTCCAGAGAACATCGGCCTCACCCTATCCTCATTATGGCCAGCAGTCAGATCCTTCTACCACCCAGCCCCAGAGGACGCCCAGCCTCAATCCTTCCAGTGAGAGGCAGTAACGCCTTATTAGTTCAAGATGGGGGTCCCCAGGGTGTTGCAGCCCAACAACGCCGCTGCTTCCACAGTGATTGTGGACTACGTCCTGACTGCCCCTTGCAGAAAAGTAGGACTGGAACACCACTGGTAGGCATGGAGAAGCTGGGCTCCAGGGAGAGTGCAAGGAAGGGCCAAGAAGAAGCTGTGGGGAGACCGGAAGTCCAAAACGACACTTAGCCTCCACCAGTCACAGCTTGAGGTCAGAGAAAAAGGAATAGACAAGCCCCAGCACTGCAGAGCCACAGGCAGCACTGGAGTCCCCAGCAGTGCTGACAGAATGGCAGCTTCCTCATTCCACCCAGACAGCCCCACTGGATCAGCTCCCTGGAGGTAGGGCCCAAGAATCTGCATTATCTGCAAGTTGCCTACATTACCACACCTAGACCTTCCTCAAATTCATTTGGGGGATCATTTATCCCCAGTCACCATGACATTGGGGTCAGCCAGAGCTGCCTTTGAATTCCAGCGGGGACACTTCCTAAGCCTGTGGCTGTGAGACACTGTGGCATCCCTGACTAGGATGTGTGGACAATGGGATAATCATGGTACCCACATTACCTACAGCCCTTAGAGAATCAGATGAGACTGTAGACACAGTGTACTTAACACAATGCTGCAAAGATGCACAGTGAGCATTCAGCAAGAGCTAATCACTTTTATGCCATTGCTATCATCTTCTGGGTGCCCCCATCCCACTGGCACCCCCTGTTTACCTAGCCTTCAAGATGATGAAACATGAAAAGTCTCAGCTAGCCAGTTCGCAGAAAGGGGGATCTGAGAAAATAGTTCTGATTCAGATGTTAACGACAGCCCTAGTTCCCCTGTTTTACACAAAGGAAGCAGCATTGTTTTGGATCCTAGCAGGAAGGGCTAGTCCAGGAGCTGGAGAGGAAGCCCACACTTAGCTCCGCACCTTTGGGACTTGGCCGGCACCTAGGATGGCAGCTCCTGGCAGCAGAGGAAGGGAAGGCAAGGCCCAGGAGGCCCTTCAAGGAAACCCCCGCCGAGATGCTGGAGGGGAGAGGACTCCAGGAGGCCACTGGGTGTTCAATGCTAGGAAATCAACACGGCGATGCCTGCATCCCACAGCCAAGGCACTGGAAGTGGCATTTTCAGCAGGTCTGCAGCAGAAGAACAAGTGGGACGATGGAAAGAAAACAGGGCCCACTTAGCACTTCTCAAAAGTCCCTAGATTTGGAAGGTGATCTGCCTGAATACAACTTTCTTTAAACCCATATATTTGACTTGTAAAAATGGACATTTGCGGTATCAAAAGTGAGTGTATTCTTGGGAAATATACTAGCAAAATTCAATGAGACTTGAATTAGAAAGTGCTCAATGGATGTCCAGGATGTATACAGCCTGGACAAATGACCTAGACAAGGAAGAGGAGACACCTCTGGCTGGAGGTTGGCAGTCAGCCACTGTCTTCCCAGCTGTGGGGCCTGAGGCCTGGGCTGAGAGATCTAGACACAGGCGGGTGACCTGCCCCCCAGGCCCCACCTGCTCTCCCCTGCAGCCCCTACAGCATCACTCCAGACCTTGAGCAGGCCTGCCTCACCCCTACCCTCAGCATGTAGAATGTCTTCAATTCCTAGGCAAACTCGGATGAGTTCAGGGCACCGTGACATCTTTTAAACACTGGGCATGTTTGCAAAGTGGTCTCCCTGACCCACACATGGGCAAGGTTGTTTAGTGATGTTGGCTGAGGAACCATTTCGGTCTGAAGGATGGCAGCAAAATGCATTGGCTGAGTCACTTTTGAAGTAGCTCCTTACTGAGAACAAACCACAGAGGCTGCTCAGATTTTCATAGGCTTTTGAAGCTAGTGAAGAAAAGACTTTGTAGCAGCATAGAAATCATAGAAATCCAACCCAAACTTCAGGAAATGCCACTGAGGACATAAGGTGTTTCTTTTATTTTTCCCGAGTGGTATCACAATTTCTAAATTCAACCTGTTCCTATGCACGAGTTGTAAGTGCTGAGATTGCACCCAAGGATGAGAACAGTTTCCTTCTTGAAGGATCTACAAGCTCTCTGGGGTACCCAGTTTGTGGGGGTGGGATGGAGTGGGAAGGACCCTGTAGGAAGCTGGGCGCATGGAGCTTTTGGCAGGAGAGTCCTGACTCAGCCTGCCCCTTGACTGCTACAGGGCCTGGCCCAGTGAAGAACAGAGTGGGGCTTATTCATGATTGATTAGCTTAATATTTAATGATTATTGATTAATTGATATAATGATTATCAATGGTTTGACTGATGGGTTTAGTGATTATTCACGATTGATTTATTCTTGTTTTAAAGTAGGTGAAATAGTTTCATAACAAGATAGCATTTCATTTATTTCCAAGGAGACATTTAATAACCCTATATCCAAATGGAGATGAATCTATTGTGTCCTTTTTGATGATCTCAATAAAACAACTCTTTCTCCATCACAGCCCTAACAAAGATCACTCCCAGATCTTCATGTCCAATCCAGATCTCAAATCTCTGTGAAGCTTCCCCACCAGCACCTGCTACACCACACCTGGGCTGGGCTGGGCACCAACCTCCATCCAACCAGCTGCTGGCTCTGTGTGCTACCGCCTCCCACCACCCACACCATCCCAGGCTGCCCACCCCCAACTAGCCTCTCCTTTCCTCTCATGGCTCATATTCCTCAGCCAGTGATTCCCTCCTGCCTCTTGTGTGGCCACACTCCAAGTCAGACTGTACATATCCTTCAGTACCCCCATTGTCCATCAAAATAAGTCTAACGTCCTTGCCTACACACCCAAGACCCTTCCTCACGCAGTCCGACTGACAGTCCTTCCAGCCTTTTCTCCCCCAGAGGCTCTGTACGTGGCCAGTGAACTAGCCCCATCAGAACTCAGCATCCCAGCCGGCCCTATGCGGATGTACCATGTCTTTGGACAAGCAATGGCATCTTCTTGCAAAACTTTCCGTCCTCCGTTGCCTTTGGCCCAGAATCTCTCCAGCCTGCAGGAGTCCATTAAAATCCTTCTTCCTTATCCTGTCTTTTCAGATCTACCCATCCAGGAGCAATGTTTGTTTTCCTTGGAATCTACCCATGCCTCTCGCCTCTACGATGACACCATCCTCCCTCTACCTCACCCACTTGTTCAACCACCCAGCAGCTGCCACCTGCCATGCACTATGAGTTCATCCGATTGGGCCATGGGACTCATGAGTCCCTGGAGGACAGACACTGTGACTTATCCCTCATTACACTTCTCGGGCCTGGCTCAGTGCCTGACTTACAATAGGTTTCCCAAACCGCTAGATTAAGATTGAGTTCACTACAGGAGCAGGTGTGTTTAGCAAGAGTGCTTTTCAAAACATCATGTTGATCAGAATAACTCTGGCCACTGTTTCCATTCCATATTTCTGCTGTAAAGTCTCAACTAAAAGGGGGAAGCCCTTGCCATTCGGAATGCATTATTCCCTTTGGAGAAACCTAGGTGGTGGGGAGTTCTTCCTGGCTGGTAGTCACCGCCTTCTGCCCTGGGCGCCCCTGCCTCCAGCCCCCAGGGCTTGCTTCTCTACCACCGCAGGCAGTCCTTAGCCTCTGGGCCTGGAAGCGAGGCTGAGGCCAGCCCTGCCACAGCGAGGCAAGCCCACCCATTTTGCATCTGTGTAAACCCAAGTGCTAGCAGCAATATTCATCTTAATTTTCTCTTTAAACCCTTGAGTTGCATTATAGCTTCCATTGTGCTGGTGACAGACAAATGCCTTGCAATAAATCAAAGTTAGGGTGACTGATACACTAAACACCTCTGCTTAATGATGTGATTGTTTCTTATCTGCAAAGTAATGTCACTTATGGCTTTGCTATTTATAGTCAATGTAGTGTTAGACCATTTTATGCCCCTGATGCCTCTGTGGCCAGCCCATTAGCTGTGATTATGGACCAAAAGGGGATACAGCCTCTGCAAGATTGGCGAGAGAAGCCTTCAGAGTGTTCAAGTCATCTCTACCCACGGAAAGCCTGGCTCCTCGTCCTGAGACTGCCTGCAGTTTCTTGCAGGCACAGGTGAGTAAATAAGATGCTGGCTGACAAATCCTGTTTGTGCTCCACTTGTATTAGTACTGAGCATCTCCAGGACAGCAAGATACATATGAAATGTTAAAAAAAAGAAAAAAAAAAGACAAGGGGCTGCTTCTCTCTCTGGCTCAGCCTCCAGCCCAGCAGGGCTCAGGCAGGGCGTGTGGAGAATGTGCGAGGACTGGGCCTTTGCAAGCAAGTCTCCTGTTGGGCTGGCCCAGGCTCTGCCGTTCATTCATTATTTGCTAAGCTATTTGCCCAAACTATTCTCTTTGAACAGGGTGTCGGTGGGGAGAGCAGACTTCGCCTGGGTCTCCCTGCTCTGCTCTGTCCCCGTGCTGTGAGACTTGCTGCCAGCTTCAAAGGCGGCCCCCAGGGTGGGACCAGGGACTGGGCTCCTGGGCAGCCCCCTGCTCCTCCTGTGCCAGGCTCCCAGCCCCGAGCTTCTGCACAGGCCCTGCAACTCCCCCTCCCCCTCCCCCCAGTCTCTGGGCTCCAAACAGCCTCGAGGAGCAGGACCCAGAGTGGCTGGCTACTCAGGGAGAAGGAGCAGGACAGCAGCATTGTAGAAATCCCTTTACAATGTTGGACACCTTGGGGGCAGCTGTGGCCATTCAAAACTGTGCCAGGGCGGGTCTTTCCTATGGCCCAAGGATCCCACAGCTTCAGGAACAACACTTTCATTGGACGAGTAGTGGCTTTGGTGGGTAGAACTGGGTTCTCCAAAAACATATGTTCCAGTCCTAGGCCTGGTACCTGTGAATGGGACTTTATTTGGAAATAGAACCTTTGCAAACACAATCAAGATAAGAGAAAATCATACTGGATTAGGAAGGGCTCTAGTCCAGTGACTGGTGTCCTTATAAAAAGAGGGAGACTGGGGACACAGACTCAGGGGAAAACACCATGTGAAGAAATACACAGGAAGACAGCCTCAGGCTGACAGACACAGAGATTGGGGTGATGCCTCTATAAGCTGAGGGACGCTGAGGACTGTTGGAAGACACCCGAGCCAGGAGAGAGGCATGGGGCAGGCTTTCCCTTGGAGCCTCCAGAAGGAACCCACCCTGCCAACACCTTGATTTCAGACTTCTGGCCTCCAGAACTCTGAGAAAATAAATTTCGGTTGTTTTAGGCCACAAGCTTTGTGGTAATTTGTGATGGCAGTCACAGGAAACTAATACGGAACCAAATGACTTCGCTGAGCCCTCAACAGATGTCAGGGTAGGCCCTTTGCTGGGAGTAAAGTGACCAGCTGCCAGGCTGCCCACTTGGCTCTCAGAGGGCTCCTCTCTGAGCTGGAACAAGGGCATCAGAACACAGAGGGTTAAAGCCTCATCTGTAGATAAACAACCTCATGCACACTGCATGCTGTGCGTGTATATTTATGTTGCTTATGTTTTATGCCTCCATCCTCAACTCCTCCTGTATACCACGCCATTAATTTTCCTTTGATGTTTTGAAAAGAATGAACTCTATGTTTCTCTCAGCTGAGCAGTACCAACCAAGGGCACATTCAACCCGTCTAGCCTAGCACATTTTCCTGAGCCAGCGAGGAGTTGGGCTCATACTTTGCCTTCGTTCCCTAAGTCATGGCGGATTTTGGGCATGGAGCTTGGTGAGTGGATGATATTACTCACACATTCAGCATTCATTTGTGGAGGCTTTTGCAATTTACCATGTGCTTTTTGCGCACTGTATGAGTCAGGATGCATCTGAAGGCAAGATTCAGGAATCCAGCTAAAAGTGGCACGACTGCCCTGTCCAGAAAGAAGTGGTTGAAGAGTTCCAGCAGTGGCTCAGTCATGAGCCCCGTGACACCCACAAGGGCCCTGGCACCTTCCATCCTTCCATCTAGCATCCTCAGGGGGCATGTAGTAGGCTTGGCTCTCTGCAACCATCATGTGGCTGAAGACAGAGAAGGACAGGAGGAGGTAAAGACAGATAGAAGACGAAAGAGGGAGGAGGAGGAAAAAGTGTCTTTTAGGAAGCCGGCCAACCATGACGGTTGCGCACATATTTCATTTTAACTTAGAGATCATCATTTCACAATAAATACCACTTTATAAATGTTTAAATACAATTTAAGGAGATAAAGCAGAGACTCATTAGCCACTTGGTAACAGATGCAGAAATATCAAAATGATCATTACCAAAATTATCAAAAAACAAACAAATCAAAAACCCAGCATGGCTTCAGGTGCAGGGCTGAGAAGCGTCTTTTGTTAGCAACTACCTCCGTGAGTCAGAGGGGACCTACCGCCGGATGGATACAACAGACGTTCAGGAACGGGATAAACATTGGCTCCATGTGCTTTCGTATCACTTAAAAGAAGAAATCTGTAGTGCTTTTATATCCCCTCTTACAAAAATCACAAATGCTATGAACTGCTCAACCTTTAAACCAAATGTGATGTTTCAGAGTTCTGACACTAACAGGAACATTTTAATTAAAAAGTAAGCTGGTGGGAAGGCTTATAAAATTCTGTGAAGTAAAAAAGATGTTTTAAACATGTAGGGACCCTTTGGGGGTAGAAAAAAGGGATTTTGCAGTAGTAATAGCTCTATTCCATTTTAATATTTTTGAATGTAGAGGTGTTTTTTAATCCTGTTCTAGAGAAAGCAAGATTTATCCTGATTATGTAGCAGTAACAAATGGTGAGGGAAGCGCTGTAAACACTACTCTAGCATGCATTTTATTTTTTGGTGGTATCCTTCCGCTTCTGGTTGAAAAGAGGAATAAATTAAATATGATTGCATGGGACTGCTTTATGCTTACTCAAGAGTGCTTGCCGTTGATGTCGATCCAGTAACAAACCTATTTTTCAAAGGGGGACGCTGGGGCTTGTGTTCATTCTCTAAGTATCCTCAGTGCTGAGCTTATCATTAGGGTATCTTTGGCAGTTCAGACTGAAATTAGCAAGTGTTATTAAAGAGTTTCAGTTATGCGGCTAAGAAATGGCTGCCTTTAGAACGGATGCTCTTTATTCAAACTTTCAATGTCAGTTATCATTTTTAAAGCAGCTTGACCTGGAAGCATGCAGCTAACATTGTGGGAACTGTTAATGACAGTTTTATTGGGCACTCTGCTTATGGTTCACATTTTGAGGTCTGTATGTAATTGATCTTTCTCCCCTACATGAGAAACACAGCAATAAGCTGGTTGCAGCACCACATTATAGATATAGAGAAATAATAATGATGTCACCTTGAGATTCAAAGATCGTGGAATAGTAATAGTCTCCTAGCTCATTTCTCCCAACTGTGATGACCTCTCCAATACTAAATCTTAACAGTCTCAGCATTATTTTTGAATTATTCATGCTAGCCTTTTCCCTCACTACAAAATCAAGGAAAATGAATGCATCATGCTCTGTCAGCTCCACAGGTATTTTGGTAAAAATATAAAATGTTATTTGGCATCACAAAAAAGGGCGAAACAGTAGTAACACAATGATGCAAGTGGCATGCTTACCTCGCACAGAAACACAAACGCAAACATCCATTTGTAGAAAATAAGACCAGGTGCATTTCCCCCATCAATTGTGAATTGATCGTTGGCTAATCATGTTGGGGTTAGCTGGATTGTGAGAAGTCTATGGCTTTAAATACAAAGTGCATAATAGGATTAGAGTCTATCATCAATCTGCCCCCCAAATTACACTAATAAGTAACGTCTAGAAATGTGTGCACTCTCTGTGATGGCCAGTTTTAGCCAACATTAGACTTAAAGCTGTTGCTTTCGAAATATCAAATCAGCATATATTTCTTATTTTAATTCAAATTATGTAGAGATAGCAGCTTGACAACTCTCCTAGTTTAGCCAGCCTAGAGAATATGGGAGTGCTACAGTTTTATTCCAGTGATGGATCTCATAAAAAGTGCATGTGGGAATAAAATAAAATGCATGTAAATGTAAACTCAGGCAGGTACTCTGATCCATCTGTAGCCTGTGACCTTTAAGTTCATGATGAAAAACAAATGTCAAGCTTTCAGAAGACAGGAGTATCCCTGGCTTGGCTGGGGTGGTGTGTGCTGTCGCGCAGACTGTATTAATTTAGGATGGCATCAATAACCTTGAAATCAGGATTTTGCACTAAAAACCCAGGTTTATGTTTATTCAGAATCCAAAGAAAAAAGGCAACTTTATTTAAAGAGGCCCTTCAGCGGCGAGTGGGTAATTGTTGCTCACCACTTAGATTTTTGGAGCTGCCGCCGGCTTCCATGGCAACAGATGCCTAAGACTGTGAGGACCCAGAGATGTTCCTTAAAGAGTCTTTTTATTCTGCATATAATGCTAATTATAGATGTGCTCTGCTCATTCGGCTAAGTAGGCCACACCTTGAGAGAAAGTGTGGTCAGTCAAGACCGTGCCTCGACCAAAATGCCGCGGATTCCTTGGGGACTGAGACAAAGTGCCATTTTGTTGTGCAATGTAGACTTATTTCTGAATGCATTTTTTTTCCTGGTAAAGAAAGAAACAGTCAAAGAAATCACTCGTTCCCATCACTGGACTGTAGGCACAAGCGATTTGGCCATAAGTCGTGCCTGGCTGAGCAAGCTCTCCACCACTCCCTGTTCTGATGAGAGAGCCCATAGTCATGTCCTCGTACTTGCCATGATGAGATTAATGGCAGGTCTGGTAGAGTCACACAGTGCCTTCAAATCATCCAAGGCTGAATTATGCTCAGTACAGACTTCACATTAAGTATGTTCCATTATATTCCAATTCTTTAAAACTTGGTGTAATAGGGTTAATTACTGGTAAAAAAACAAAAATAAAAATAAAAATAACTGGTATATTGCCTTTTCCACTGCTATGGGGTTCTCAGCAAAAAAAAAAAAAAAAAGAAAGAGAGAGAGAAAGAGAGAGAGAGTAGGAGAGAAAGAGAATCTGAGCTTGTCTCCCCCAAGAACAGCAGCCAGACTCTGTTAGGGCTTGCCCAGGGAGAAGTTAAATGCTTCTTTTGATGTTTGAGAAGTTGCCCTGAATTCAAGCCCCACCCATCCTTGGTTGGAAAAGCCCAGCAGCTGGGATGCGAGGCTGCCCCAAGAGGAGAAGAAAGGGCTTCACTTACCTGGAGCTGATGCAAGGGGAGTGGCTGTACCTCGGGCCCTTTTACGCTTGTAGGCTGGGGAAGGAAAGGATTTTGGAGGTGAGTAGCGGAGACCAGTCCCTGCCCCCTCACAGTGGTCTGGACGTAGGATGGCCAGATACAATACAAAATGTCCAGAAAATTTTGAATTTCAGATAAACAATACACACAATCTTGGGGGCATATTTACACAAAAAAATCTTGTTGTTTGTTGGAAATTCATATTTAACTGGGCATCCTGGATTTTTATTTGCTAAATCTGGGGACAGTGGGAGGCCATAGCCAGGGCTGAGATGGAGGTGGCTGCCTGAGGACCTGGGCCTGAACCTTGGCCTGACCCTAGCCAGGAAGGTCCTGGGTGAGTCTTCTCCCAACTTCTTGTCTGTCTCCACCCAAGTCGCCTGACCAGCAAGTCCTAAAAGTATCTTCATCCTCAGTGATTCCACTGCTCAAGACCAGGGGCTGCCTGTCACTTAGCAGGCCAAATCTCCATTCTGGGGTCTAGCATGGGAGCCCTTCCTCGAAGGTAAGACTGAAAGAGTAGCAGCCATGGTCAGACCAGGTGCCCACCAGGGCTCTTTCCCTGCAATCTACAAAACCTCAGCCAAGACTTTCATGTTCTCTGAGCTTTGAATACCCCATCGGGGTGGGGACCAGCCTAGGGCTGACCAAATGATCCCAAATTTCTCCTTAACTGCTTTTACTTACTTTGCTTTTACTCCCCACTGAAGAACATTTTTTTGGCCCACTTTCACTTCTTCAATAAATATTTATTAAGTGTCAGCATATGCCAGGATACATAAATGAATAAAGCAGACAAAAATCGCTGCTCTTACAGAGCTTGTATTTAAGTGGAAATGTTTAGAAAATACGTGTGATGACTAAGACAATGATAGAGGATTTTTGAAGGTGAAATGAGCTTAGGAAAAAATTAGAGCATGCTCAGGTGGGTGGAGGTTCAGGGCAGGTTGCAGATGAACAACAGCAATTTAAAGTAGAGTGGTCAAGGAGGGCCTCCTGAAGGTGGTATTTGAGTCTCAAAGGCAGTAGGCAGGTTAGCAAAGGTGCTAAAGGGAACAGTGTTTAGGCAGCAGGAACAGTTGGAGCCCTGGGGGAAACATGTGACTGGCAGAGTTGGGAGAGGAGGAGAGATGTGGTCTGGGTGGTTGGAGGCTAGAGGCAGGGCGTGGAAGGCTCCCTGGATGAGGAACGGAGGGGAGTGGAGTCACAGAGAAGGCTCTGACAGAGGATGAAGAGGAGTGAGTCGAAGCCACCTACACGATCCTAGGGCACGAAACCCAAATGCTGGGGACAACACCCATTAGAATAAATATTAGGTGACAGATGAGGGTGGAGGTGATGAAAGTCTTGGGCGACTGCATGTACCTGAAGCTCCAGTTTCTCTGCCACACTGAATGAGGCACCAGAAAGAAAGTGAGGTGTCTTAGCCGGGCCTGGTGGCGGGCACCTGTAATCCCAGCTACTCAGGAGGCTGAGGCAAGAGGATAACCTGAACTCAGGAGGCGGAGGTTGCAGTGAGCCGAGATCACGTCACTGCACTCCAGCCTGGGTGACAGAGTGAGACTCCATCCCCCTGCCCCACAAAAAAAAAAAAAAAAAAAAGTGAGGTGTCAAGGATGCGATAAATATTTGTCCTTCACTTAGCACACATGGATCCTGGACGGAGAACACAACTGCAAGTCCACAGACCAGAGGTCTAAATATTTCAAAAGAAGAAATCGAGCCAGCAAACTTTCAAATAAAATATTGGCTATCCTCCTGCTTTCCTAATGATGAAACCAAAAAATACGTGGAAAGCTATGATTTTTATTGGCTGAAAGTTGGCAAAATCTCAATGGCTGAATGTAATGCTTGTTGTACATGTCTGGGGGTTTTACTCACGGGCCAGCAATGCTTGAATAAGTCAAAAATAAAGACATCCATAATTCATAAATGAGTATGTACTTTTTCAGTAAAATTTATTTTTCTTGCCTCATTCAGTATAATCAATAATTATGTTGTATGAGCAAGATTTTCACATAATTCATCTTTTAACATTAATGTGATAAAGTGCCAAATTTTGAATGCATTTTTGTCAAAAATGTACATTAAGCCTGGTGCAGTGGCTCTCACCCGTAATCCCAGCACTTTGAGACGCCAAGGCAAGAGGTTTGCTTGAGGCCAGGTGTACGAGTCCAGCCTGGGCAACAGTGTGAGACCTCATCTCTAAAAAATGTGTTTACAAAACTATCCAGGCATGGTGGTGCATGCCTGTGGGCCTATCTACTCAAGAGGCAGAGGCTGAGGCGGGAAGATCACATGAGCTCAGGAGTTCAAGGCTGCAGTGAGCTATGGTCATCACACCACTGTACTTCAGCCTGGGTGACAGATTGAGATCGTGTCTCTAAAAATTTTTTTTTTAAAAAGGAAATTAAATGTAAATTTAGAAAATAAATTTAAATAATTTTTCATATTTTCAAAAAGTATTGCCTCTAAAACATTCAAAATTAGCTGTTAAAAAGCAAAACACAAATTTTAATTATGGAAGTAACTTTAATCAAAGCTAGTTTTTTAAAAAAAACTTTGAAAATTTAATTAAATCACCTGAAATATTTAGGTAAAAATGAAACTATTTATGATTCCACTGAGAACTGTAACCAGACCAGAAAATGCTGTGTTGCTTATATAAAAAAAAGTAGGCCAGGTGTGGTGACTCACACCTGTAATCCCAACACTTTGGAGGCTGAGGCTGGAGGATCACTTGAGCCCAGGAGTTTCAGACCAGCTTGGGCAATATAGGGAGACCCCATTTCTATAAAAAATTTAAAAAAAGAATTAGTTGGGGCTGTGATTGTGCCATGCCAGCCTGGATAACAGAGCGAGACCCTGTCAGAAAGAAAGGAAACAAAAGAGAAGGAAGAGAGGGAAGAAAGGGAAGAAAAGAAGGAAGGAAGGAAGGAAGGAAGGAAGGAAGGAGTGAGTGAGTGAGTGAGTGAGTGAAGGAGGGAGGGAGGGAAGGAGAGAGGGAGGGAAGAGAGAGAGAAGGAAGGAAGGGAGGGAGGGGGAGGGGAGAAAGAGAAGGAAGGAAGGGAGGGAGGGAGAGAAGAAGAAAGAAAGCATATCTCACTTCATGTAGGTTATAACTAGACCTACATTTATGCAAATTTGAGACTATGCATTGCTTAATATTGTCAGCCATGGTTCCTCAGCAACCACATGCAATTGTTGTGGACCCCGTGCTCACTGGAGCAGCTCTGGAATCACACATTGGATCATGAAGACAAGTAAGAAAATGGACACTGGGCAATTCTGGGAAGTGATACTTCATTATACAACAATCTATAGTAACCCTGCTTAAAAGAACGGTGTGAGAAGTTAATACATTTCTCTTTGCTCTTCCCTACTCAAGTCCCCCTTACAGACAGAGGCAGCATCTGTCTCCCATGGAGCAGCTCCACCACAAACCTCTGTGGTACTAAGACGATGGCACAAGGTGGGTGATTTCTGTGTGTAGGGGGGCTGGGAGGGTGTGTTCCCAGGACCCGAGTATCATCAGAATTCAGAGCAAATGTTTCAGGGTCCTGCCTTGCCAGCACCAAGCCCTGCTCCATGACCACTTAGAAACCCACATGTTCTTGCCTAAATGGCATGTGTATGTGTGTGCACATATGCCTGCAGTAAGAGGGGCCCTGTAGGAAAGGAGACCCCCTGAGAGCCTCCCACTTTGGGCAAGGTCTAAGGGCAGTGGCCCCTAGAAGGATGGACTTGCCATCCTCTAGATGGGGAAGCTGTGGGTGAAGTAGCTTTGGGAGGGGATGTACAGATCAGGAATTCAGAAGTGGAGATGTTGACTTTGCAGTGTCTTTTAGTTACCCAGAGGAAAGTAGGCAGGCAGCTGTATAAAGGGGTCTGGATTTTGAGAGAGAAATCTCAGCTGGAGATAACAGATCTGTGAGTCATTAGTGGGTGATGTTCTATGATGCCTTCTGCCTGGAAGATACCACTAAAGTATGAATGTGGATGTGAAAGAGAGAGTCCAGGGGCTGGATCCTAGGGCATGAAACCCGAAGGCTGGGGACAACACCCATTAGGATAAATATTAGCAAAAAAATAAGTAAATAAAAGCAGTAAACAGCAAGTGCTGGCAAGGATGTGGAAAAATTGGAACTCTTGTACATGACTGGTGGGAATGTAAAATGGTACAGCTCCTACAGAAAACATTATGGCAGGCTGGGCATGGTGGCTCATGCCTGTAATCCCAGCACCCTGGGAGGCGGAGGCAGCCAGATCACCTGAGGTCAGGAGTTCGAAACCAACCTGGCTAACATGGTGAAACCCTGTCTCTACTAAAAATACAAAAATTAGCCAGGCATGGTGACACGCGCCTGTAGTCCCAGCTACTCAGGAAGCCGAGGCAGGAGAATCGCTTGAGCCCGGGAGGCAGAGGTTGCAGTGAGCCAAGATTGTGCCACTGGGCGCTCCAGCCTGGGTGACAGAGTGAGACTGTGTCTCAGAAAAAAAGAAAACATTATGGCAGTTTCTCCAAAAATTAAATATGTGATCATCATATGATTCAGCAATGTCACTTCTGGGTATATACACAAAAGAACTGAAAGCAAGAACTCAAACAGATATTTGCACATCCATGTTTACAGCAGCATTATCTGCAAAAGTCAAAAGATGGAAACAATCCAAGCATCTGCTGATGCATGAATGGATGCACAAACTGTGACGCATCCACACATAGCATATTATTCCACCTCACGAAGGAAAATGACACATGCGACAACATAGAAGAACCTGGAAGACTTGCTAAGTGATATTCTCCAGACACAAAGGGACAAATACGGTATGATTCCACCAAATGAAGTCCCTTGTCGTCAAATTCATAGAGTCAGAAAGTTGAAGAGTGATTGCCAGGGGCTGGGGAGAAGGGGAATGGGGAGTTATGGTTTAATGGGGACAGAGTTTCCGTTTTGCAAGATGAAAAAGGTCTGGAGATGGATGGTGGTGGTGGTTGCACAACAATGTGACTGTGATGAATATCACTGAACTACACACTGAAAAATGGTTAAGATGGTAGATTTCATGTTATGTATATTTTACCATGATTTTATATGCTAAAATAGAGAGAGAGAGATTAAAATAAGGGTTGAAAGAGTTGAAGAGTTGGGTACAAGATCAGGGACAATTGACAGGGACAGAGAAGGAGGAACCAGCAGCAGTGTGACTTTGGCCAAAGTCACACTCCTCTCTGCAGGCCTGCAGCTCTCTGTCCAGCTCAGAAAGTCTCATGGCATGTTGCACTCACTGGATGTTATTCCTGGTCACTGTTATTCCTTGAAAGTCCTCCGACTTTGGACTTGGACTTTGGATCTCAGTCACTGTCCACTGCACTTGCTCTTTCCACCTCAGTCAATAAGTCACTCCTCTAACCCACTCACTCATCATTTCAATACTTGTGTGCAAATAATTCTAAACTTCACTCTCTTGTGCCTAATATGTTCAGTTTTGTCATCTCCTCCCTGCCACCCAAATGGCAGATTATTTCTTTTCAAAATGAATGGTGCATGAATGAATGAATCAATGAGGTGGTCCGTCAATAAGGAAGTGTCTTCTTGCTCTTCTCAAGTCTGCTTTTGACATTATCATGCCCATGGTTGGGGCTTGCCCTGTAGAAGGAAGAGCAGAAGGACATGGGAGAAGAGAACAAGAGTGCTAGTTAGTAGAGGTGGGGTCTTTCTCAGAAATAATAAATAGAGTGAGTGTTTCTCAGGAGGTTAATGCACCACACATTTCAGTACCTGAATGGCAGCTCTTATTTAAGACTATATAGATGTGAGGAAAATGAATGCCTGCCTTAGTTCTCTTCAGGGATTGTCAATGAATCTATGTGTGGCATCTCTAGACCCATGGGGACGTCTTTAAGACATAGTCCAAGAGGTGAATTTCAACACGGGGTCTCAGGTTGCATGGTCTGAGTTACACACAGGGGAGGAGTGAGTTAAAATGGTCAACACATTTGTGAAATGATCTTTAATGTTTTTAAGTACCAGCATGTGGTGGTATATATTATGTGTCAACTTTACTGGGCCACAGGGTGCCCAGATATTTGGTTAAACATTATTCTGGGTGTGTCCACAAGGGTGTTTCTGGATGAGAAACATTCAAATTTATAGACTGAGTCAAGAAGGTTGCCCTCCCCAATGTGGGTCAGCCCCTTTCGATCCACTGAGGGCCTGAATGGAAAATAAAAAAGACCGAGTTCTCTCTGCCTGGCTGTCCTTGACCTGGGACGTTGGTCTTCTCCTGCTTTCAGATTTGGACTTTGACTAGAACCACACCACCAGCCCTCCTGGTTCTCACACCCATAAACTCGGACTGGAACTTACACTATCAGCTCTCCTGGGTCTCCAGCTTGCCACCTGTGGATCTTGGGACTTCTCAGCCTCTGTAATTGCAGGAGCCTATTCCTTATAATAAGACATAAATCTCATTATATACATATTATTATATATATATACAGTCATGTGCCATAATATTTCAAGTAACAATGCACCGCATATACAACAGTGATCCCGTAAGAGCATAATGAAGCTGAAATGTTCCTATTGCTGAGTGATGTTATAGCTGTCACAATGTCACAGCATAATTATTTTTGAAATCAATTTAGTGTAGCCTGAGTGTACAATGTTTATAGGCCTACATAGCGTGCAGTCATGTCCTAGACCTTCACATTCATTCACCACTCACTCAGTGGCTCACTCAGAGCAACTTCCTGTCTTGCAAGCTTCATTCATGGTTAAGCGCCCTATACAGGTTTCTTATTTTTTATCTTTCATGCTGTATTTCGACTGTACCTTTTCCATGTTTAGATACACAAATACTTACCACTGTGTTACAGCTGCCTACTACATTCAGTACAGTCCCATGCTGTACAGGTCTGCAGCCTGGGAGCAATAGGCTATACCATACAGGCTCGGTGTGGAGTAGGCTAGGCTAGGTGAGTGTAAATGCACCATGATGTTTGCACAAGGATGAAATCAGCTAACAACCCATTCCTCAGAATGTATCCCTGATAGTAAGCAAGGCATGACTGTACACACACCACACACACACACACACACACACACACACATAATTACAAGATATATAGATATAACAGAACCAATAGGATATATATTATTTACCTGGAGAACTCAGACTCACACACAGCGTAATTGGTGGAGGTTTTATATTGTGGTTGTGGTTGGCATTAATTCCCCAGTTACCATAATGTATGGAATTTTGATGGAGAAAAAAGTGCCCGATGCCCTCTGTGACTGTGTCCTACCACGTTTTAAATTGAGGAGTTGCTTGCACCAACATGACTCCAGTGCTTCACAGAGCATGTTCACTGCCCAGGGACTTACATCCACATGGTCAAGGTGGTGTCAGGCTGGCAAAGCAAAATCACTGCTATTTGACTTTCAACTGTGAAATTTTGCAGTCGTATTATGAGTCGTTCCCCTTCACAATTGTCTGGCTTACAAACTCCCGGGAAGGTGAGAATGATTTAGACTTTATGGGGAGTATGGTAGGTTAATCATAAGAACTGGGCTGCTATGAAGGCCGGTGGGGCATTGACAGATGGTGTTCCCTTCTCCCCTTCTGATTTTCCTTATTTGCAGCCTGACATTTTTAAAAAATAGATTTGCTTGGAGTTTTTGCACATTTACGAAATCCATTTGAAAACTTGATGGTTGGAGAATGGAAATGATTTTATGGTTGGGAAAGATTGTCCACAGATTTCTTAAAAGGTAATGGTTGCTAATTCTGCCTTCAGCAAGAGCCACAACGTCCTCATATTAAATAAGCTAGCCCAGTTTAAGAAGAATTAGACAAAGTCAAAATATAGGATCCACATTTGCCCGTAAATGGCAGCTTTTAATCTGCACAGGCGTTAGAGGTGGTGCAGTGACAGGAGGGCGAGCTCCAGGGAAATTCCTCCAGCTGCCTGGTGGAACTGCCATTTTCAAATGGAGTCCTGATTTTTTTAAAAAAATAAAAAATTAATTAGCAAAGGTCAATAATTACTGTATTATCATAGCTATAATGTACAATTTTTTGGCCCATACATTTGGGGAAGGAAAAAGCATTTGATAAACAATACCTATTCTTTGAAGCCTTTCCTCAGAAGGTTTTCCTAGCTAGTTGGAGTGAGGTGGCCATTGCCATGTTTCCTGTGTTTTGAAGAGCCAGTCCCATCCATCTCTCACAGCTGGAAAACCTGTAGATGTGGGAGTTATCTCCCACATCCTTCTTGGGCTCAAGAACCTGCTCTGGCTCACTATTAACCACTGCATCAAGTTCAAACACTTTCTTGGCTTCCCGATCCCTGCAGGTGCCCCTCTGGCATCCCCACTTTGATCTTAGGCTGATTTTCCAGTCCTCCACTCCTTCCTGAGACCCACCCTAGTTCCCCCTCTGCTCCATGTTGAGTCCTGATTCTTCCAGGATGCCTTCCCTAGCCGTCCCAGCCTGTGGAGTTTAATTCTCAGTTCCGTTGTAGAATTATCTTTGCATTGTTTCATGGGTTCCTTCATTCATGTTTTCATTTGTCTGACATGTTTATTCAGCACCGTCTAGCTGCAGAAATAATTGCACACCAGTGTAATGTCTGCAAAAAAAAAAAAAAAAAAAAAAAGACTTGCATTGGGGGCCAATGATTGGGGTAGCATAGAGCAGCCAGGATGCTGGTGACATTTCACAAAGACCTGGCACTCCAGGGGAAGGGCGGGTTCCACGAGATGCAAAATAGGCCACTACATACCAGGCCTGGAGGTCAGGAGAGAGGTGAGCACTGGCTTTTGAAGTTACTATGAGAGAAATCAATGATTGATATTAAAGCATTTTGAACAACTCTAAAGCACTACATGAGGGTTATAAGATTCTACAACTAGTGCTGTGTAATCCTTTCCAAAGGAAGCTAACGATTTGAGCCCCTGCTGTGGTTAGGGTTTACTGTGGTGGGCATTTCCACTGACATTATCACAGTCAGTTGCAAGGCTTTCTGGTAAGTCAGGTATTATCATCTCCATTTTACAGACAATAAAACTGAGGCTCTGTATGGCTAAGAAACGTGCTAAGGCCACAGAGCTAGGACACGATGGAGCTAGGATGCCTCCAGGTTCATCCTTGGAGTTCCTCCTGGGGTGCAATGCGGCCACTTTCGTCTTCTCATGTCGTGCCACCAAAACAAACTGAGGAATTTAATCATTTAAAGGTTATTTTTGGCTCCATAACAAACGCAAGTTGAGGTCTGTTGGCAGAGTCTGGCTCAAAGGAAGCTACAATTCATCAGTTCCAATCACTGAACAAAGAGTTCAGGGACAGCCTGAAAACACTGGATGCTGCTATTGACCCTGGGTGGAGAGGGAGTGGGAAACACGCCTGGAAAAATTGGCATTTGGTTGCTAATTAAAACATTTTTAAAGATCTCATTACCAAAATATTTATTGAGGTGGACATTGAAATCATTTTACTTACCACTTATGGATCATTTTGCTTAAGAATGGAGTAAAATGTGGATGCATGAACATTTTGTGGAAGTGTAATCATGAAACTGCATCAGATGATGTGTCCATTGTTTTTATTTCTCTGTTATTAAGGGTTTAGGGAAAAAAATTTACAAAGAATTTTAAATAAACTCCCAAACCTTCAGTTTCCAAAATGATGCTTGAGATTGAGAAGTTTTATCTTGGTAAATACGTACTTTGCAGAGATTATTAGATCATTTTGATTTCTGGGAACATCATTTAGAAGCATTGCGTTTGTGGAAAGTGCGTGTTTAACACCTTTGTGGATTGGGGGTGCCCTCATCTTTCTTCGTTTTCCCTGCTCTCTTGTCTTTGTGCTGATTTTTCATCAAACCCAGTGGCACAGGAACCAGAGCCCGCTTCCATCACTCTCCGGGTGCTTCCGTCTCTCTCTAACTGCCCGTTTTTTTCTTCTGAACATCATGATGCCATCTATCAAACTTCTAAACAGGTTCCCACTTTGCCTTCTAAGGCTGAGCCTTGGTGCTTCATTTTCCACAGCAATCCCAGTATTAGAGAACAATTAATGATGTCAGCTTACCGGTATCACTTTTGAAATATTTTCTGTTACTGAGAATCTTTGCAGGAGAACGACAAAGCTGCAAACACAGACCTTTTCTCAATGAGCTCCAGAACCAGGATTGGCCTTTTGATAAATGCTTTCTGGAAGTTGTCTTTAAGGGGCTAATTTTTCAAGCTTAGAGAGGGAGAGAGAGAGAAAGATCTCCATTTTTTCAGGTAACTAATGACTTAAATGGAAGAAAATGAATAATTTAATGAAAATATTTTGGCATGTCTTAAGCCACATACATTTGGTTCCTGTACAAGGTCCCACCCTCCGCGATGAGCAAAGGTATTTTCGTTTGGCAGATTAGGCTATTTTTGAATTCTACTTATTATACTAAATTGAACACCATATTATGAAATCCATTTCAACTTTTATGGACATCCCTGCCTCCTCCAGGGGCTTCTTTGGGCATTTGGTTTATTGGGGAAGAGTCATTTATTCCCTGCAACGATGCCCACGGTGCTGGCACATTACAGCAAAGAAAATAAGCCACAAAATTCAAGTTCTTATTGCAGACTAGTATCAACTTAACAAGATTTTTTTAAAATAATGGAAAACGTTAGAATATGACATCCTAGGGAAGGATAGAAGATTCTTGCATATCTAATCAAAATGTTATCATCCCCGAAACATATTCATCATATGACCTTTGTCAGCTGCTTCATAGTAAAGAAATCCTTTCAAAAAGGCAAAAGTTTCAAACAGAGCATTATGGGCTGGAAGAAATTCACAAAAAAGAAATTGCATTTTCAACCAGAGAGCCTCAGTGCCAAGGCTGCACTGGGGAGATCGCTATGACCCTCTTGCCGTTGTCTTAAACTGTCAAAGTTTGACTCCTTTTGGATTTTGAACAATTCAAAAAAGATCCTTTCATAAACAGTTTCATAAACTACGACATATCTAATTCCTGGGCTTTGAACACGGAGCTGAGTACAGCACAGGGAGCCTACTGAGAATTTCTCCTGAAACCATAAAGCAATCTAGGAGGTGAGTTACCACGCTGTTGACACAGGGAATGGAAATGGAAATTCTCTAGGAGTCTCTTCCACCCCGAGTTCTATGCACTGCTTTGCCTGATGCTTGTTGATTGGTGTCGTATATCTTGATGTTAGTATCCCATTTCAGAAATGTTCTGACATTATCTATTTGGAAGTTCGAAACACAGTATAAAACTCCCAATGCATTTGAGCACAGGTTTCAGCACAGCAATCACAATGCCCATTTCCACTGATGCAAGATGCAGGTTTGAACCACATTCCAATAGACTCTATTCCTAAGTCGATAGAAATCTGAAAGTCTTTCTGTGGCTAGCAGGGTTAGGAGGGGCTGACTCCTTCCTTCCCGAACACCACCTCATTCCTCTTATCAACTCTCCCTAGTGCTCAGCAACCAGGGGCCTGTGGCTGTGGAATATGTATGAAGAACAAATGATCAGGAAAAATGAGGTGGAAAAAATTTTTTAGATAGCAGAACTGAAAGGAAATGAAACAATGAGGATTTGAAAAATGCAATTGAATACAGGTTTAACCATTAAAAATGATTGCACGTCTCTAAAAGAGAGTAGAAATAAAGTGGCTCGAATGTGTTTACTTTTTTAAAGATTCAGGCTCAGTTCACAAATGGCAAAGCAGATTGAATCAAAATTGACCTTTTGCATTACTAGAATCTAGAGATTTTATTCATCTAAGAACCCACTGTACTTTGGAATTAGTCCATGGACTTACTAGCATGGGGTGACCAGAAAAACTGTTAGGTTGCTGATCCTAAAATCACCTTTAAATTCATATTTAGACTTCTTCTAATTTATTTTTATCACACAAGCATGGGTAGATGCCAAAGAGAATCCTCAGTTACTATTTCTAGCTTGTTAATAATCAAGTTATATTTTTCCAGTCATTGGCATTTTCAAATGCTGCAAATGAAAATCAAATTTGCAAATGTGACACATTCGGGGAAACCATATCTACTATTTCCTTCTCAGACAAAGAAAGACAAGTTTTTAATCAGCAGTCAACTCTGCAGTCTTTGGAGTTGGTTTAAACTAAGTCAGCAACTCTGATTCTTTTATTTGAAGAACAAATAGCAGGATAAAATTCCTAAGCCCTAGAAATATACCGTCATAACTTGCCGCCCAAAGATTTCAAATTCCTCAATTGAAAAATGCTAACACAGTCTTTTCCCTGTCTCCCTCTCTTTGTCCTTCCCCCATTCCCTCCTCCCTCCTCTCTCCCTCTCTCATCTTTCCTTCTTCCCCTCCCCTCCCTAATCCTGTGTTCTTAGGAATCGGGAATACTCTCAGAATATTGATGCTTGCAGATCAGTAATTTTCTGTAAGGTTTGGTTCTGCCCATTTCATAGCTGAGTGGCCTTGGACAAGTAACTTGACCTCTGCAATCCTTACTTTCCTCACCTATAAAATGGGTGTAATGATACTCATCTCACAAAGCTGTAAGGTTTTTTGTTGTTGTTTTTGTTTTGTTTTGTTTTGAGGTGGAGTCTCGCTCCATTGCCCAGGCTGGAGTGCAGTGGTGTGATCTTGGCTCACTGCAACCTCCACCTCCCAAGTTCAAGAGATTCTCCTGCCTCTGCCTCCCGAGTAGCTGGAACTAGAGGCACGCATCATTATACCTGGCTAATTTTTGTATTTTTGTAGAGATAGAGTCTCACTATGTGGGTCAGGCTGGTCTCAAACTCCTTCCTGATCTCAGGTGATCTGCCTTCCCTGGCTTCCCAAAGTGATGGGATTACAAGCGTGAGCCACCATGCCTGGCCAAAGCTGTGAGTTTTAGAAGGATGACACATGTAAAAACACACAGCACTGAGTGTCTGCACACAAGAGACCCCTGTGTTGTTCCAGACTCTTGGTCACAAATGACAGAAACCCAACTCACAGTTTATTCAAACAAGAGAATTTATTGTCACAGAGAAATGAGAAGTCCAGGGGTGGCTTTATACTCATGATCGGATCTGGTCATATCCAGGGGCTCAACAATGTGGTTTGGGCTCTGTTTCTATCTCCATGCAACTTTCCTTCGTGAAAAGATGGCCACACGCAGCCCCAGAGCCATGTGGTCCCTGCTTTGTGCCCCAGCAGGAAAAGGCAACTCCCTGCAATAACTGTACATCCATCCAGGCAAGAACTCTGATCAGTCCACCACTATGACCAATGGGAGATTTGCTGTACACAAAGAGACAGTAGAGCTTGCAGGTAAAAGCCATCAATGTCCCCTATGAGGCCCAGTAAATGCTGGCTCTCATTTTCCTGCGGCTTCTACTCATCAAAGAAGCAATAAATTGGGGCATAAATGACTCTAACACCTACTGCTGTGTGATCTTACCAAGTTACTCAACCACTCTGTTTCCTCATTTCTAAAGCTGTGATCATGACAGTACTTACCTAATAGGGTTGCTGTGAGGATGCAGAAAGAGGATGGGTATAAAGCACCTAGCCCAGAGCCTGTCACTTAAAAAGTCATCATCATTTTCAAATATGATTACACATTTTTTTCCGACGGGGATGCATCCTGAGCAATGTGTGGTTGGGTGATTTCGTCATCTCGCAAACATCATAGTGGACTTACGCAAACCCAGCTGGTGTAGCCTATTGCTCCCAGGCAACACACCTTCATGTACTGAATACGACAGGCTATTGTATCACATGGTATTTGTGTATCTAACCATACCCAAGCCTACATAAGGTAATATGTTGCACTACGACATTATGATAGCTATGACATCACTACGTAATAAGAATTCTTCAGCTCCATCATAATCTTATCGGCACCACCATGGTACAGGCAGTTCATTGTTGACCAAAACATCATTATGTGGCACATGACTGTATTATCATTAATTTCTACAAGTCCTATCTTTCTAGTTCTTTAGTATCTTAATGAATCTCCAATAAATGTCCTAATTAAGATTAATCCCTAAGACAAAGAACCAAGGCACAGACTTGCCAATGCTTTTGCTTGGCCTTGGGGCAGGGACAAGGCTAGGAGAGTGCCCTGGGTTGGCACCAAGTTGTCTCGCTGTCCAGCCTCATGAAATGCGTCCCCTTGTCAACAGCCTCCCTGGAAAGCTCCGCTGCACAGAGTCAGATCCACCGGGCACTTATTTAGTGGCCAGAAACTCCCTCTACTGCTTTGGGGAAGATGGGGCTGCAGGAAGCAGAGCACCCCCAGCCCCCTCCTCACCAGGGCCTCCCCAACCCAATCCATACACAGCTGGTGGATGAAGAGTTGTGAAGACTTAAGGTGAGGCAGCATGTGAGTATGCATGCTCAGCACAAAGGGCTCAAGGGCTGGCACACAGCAGGTGCACCATCCTTGTGAACAGGGAGGATACAAACTTGGTGGCTTACTGCCTCATGGTGATCCTGCCCTTCCCACCCCTTCCCCTTCATTCCCATATCAGATCTGTTCTCCAGGCCATGGCGAGTGCATGTGACCGTGGCTGGGAAGGTACCTCATTCCCCTGCCCACCGTGATTGGTCCAGAGGTTGTCCTAATCATCCATGGTAGGCCAGTCAGAGCCCTTCCCTAAGATTCTTTTTGGGGGAAGCTGGGAGAGAGCTTTGATGTGGTTCGATACACCAATACCATTGTGTATTTCAACTCTGAGGGCACAGAGCTGAAAGGATGTAAGCCTGGGTCCTGGGTGGGTAAAGCCTGCCTGGAGCTGGGGAAGATGAGAAGAGGAAGGCCTGCGGAGGGCCCAGTGAACGAGACCTGAGCTCAGCCTCTGTGCCCTGGAGTCCTCCTGCCTTTCCTTCTCTGGGCTGTAGTTCACTTTCTAATAAAGGTCCTTTGGGTTTGGCGGCTTTGTTCTGGGCCTCCTTCACCTGCATCGTGAGGAGCACCAGCAAAGGCCGCCTGACACTGCCCTCACCAAGAAATGAGCACCCCCAGCTTCACAACTTTCCCCTACCCCTGCCAGGAATGAAGGTGCTGTCCTATTCCTGTCCAGCGGGCTCCTGGACAAAGAAGGGAGAGTCTCTGATCTCCAGGCGCTGCTGATCAGACAGATGGAGGGATCATTCTGAGGACCTCAGTGTCTGTCATTCCCCACTCCTAGATTGAGTGGGGTTATCTCAGGCAAAGAGACAATGGGACAGACGGCCACCGGCACCAGCCCCAGCTCCAATTCTGCCGCTCAGGTGGTGATCACTCTCCCACATCTGCCTCCTGTTACCTTAAAGCAGTGGTTCAATGTGCTAGGCTGGTTTGAAGCAGTTACCCTGGGAGGAAATGCAGCCACTTTTCCTTTCTAAATTTGTATTTTGGTGACTGAGACAGAACCCTTAGTGTGGCTGTTTTTCTTGTCTTAATTTCATTCGTGGTTTCCCAGTCAGAAGCAAATGACAGCAAATCACAATCTCAGCATCGAAATCCCCACGTCTCTTGCTTTAATTTCCAAGTCACAAAAGCATGGGCACTTCTGGTTCATCCCAGTGGGGCAGGGGAGGGGGGGGACCCACTTCCTTCTAGTGACCCAGGTGCACACTCCCCAGCTCTTCACACCATTTAAAGGATTCTGCCCAAACTGCCAACCATGTGTTACAAATAAAGCCCTTCCCGAAAATGGATCAAAAACACTTTGTAATGAGTGAAGGAGCTGGTTTAAAAAGGGCCAACATCAAACAAAATCCCAGTCCTGAGTCACAGACACTCAAATAGCCCCTTCCAGGGTGGGAATGTCCTCCAAAGCACTTCCATTTGTGTGAGTAGTTCTTCAAGCCAACGTATCCAAATACATACATCTGATGAGCGGACTTTGCTTGTTTACATACATTATGTACATTCCTTTGATAGTCAATTGTCTAAAGTTGGAACAGTTCGGAGGGAAGAGCTATATAAGGTTTGCAATGATCTTTGTCCACCAGTTACTGGACAACTGGATCCAAATTCCACAAATAGCTGTGGTTCTTTACCTGCATGGTTCTCCTCCCCTGAGACATCCAGTGCCATGCATTTTCTCTTGCAGGTCTTTCCTTGCATCACCCCTCCAACCCCAGCAGATATCCTGGCTGAGCCTGTTTTCTCTGTGAGGGGCTACACTGCACACTGGGGCTCTTGAAAAGGGCTTGCTGGGCTGGGCACGGTGGCTCACGCCTGTAATCCTGACACTTTGGTAGGCCGAGGTGGGTGGATCACCTGAGGTCAGGTGTTCAAGATCAGCCTGGCCAATATGGTGAAACCCCGTCTCTACTAAAAATACAGAAAAATTAGCTGGGCATGGTGGTGTGCACCTGTAATCCCAGCTACTCAGGAGGCTGAGGCAGGAGAATCACTTGAACCCGGGAGGCAGAGGTTCCAGTGAGCCAAGATGGCACCATTGTACTTCAGCCTAGGCGACAGAGAGAGACTCCAATTCAAAAAAAGAAAAAGAGAAAAAAAAAAAAAAGAAAAAAAAGAAAGGGCTTCCTGCAGGGACAGTCAGTGCAGGAAAGGGCCTCTTTCGTACTCCCACTGCCCCTACGCATCTCCTGGGTAGAGGTCGCTGCTCCAGAGAGCAAACTATTTCCTCATCTGTGTGCCATTCCACTACAAGCCCCACAGGGGCCTGCAACGAGTCCCATAAATCCATCTCCAGGCCCTGCACCCACAAACTGGCAAAGGAAGTTTCAGGAAAAGTCTTTCTAATAGGAGTCTGTGGGCTGCCTCTGGTTCGTTTCTTTAGGAATTCTCCTCCATGCCCTTCTTGACACAAAAGGGCCTGAAGGGTTCCAGTTCTCAACAGGAGCTCCCAGGGGCTCCTGGCAGGAGGATGTTCTGCCTCTTTGGAGGAAAGCAAGAGCTAAGGAGCCCCTCCTGTTTTAGTTGCACCTCCATCCCCTTTCTCCACCCTGCACCATTCCCTTACCCTCTATGTGAGGCAAAGCCTGAAGTCCCTCCTTCCCGCCCTCTCTCCTGCCCACTAGTAGATTACACTCCCTGCTGCAGTTACACCATGATGCCTCTGCCATGCTGACAACTAGTGTCACACAGGAGCGTAATCAGAAGCACCTGGCATTCAACCCCGGTACCGATGGCCCCCACCTTTTCATTTCAGGCTTCTTCCTCCAGAGTGCTTGAGGCTCCCTGGCCTCCTGGCCTCTCCCAGGTCCAAGGCGCTGACTCCAGCTCTTGGCTCCAACATTTACAGGAACACTGGGACTAAGAAAATCAATTGTGTTAATCAGCAAAACCCTCCACTTGAGATGCTATCCTAAAAGCAAACTATATGTAAAACACTTAACGTGGGGAGCTCTGTAATATGTTTCTTTTGTTACACGACCATCACACATTTGTCCGGAGTTTGGGGCTTTCAAACCACATAAGGTTTTATGTGATCGTTATAAAATCCCTTCATTTCCCAAAGGTAGGGTAGTAAGGATTAAGTTTGACTACTGAAGGCAGCTTTGTTGTAAGTGGTCTCTAATGTCACAAAAGTAGCTTGGGAAGACAGGCTTATTAAACAAATTTCTTGGGTTGCAAATCATTAGAAGCAATCGCATGTCATGTTCATTTGCTTAACCCGAAAGGTATCCATTTGGATGTTTAAAGAAACTATGCAGATTAACATTGTTCCCAGTGCCCACAAGAAAGCTGGCTGATCTTAAAGGAAATCCAGGGAGCTCCTTGAGGAAGTCGGACTGCAGTTGAGCATACCCTTTTGTGGTTTTCCCACCTCTTTTGTAAAAAGTTCTTCATAGGAATCTGTGTCTGGAGGAAAAGGGGTTGTGATTTGTTAATCTGAAGATGGGAGACCTCAAAGGAATCTCACCCAACCAGTCCTGCACTGTCATCCTATGAACAGAGAAGTCAGGTGGTTGCTCAGTGAGGGGCAGGGCTGGCACCACATCCGAGCCTCCCTGTCCTGTGTTCCTTACTCTTCAGTGGACCCGGCGACCTCCCGGCTTTGGAGCCATCCTGTGTTCCTTTAACAGTAGGACGAACACACAGGCGATGATGAGATTGTAATGGGACAAGGGGGAGAGGCGTGGGGAGCTCTTGATGAAAACTTGGGTTTTTGAAATTACCATGATGAAGGGAGGAGCTTGCACCAGCAGGTGTAAGGAGTGTGAGTTTGAGTTCTGCTCATCAGACAGCCTAAGCAGTCACATCCTTGAATCCTGGTCTTTTGCAGGCCAGTCCTTGGTCAGGTGGTGGCCTTTTTCCTCTTTCCCCTCTGCACTGAGACCCTTATTTGGCTCCTGATCCTGGAGCCCCTGACACAGTCCTTACCACTGAAGTAGCTGTGGCCCTTCACATAGTTCTTCCCACCACGCCAGCAAGGGGACTGAGTTCTTTCAGTACAGCCAGGGCCAGGTCCACACATCTCCCTGGGAAGCCAGCACTTTCTCTCGTGGACCGCCTCCCCATTCCCACAGGGCCCTCCTAAAGGGCCTTTGGATGACCACATTGGCCTTTCTTTCCTAGGGTGGGGAATTAGAGATGCTAAGACTGGCCAGTCTCTTTTTCTTAAGAGTTTAGGGATTCGTCTTAAAATATTATTCAGATAAACGTATGAGTCATGTGTTAACTGCAAAACTACTTAACAGCACACTTGTTAGAATATCAGTCGGCACTCTGATTCCATTTCGGCATTGTTTTTCCTTTGGTTCTATTAAGATCCCGGTTCTAACTGGGTCCTGGTAGTAACAGGCTGTAAGTGGCCAGGTGTATAGCATTATTTCTTAGTAGTGTGGTGTGGTGCTGGTGGTTTATTTTCCCTATGCACACATGCCCTAATATGGAAGGATAGTTTGTACACACGTAGGGTACGTTATCATGAGACTCCTTTACAGAGTATGAAACTGAGGATTAGAGAAGTCAGACGAGTTTCCCGAAGTCTTATAGAAGGCTAATGGAAAAAACCAGAGCCAAGGGCAAACATGTTTCATCTGTCCTTCCACATTAGTTTAAATGTGAATGGCTGCTTGGAACACAGTGTTGAGAAGGATTCCGAGGCTGTGTCCAGGTTCAGTGGGGAAAAAGTGCCTTGATTTGACCATTATATCGTGTACTCAGGGCCTAGTTTATTTCCCACAAGCAGCTATTTAAAACATGTCTCATCCAAGGCAGGGTCGGGGTGGGGAACCTCAGAGGATCAATGATGCAGCCTGTATTGTCACCAGGGCTCATCCCAAAGCAAATCCTGCTGAAGTTCTCCTCTGAACAACCCTTATCACTCATGCTAATATGTTGGATCCTGCAAGTCACAAATACGAAGGTATGAGCATTGGCCGAATCCCAACAGGGAAACTTCACCGGGAAGGTGAAGACCCCTTTCCATTAAGATAACAAACAGAACCTAGAAGGCCCGTAGCATGGTGGCTTAGAACATGTGGGCCTTGGATGGGATCCTGCCAAGGGGTGTGTGACCTCTCCGAAGCCTCCAGGGATGATACTACTCCCTGGGGTGCTTATGCCAACCACGTTAGAGACAATGGTTTCTGTACCCATTGCCTGGGGCTGCCATAATAAAGTGCCACACACTGAGTGGCTTAAAACAACAGAAACCTATTGTCTCACACTTCCGGGGGCCAGAAGTTTGAAACCCAGGTGTGTTAGGATCCTGCTCCCTCTGAAGGCTCCAGGGAAGAGTGTCCTCTGCTCCCTCCGAAGGCTCCAGGGAAGGGTCTGTCCTCTTAGGCTTCTGGTGGCTTGCAGGTGCAGCCCTCCAATCCTCCTCCCCAAGCGGCCTTCTGCCTATAAGGACACGAGTCATACTGGATGAGGGGCCCACTAATTGATGGCTTCTGTAAAGTCCCCATCTCCAAATAAGGTCACATTGTGAGGTACTGGGAGTTAGGACTCCAACATAGCTTCTCTGGTGGACACAATTCAACTCCTAATAACGTCCACACAACCCCAAGCAGGGCCTGGCACCCTGTGTGCTCTCTGGAGAGCGGCTGAGTCAGGCTCTGGCAGTGTCTAGGCCATCGGTGACTGCAGCCCCTGGACGGCATCGCCCACCACAGGCCCTGGAGGCTGCCCCCACGGCCCCCTGACAGGGTCTCTGCTGGTCTGGGGGTCCCTGACTAGGGGAGCGGCACCAGGAGGGGAGAGACTCGCGCTCCGGGCTCAGCGTAGCCGCCCCGAGCAGGACCGGGATTCTCACTAAGCGGGCGCCGTCCTACGACCCCCGCGCGCTTTCAGGACCACTCGGGCACGTGGCAGGTCGCTTGCACGCCCGCGGACTATCCCTGTGACAGGAAAAGGTACGGGCCATTTGGCAAACTAAGGCACAGAGCCTCAGGCGGAAGCTGGGAAGGCGCCGCCCGGCTTGTACCGGCCGAAGGGCCATCCGGGTCAGGCGCACAGGGCAGCGGCGCTGCCGGAGGACCAGGGCCGGCGTGCCGGCGTCCAGCGAGGATGCGCAGACTGCCTCAGGCCCGGCGCCGCCGCACAGGGCATGCGCCGACCCGGTCGGGCGGGAACACCCCGCCCCTCCCGGGCTCCGCCCCAGCTCCGCCCCCGCGCGCCCCGGCCCCGCCCCCGCGCGCTCTCTTGCTTTTCTCAGGTCCTCGGCTCCGCCCCGCTCTAGACCCCGCCCCACGCCGCCATCCCCGTGCCCCTCGGCCCCGCCCCCGCGCCCCGGATATGCTGGGACAGCCCGCGCCCCTAGAACGCTTTGCGTCCCGACGCCCGCAGGTCCTCGCGGTGCGCACCGTTTGCGACTTGGTGAGTGTCTGGGTCGCCTCGCTCCCGGAAGAGTGCGGAGCTCTCCCTCGGGACGGTGGCAGCCTCGAGTGGTCCTGCAGGCGCCCTCACTTCGCCGTCGGGTGTGGGGCCGCCCTGACCCCCACCCATCCCGGGCGAGCTCCAGGTGCGCCCCAAGTGCCTCCCAGGTGTTGCCCAGCCTTTCCCCGGGCCTGGGGTTCCTGGACTAGGCTGCGCTGCAGTGACTGTGGACTGGCGTGTGGCGGGGGTCGTGGCAGCCCCTGCCTTACCTCTAGGTGCCAGCCCCAGGCCCGGGCCCCGGGTTCTTCCTACCCTTCCATGCTGCCAGCTTTCCCTCCGCCAGCTGCTCCAGGAAGCTTCCAGAAGCCCCTGCGCGGGCCTTGGCTTGCAGCAACCCTTTAGCATACTTAGGCAGAGTCCCATATTTCCTTCCTGCTGGAGGCCAAGTTCTAGGGGCCTTCTGGTTACTATGGCTGGTGTTTGTGTACATCATACCCTAACTGTATTCATCAACACTTAGAGTAAGCAAGGCTCGCTGGAGAGCCACACACACTGGGCACCGTAATGTCGGTTATAACACCGCAGAGGAGTTCTGAACTATGTATTTCGCACTCCTGGGTTCATCATCTCCTGAAATCTCAGGGTGGTGTTTGCTCTCAGTTGCTTCAGCTGAGTAGCTGGCTTTCTGTCCTGGAAAGCAGACTTTGTACATGTGTGTGCAACCTATGCCTGCTGAGATCATCATCAGACAGGGAAGCGGCTTGGTCCAGAGAGCTGTTCTCAGTAGAATGTTAAGCACAGAGAGCTGAGAATTAGACTGGTTATTTACATAGACATCCAAATAGAAACCTATAGAGTATCTGTTAAGTCAGGCTCTCCCGTCATCTCCCCCATCCCTGGGCAGGTGTCTAGGAGATGGTTTTGTTATTTTCAGGGCCCTCTCAATGGCTAAAACACTCTGGGAGATGAACAAGATTTTAAAAACCCAAAGCTTAGCGCACCTGGTGGGTGGGGGTGTGAAAACTTTGAAGGAAACCGCGTCAAGAGCCTGGCTGATTGTTAATATCACGTTAACTCAGAGGGCCAGGATACTTGCCCAGACCCGGAGTCTGCCTGCAAGTAGCAGAGGAGAGCTGGCCTTGCTCTGCCGCGTGTCTTTCTTCCTGGGCCCTCTGTCTCGGGTTGGAATTTGAATAGTGGAGTAGTGTCTGCCACAGTCAGGGGCCTGGATGAAGTAGACCACCAGTACGGAGCTATACTCAGGTACTTTTCAATGTATATATCTTCATTAAAAAAAAAAAATCTGGGCCAGGCACAGTGGGTCACGCCTGTAATCTCAGCACTTTGGGAGGCCGAGGTGGGTGGATCACCTGAAGTCAGGAGTTTGAGACCAGCCTGGCCAACATGGTGAAACCCAGTTTCTACTAAAAACACAAAAATTATCCAGGCGTGGTGGTGCATGCTGGTAATCCCAGTTACTTGGGAGACTGAGGCAGGAGAATTGCTTGAACCTGGGAGGCGGAGGTTGCAGTGAGCCGAGATTGCGCCATTGCACTCCAACCTGGGCGACGAGAGTGAAACTGTCCTGAAGGGGAAACAAAAAAATCTGTATCAAAATAAGGATTTAACTAATAGTATTAGGCACTACTTTAAAAAGGCTTTGCTGTTAGTAAGGTTGAAAGAAATAGAGCCCTAGGTATACATTGGGTAGCACCTTGTTCAGCTGCTCAGATTCTTGAACCTTGTTGAGGTCTTACTTTGATATCACCTGGGCCTTACTTTTCGTTGTTTGGGTTTCCTCCCCAGGTGTCTCAATCAGGGCCTCCTCTGTCCTTTTGCAGGGAAGAAGGGGGTAGGAAGGGCCTGAAAAAGAACTTGCCTTCCCCATTGCCCCCTCAGAGTTTGTTCCTCTCCAGTCCTCTTCCCACCCTTTCTTAGGACACCAAAACCCTGACTCTTTCAGTATTTTATAATAAAATAAAGTTACTAAATTGTCTGTTCTGTTTTGCAGAGGACACACATTTAGGAGCCAGTGATTCAGACCTTCCATTTTTCTTTTTGGTGCTAATGCTCTTTTCAGTATATTCTCTTTGATAGAAAAAAAATGGAGGCAAAACTGAATTTTCTGCATTATCTTTTCCTTTAGCATTATTCTTGTTTCTGCACTTCATTCTGACCCCCTTCCCCAGCATAAAGTTCCATGTCCAGATCCACTTGCCCTGAGATTTTTGACTTCCGTTTGGGACTCTAGTCCCTCCAGGGGACACATTGAGCCTCCCAGACCCTGCAGGGCCCTGTGCTCATTCGGCTCTTGGGCTGTTGCTACGGTCCTTCCTGACCCTCTGTTTCCTGGGACAAGTAGTTTTTAATGCAGCTACTTTCTGAAAGAGCTGGGGTCTTACCGCAGAATATTATTTTATTATTTTTAGAGACAAGGTCTTGGTCTTTCGCCCAGGCTGGAGTGCAGTGGTGAGATCATAGCTCCCTGCAGCCTCAAGCTCCTGGGCTCAAGCGAACCTCCTGCTTTGACCTCCCAAGTACCAGGGACTACAGGTGTGCGCCACCATACCTGGCTAATTGTTGTTGTTGTTGTTTTTAGAGGCCAGGGTCTCCGTATGTTGCCTAGGGTGGTCTCGAACTCCTGGACTCAAGTGATCTTCCCTCCTAGGCCTCCCAAAGTGCTGGAATTATAGGCATGAGCCACCATGCCTGGCCTCGCAGGATATTATTTAAACGAAACCTGAAGGATTTAAAATCAGAGAAGACACATAAACCATCACCTGACTGTGGGGTGAGAGTGGTCTTTATATAGACACTCATGATGCACAAGCCAGCCCTTCGCCCCACTCTTGTTTTGAAGTGAAAGGATTTATATGGGAGGGAGGAGGTTTGAGCTGTGCAGGAGGGTCCTTGGTTGGCATGAGGATTTTGTGAACCTACGCTGTTAGCTCTGCAGGCCTGTCTTGGACATAGGTAAGTAGAAGTTGGAGACCTTGTGTTGTGGACCAAATGTTGCAAGATGTGTGTTCTGTGGCTTTTCATTAACTGCTGCATATCTGCTGGTTGGTGGACATAGTCTAGTTTTCTTTTGACTTAAAAAAATTAACAGTACAGCTTATATCGGAGGGCTGCATAGTTTGGGGGAAACTAATGAATATAGTATGGAATGTAATGAATGACTGACTTCTTCATAGAGCTATTGAAGTGATTTATGAAGAGGAAGAAATCATTTTTGTGACTTTGTTGATCTTTGAAGTATTAGAGTGGCTTTGGCAGGTGTGGATCACCCGGAAAGGAATCAAACACTGAGTCCTGCCAAGGTGCTCGGTCCCGGCAGCAAAGCCAGTCCTCAGCAGCCTGCGCTCCCGAAGCTCCTCCAGCTAAGTAACTGAATAGGCCGCCCTGGGAGCTGCCCATGCGGATGCTCTGAATGGTGAAACTTGGTTTTGACACCACAAGTTGTTTTCAGTTAAATCAGTGGCTCAGCAGCAGAGCAGGGTTCTCCAAGGAGGCCTCGTGTCCCCTTCACCCCACCTGGAGGTAGCTGTTCTAAAACCAGTAAAAAATTCTACAAAAACATTTTCTTAGGGTTGTTAAATTAGTCATAGTGTGTGTAACCATGAAAGGAATGGTGAGAGTGCAATAAATGCCTGGTGTGTTCACTCTCCTACTCCTAAAAGTTTCTTGGTAGAATAATTTCCTACCTGTGATGCTTGCGAAGTCAGCAGAGGCTCCCACCCAGCCCTGCCGCCCATTCCCAGAAGTCTGGGCTGGGGGACACCGAATGGATAGTCCACCAGCGGCGTGGCTTGTGAAAGGAGGTACTTGTTAAATCTATGTGTTTTTATTATAGACATCGTTCTGCCAGTCGCAATAATGTGTTTATGGACATTTTTCTGCAAGCACAGCGCGGGTGGCAGTTTTTACTGACAAATTGAGTCATATGCATAGAGGTTTAGAAAGCGCTTGCCTTATTGACGGATCAGGCAATTCTGGCACGGGATGTTCAGAGATATTTAGGTGGGTGAAGAGAGTGAATGAATCTCAGGGCAGAGAAGGAGATGGGGCATTATATGTTGAAATGCAATAAATAATCGCTAGTTATTTATCATTTGTTTTTAAACTTTTAGCTACATTGTACTTCCCAGTCAAGAGGACTCCGGTGGGCAGCCGGGGATATCATGTTCAGGTGTCTCTCCTGCTTGTGTGGGGTAAGAGCCACTACTGGAATGCGATTCCAGCAAGGCCTGACGAGTCACAGCCCCTTGAACCTGTTGCTCTCCGTAAAGTGGGATCTTCACAGGCAACAGTGGAGGAGCGTTTGAGGGTGACCTGGGCCCTCTGCATCAGAATTACTGTGGGTGCTGGCTAGAGAGGTCTCTCGATTGCAGGGCCCCATGGGAGACCTACAGGACCAGAACCTGGGGATGCCAGGGGATTCTGGCAGACCCTAATGCTTGAGCACCTCTAGGGAAGGCCTTAGGATCCTCTGGGAAGTAGCACTCTCCAGCCCAGGCAAGATCCGAGTCCCCCTTCCAGAAGTATCCATCGGCAGTTGGCATTGCTGCAGGTTTTCTGTGCATATGGGTCTGAGTACGGTTTTGTAACTCCTGAGAGACGTGAATCTCTTCAAATTGCAAACCCAACATGTTATTATTGCTTTTGAGTTTTCAGTTTTGTGGTTATGACAAGATGCAGATGTTACCAAAACTTTGGCGTCAGTTTTACAAACACACGCGAAGCACGGGCAACCCGTATCATATTTCACCCCTTCTTTCCTTTTGAGAGGGTTGTCTTGTTTTTAATCCCCCTCTGGGTCAAGGCATTTTCCTGGTCTCAGGTGAGGGTGCACTTTCAGAGGCACAGCTGAATACATTTTGTGGGACTGAATTGAGCTTTTCTACAGGAAGTGCCAGGCCGTGTGTGGGAGTGATGCTGTTTCCTAGCTGGGTCCCCCTGGGCAACTCTTAGCCCTCCAGGCACCTCCTCATCCATTGGGTGGGGACGATTATGCTTATTCGGTCTACCCGGGTAAGTATAGGCACACGAGACAGTAAATACATATTTTTTTAAAAGTAAAATTTCTATCCACTACATGGATAGAAATTTTAATTTGGAGCTGAGTCTCACGGAAGGATGAAACGAGAAGACGGCGAAGAACCATTTCGAGCCCTCGTTTTCCCCCCAGTCCAATCCGAATCTGTATTTTGCAGATCTGCACACACCCAAGCCCTCACTGGGGGCATGTGCACGGTGGTCAGAAGTGCACCTTCTGGGAACAGATGGGCTTCCGTTTGGACCTGCTTTACAAGTTACAATCCTGTGCCCTTGAGCAGAGTTACTTAACCTTCCAAGGCCAGATTTCTCCAAAAGCAGGGCCAGGGACAGTTCCCATCCA
Source organism: Homo sapiens (assembly GCF_000001405.40). Lineage (NCBI taxonomy): Eukaryota > Metazoa > Chordata > Mammalia > Primates > Hominidae > Homo > Homo sapiens. The sequence continues at coordinate 129,472,695 of NC_000010.11, forward strand.
GAAGGAGGCCTGGCGCTGGGGAGGCCTGAATGAAGGCGGTTGGTGTTTGCGGATGCAGAGTCGCTCTGTTTTGGTGGAGGCAGGACTGGAGGTCGGGATCACTTGGCCACATTTGCCACCTCTGGTGCGTCTGAGGTCACAGTGCATTGTCTGTGTGCAGCATAAGGTAGTTCCCTATTCATTTACTAGGTCCCTGAAGTCCTTTTGTCTGTAAAGAGGCTACTGGCTCTGCCACCTGCTTCTGTCTTTTCACAGTAGACATTCTCGACGTGGCAGCATTCTAAAGGTTCAGGTGTGCCACATCGGCCTAGAGTGGGCAGGTGGGCTTCATGTGTGCTCCTAGGGGCACTTGGCAGTTGCTGATAGCCCGAGACACTGGGAGCCTTGACATTATTCATCTGTTATATTGAAAGAACTTCCCAAAGGACGGACACAGGATCTGACACGATGGCAGTGGCCAGGAACCAGCAGTGACACCAGCATGTGACAGTATTTTCCCATGTGTGACGGCCGTTTAGATCACAGCAGTGAGGGGTAACGCAGGTCCGCTGGGTAAACTTGGTCAAAAATGGGAAGTCTGCAGCATTTCGTGTGTTTGTGGAAATGGGCCTTATTTTTATTTGGGGTGTCTCCTTAATCTCCTGTCATGGTTCAGCTCACCCTGGTGGTTATTCTGGGCGTGCTGCGCTTGTTGCCTTGTACAGACCAACTTAGGAAAGGCTCACCACCACCCCATGAAGGAGAAGGCGCTGTGAGTGTCTTTATTTTGCATATGAGGAACCCGGGCCTCGGAGAGTTTGAGTGACTTGCACAGGTCTCCTGGGATAGAGGTAGAGTTTTGTTTTCAACCCAGATTTATTTGATAACCAAGTGCAGGCTCATAACCACTTGTGCCAGGCTGGCTTTGCAACGATGAGCCTGAGAAGCTGTTAGAAGTCCTTTAAGGGGCAAGACAGGGTGTAAACAGACACAGACCTGTTTATGTAGCTAATGTTTTCTGAACATCAATGTGACCAAGTGTTGTCTTTAGCATTGTGGGAAAAGCAATTCGCCCAAGTGTATTCCTGCTTGAAGGCGTTGAGCCGTAGCTGAGGCTGGGTGCAGTGAGGACTTGGGGATGGCAAAGCTGTCCCTGCGTGTGCCTTGTGCCTACCCCGCACCCCACTAGAGAGTGGAACGACCAGGGCAGTGGGGCCAGAGGAAAGATGGGAGGATGCAGAGGGCCAGCCATGTCCCGGGACTGTGCACACGCTTCACCATGTCCCTGCAGGCCAGGGACCCATGCCTGATTCCCTCTGAAACATTTGCGGGACTGTGGCTACCGGTCAGGTTTCTCCAAGTGGCCCAAGGGGTGGGCATTTTGAGCAGAGCAGTGGGACTATGGATGCGGGTACATTTGGGGACCTGGCCATAGTTGAATTTGAGCAGGGTGTGGCAAGCATGTGGGGCTGGACAGGAAGGCAGAGCTAGCCAGTGGGGCCAGGGCCTGCGGAGCCCAAATGCTGCGCTGGGTGAAGGGCCTTGGGAGTCTTGTGAGTGGGGAACACTAGCCTGTCAGTGCTTCCCAGAGAAGATCACGGGGCTGGCAGGGGACTGATTGGGGCAGAGGATGCAGGATGGTGGCAGCAGGCCTGGCAGGGCGGGGACAGTTCCAGGAGGTATAGCTGGGGTCAACCCTGGTGGCTTCTGGTGAGAGCGGAGCAGGTGGGAGTCGCAGAGTGTGGTTGTGAGGGACTAAGTTTAGAATCGCTTTTCTTATTGAGAGAGACGAAAGCCTTGGTGTGTGTGCTTTTTATGTGAGGGAAGCCAGATAAAGGATCTGGCTTTGGAAGGGTAGACAGGCCGCCCTCTGCCCTGCCTGGCATCTGGGTTCTGAGGCGGGAGATTTCCCGACTGCAGCCGCGTTCAGGCGAGGATGGCAGCGGTGGACCCAGGCTCATTACCATTGCTCCCACCCCAGCCTGTCCCTGTTGGGGGCAACCTGTACGTCCTGCAGGAGTCACGGAATTTTAAAAACCAAACCGTCAGGTGTTAGAGGTACAGTCACATCAGAATGCAAATTAGAAATAGTGTGTGCTGGGGCCTTAAACACCATGACGTGTTTCGTGGGCTGGTGCGGCTGAGTGTGCCCCTGGGCAGCAGAGATTGACGAGGGTGGCTGGGCTTCCTCCGGGCCCTGGGCTCGCAGTGGCCTTGTCTTCAAGGGGCTCCCCGTGTGGTAGGGAGACGTGCTTGTCACACCCATACATTTTGTAGGTACTGGTGAGGGCTGGCTAGACTGAATGAGGTGAAGAGCCTGGCCTTTGTTGGGGGGGGTGTTGGGGAGCTTGGTAAGTGGTTGAAGATGTTGAAGAAGTCCCCTCTGAGGAGGTGGCTTTCGAGTGGAGATTTGAACAGTGAGAGGTGGCAAGGTCTGGGGAGGAGGCTTCCAGGGGACGAGTGAGAGCTGCAGGTGCCTAGATGGCTGCAGGTCGGTGTGTTGGAAGCACAGATGGGAGGTCCTATGAGGGTCACGGGGTGGGGTGGGGAGCATTGAGGCCACTGTTGCAGGCCTGGATTCACTCTAGGAGTGTTAAAGCCAGGGTCTCAGCCTCCTGCAGTTGTCATCTAGTTAAAGTCATGCCAGCAGGGCAGGGCTGTGTGTGTCTGGGTGATGGGGGATCAGATGAGAAAGTGCGTGCCACCCTCAGCACAGTGCATGAGAGGCGTGAGGCACGGCGGATGCTGCGGGTCTTATAAGGCCTTTAACGCTCGAGGGGAAGTTCCTAGAATAATGGGCGAAGAAAAGGAATGATATATTTCTAAAAGTTACTGAATTTAGCTAGCTAGCCCAAGAAAAGCCCATGTGTGCTATTCTTTATTGTGCAGAAAAATTCGTTTCTGTCACCATTGTGTTATCATCAGATTAAGCTGTCGAGTCAGATGGATGCTGTGGTTGTGCGGGGTGCGGGCCGATCAGCACACTCCCAGTGCCTCTGCAGGCCGTCAGCCTCCAGCCCAGGCCAGCCTGAGAGGCAGGCGACGTGGGAAGGGAGGGGCTTCCCACCAGGACACAGGAGGTTGCTGAGGAGGTTGCTTCCATGGTGCCACTTCTGAAATAAGAACTGTTCCTTGGAAGGAATGCACAGGTTCTGAAGTTAGTGTTCTTAAAGTTCAACGTTATCTACCCTCTTGGCCATAGTTGACCACCCTGTGGTCATCCTTGGCCCAGCAAGAGCACAGGCTCTTGGAAAGCCACAATCCATGACCATATTCACAGCTGACCAACCATTTGCCAGGAGGCAGGACTTTCTGTGCTAAAATGGGGATGTCCCAGGCAGACTGGGGTGGGTGGTCCCTGCCTCCCTCGGCTCTCATTCCAGGGTCCTCCTGGACATCACTGCTGTCACTTTGCCACTAGCTTGAGTCCACCTGGGCCTTGAGGCAGAAGCAGTCGTTGAATTTTCTTTTTTTTTGGTTCTCCGGAAGCATGGGCTTATAAGCCTTCCTGTTGTATTTTGCCATGAGTGTAATTAGAACATCTCCCAGAGCCTGGGTCACTTCCCTTTAGCTGGACATGGCCCCCGCTGTCCTTGTCACATTTTTTGGATTGTTTGTCACTCCAGAAAGCCTTCAGGGTCATGGTTCTCACTTCCTCAGACATTTTTCTCTTCTGGGTGTGAGGATCTTTTGCTCATAAGACTTGCCTTCTTTGGGCCTGAGACGCTTCTCCCCCAGCTGTGGAGATCATGACAGTTGCAGCAGACGGCTTCTTGGAAAGGTAGAAGGCTCTGGTGTTGGCTGAGGAGAAGCAGCTCCGTGGTCTCCAGGGGTGTCCTGGGTTCCCAGGAATCCCATGGCTCCTGGGGGAACCGCTGCCTGGGGCAGTGCTGGTTCCATGGTCTGTTGGGGTTCCTGGGTGCTCACACTGCCCCAGCTTAGCCGGCGTGACTCAGGATGCTAGGACCCATCGCCAGGCTGCTGGGAGTGGCTGGGTGGGGAGGTCAGCTCTGGCACCAAGGCCATGCTGGGGCTGCAGGGCTTGGCTGGAAGGGGTGCTGCCCTGTGTGTCCTGCTACAAGGGGCCGGGGACCCTCCCAACTCAGGGTGTCCTGCACGCCCACACTGCCTCCCTCTTCTATCTTTAAGACACCTGGGAAGCTTCTGGACATGTCAAACCCACACCAGACTGAGTGGCAGGGTCCACCACAGGAGTAGCTTAGTGAAGACCAGAAATGGTTTTGAGCTGGGCACTGGCACAGACAGGGTGAGAGCCAGCCGCATGGTCCTCGCAGCCTCCCCGCCTGTGGACCCCTCTCTCAGGCCAGGCAAGTCTGTGGGCTCGTGGGACCCCGGCAGTGCTGGCCTCCTGTGTTTGGGCCTCTGCATCTGTGCTCTGCCCTGAGGTTGGGTGAGTGGGGGACTCGTGTCCCTCTCTTCCCAGAGCAGCCTCTGCTCTATCCTCAGGGAACCTCTTCTGACCCGATCCCCACGCAGACATGCTCTGCTGCCCTCTCTCTCAATCTTCCCCACTCTCACTTCTTCCAGAAGCTACTTCAGCCCCCACGATCTCTCTCTGTCTGGGGCCCTTCACACACCACTGTTTTCTACTAGACTTGTATTGTTTCCATCTCTTGATGGTGGGATGCTAGATTGGATGCTCTCCAAGGCCTGGTGTGTGGTTTCTACTGGATGGAAGGCCCAGCACAGAGTGCTGGACACAGGGTGCTGTGGACTGAACCGTGTCCCCAAGATTCACAGGCTGAAGTCCTGACCTCCAATTTGGCTGTATTTGGAGACAGGGCCTTTAGGAGGAAATTAAGGCTAACTGAGTCATAAGAGTGGGATCCTACTCTGCTAGGATTGATGGCCTTGGCAGAGAAAGAGAGGATCTTTTTTCTTAGAAGAGAAAGAGAGGATCTCTCCCTCCCATACCGTGTGAGGACACAGCGAGGAGGAGGCTGTGTGCAAGCCAGGAAAGGAGCCCTCACTGGAAACGGAATCAGCCAGGACCAGCAGCTCTCACTTGCCAGCCTCCAGAACCGTGAGAAGATAAATGTCTGTTGGTTAAGCCCCCAGTCTGGTATTTTGTTACGGCAGCCCAGGCAAACCAATATATAGGTGAATTACAGACTAAAGTTGTTTCAAAGGCACAAAACTCATCAAGGGATTGTGTATGAAGTTGGAATTTGGGGCTGAGGATAACTTTGTCATCAGACAGTGCTCCAAAAAGGCACTGTTCTCAGGTTTAGCTCTTGGCATCCCAAAAGATATGAGTGTATTGCAGTAAAAAACAAGTAACAAACAGAAACCCAGATTTCATGACCAGAAACATCAGTGGTTGTGGGAATAGGGGACAGCAGGCAAGACAGGAGACTCCAGAAGCCAGCAGACCATGGAAAGGCCTGGTGCTGTCCTGGCCCTGGGTGGGCTTGCTCTGGTAAGCGGTAGAGGAACCTGCGCCCTGATGGGAAGGAGAGACCAGCTCAAATGCTGCCAGACTGGGTTTTTAAAACCAGTCTCTACAGGTTCATTGGGATTCTTTTTGTTGGTTGGTTGATTTTTTCCCCCCCTCCAGATTGGTCAGTATACACACACTAATCCAGCCTGGTTCAAAGGACAGCATGTGGTCGTCTGGTTGGACACCAGCTACATCTCTCAGAACCATACTCTTTGCTGCTTTTCAGGCTAAGATAGCTCTCTGAGACTGTTTGGAGGTCTCTGTTGATTTAGGGGCCTTGCAAGACATTTCTTGCTGAAAGCCCCGCTGGCCCACACCTCACCAAATTGGCTTATGTGGCTACTGATGGGGGGACATAGAAAAGGTAGATAGAAAAGGTTAAATTTACTTCTGTCTAACTCACCAATTCATGCTGTGGATTGTAGATCTGCAAAATATATCAAGTTCACAGGGATTTTATGATTGTTGCAAAGGAAACTCAAATTGTCAGCCTTTTCCTGAAGGATCTTGCCATTCCTAAGCTCTGGCTATGCCCCTACTTCTGGCTGGCTGTGGCCTTGCAGTGCAGGCTGGCACTGTGCCCCTGGCATCTGGCTTTGGGGGGCCCAGCTGTGCAGGGAGCAGATGCTGTGGTGAATACAGGTGAAGCCAGAGTCCTGGCTTGGGGAATGTGTTCTGCTTCCTGTAGTGCTCTATTTGAAGTGTGGATTTCAGTTCTTCGTTATCTTTTATTTATTTATTTACTTATTAGCACAGCTTGTTTGTTGTTCAGTTCCATAGTGAGAATCTCTAAGAATATGATTAACCTTGAGGGTCATCTTATCCTGTAATTATTAATGATTGATTCTGTTTATCCTTGAAATCAATAAGAGAGGCATAATGGTTTGGTCTGTAGTTGGGCGTGATTTCTTACATTTCGTAAACACGGTTCTGTGACAGCAGTTGTATCAGTTTATTACCCAGAACATGTTTGATGAATCTGAAGTGTATGATTAGTTTTATATAATTATTGTGATATGTAGTGTTCCTTACATGAGTTATGTTAATATGGCAAATAGTGTTAACATCTCCTGCCACTAATAGTTAGGGTGGGGACATATAATAATTGATCTTCCTGGGAGTGCTGTAATGTAAAAACAATTCAGGCTGTTGGAAGTATATTTTACAAGTATGCGTTGGGCCTTGGGGATGTTATATTGAAAAACCCAATTGTACAGTTACCATGGGAACCCAATTAAAATAGATTGGTTGATTTTTTTTTGTCTTTCATCTTGACCAAAAATCTAATGTATTTTAAATGTTTTCATATGGAATTGTAGTCATATACTGACTTGCTGTGCCAAAGTATTCTGCTCGTTTTTTCCAACTTTAAGCTAAAATAGTGAAAAGTTCTCGAGTGGATCCTTATGAGAACGTCTCCCAAAGAGAATCAGTCATGTTTTTGTGGAAAAGTTTGTGTGAGTGATGATGGTAGAGTGGAGGTGGTGGAAAGCTTTTATGAAAAAAGGGAGAACAAGCATTTTCCTACGAGGGCAGACAAGAACCCTCATGTTCTTCCTTTGGTGGAGGACATGAGTGTGTTTCTCCGTTCTCACGTTTGTAGAAGGTGAGATTAGGTCCCTAAAGGGCCCTCTCCGTGTTGTGGAGGGGTTGGGGTGGGGGTGGAGTGGTGGGGTGGGATCTGTGTTTGCCCTCCTTGCTGGGGGTCCTCACATTGTTTGGTCTCAGAGCCTTTTTGCACAGTTAAAACTTATGAGGGATCCCAAAGAGATTACCTGAGTTATATATTAATACCCCATTAGAAATTAGCAGTGAGAAATTTTAAAATATTGATTCATTTAGACAATAAACCTATTAGCTTTTTGCATAAATAACATTTTAAAATAAAAACTAGCTATATTTTCCATAAAAACCAATTAGGGAGGAATGTTATCAGTTTCCATTTTTTAAAACTTCATAATGCCTGGATGAATAGAAGACAGCTAGCTTCTCCTGCTTCATTCAGTCTGTTGTGATATGTTTGGGTTGAAGCGCATCAAGAGAATCTGGCCTCACTCAGGTAAGTAATTAAAAGGGAATAGTGTTTTAACAGCTTCCTCAGATAATTGAGGATGTTCTCCTTTGACACTACATCAGGACTCGGCAAGTGGTAATTTCCTGAGGGTTTGTAGCAGGGTGCAATCCGAGACCCGCTCTGTGAACTTTTTGCTCTCTATGACGTTAAAATCCACAGGTATGCCTTGCACTTTGAGTGATTTTGTAGCGTCTTTCATCGGCCCTGTGGAAAATGTTGCTTCATTGAGTTATACAGATCTTTCAAATATTGATGTTTCCTAATACAGTCCTAAAAATAATATTTGTTAATATCACCACCTTTCTCCTTAGGAAAGTCATTTAGTATTGGGAAGCCATGGTGGTGGGTACCAGTATTCTAACATTTTAATCATCACTTGAAAGTTCTGGCTGGGCACACTGGCTCATGACTGTGATTCCAGCACTTTGGGAGGCTGAGGTGGGAGGATCACTTGAGGCCAGGAGTTGGAGACCAGCCTGGGCAATATAGCAAGATCCCGTCTCTACAAAAACATTTTTTAAAAAGAAAGTTCCCCTTTTATCATCAGCAGCAGATACTGTCAGTTGTGTTCATTACAGGTACAGACTATTCATTTTTGAGAAAACATCCGCCAGATATGCAAGTCTGAATAACTGTTGTTTGTGAGTCATTCACACTAGCAAAGCTTTTGTTCTAAAATGAAGTTGGTAAGTTCATCAGCAGTCTCTGCCATTTGCGGAGCCCTCCTGGTGGCAGCGTCATTCTGGTTTGTGGCAGAAGTGCTTTGCTGCGCTTCCCGTTAGGTCACAGAATGTTTAGAAGGTCAAGATTTAGTGAAGTTTGATTGCTTCCTCAGGGCATTCTGAAGTGAACCTGCCTGTTGCCCTGACCGTGCCTTCCTCCTAGAGTTTGGTGTCAATATCTTGGCCCTTGCGGAGGCATCCACGGTTTTCCCCAGCATGGCTTCTGTGTTGTCTTTCACCGTGCGGTGTGTGGTCAGCCATAGTTTGTGCAGGTGCCCTTTAGCAGATGGGGGATGTTTTACTCTTTTCTGCAGTGAATATGGTGGATAACTCTCATTGGTTTCCATGTCTTCAACCAATTTTGTGTTCCTGGATAAATGCCCACCTGGACTTGGTGAATTACTGTTTTCATAGATTGCTGGATTTGACGTGTGGATATGTTTGAGGATTGTGTGTCTGTTCATGAGAGGTGTTGGTCAGCAGCATTCCTGGAGTGTCTGTCTGCTTTGTTAGGAGGGCAATCTTGCACTCATAAAATGAGGCCTCTTCTATATTTTGGATTAGTTTGTGTACCGTTAGCATTGTCTCTTCTTTAAATGCTTCATAAGATTTACCAGTGAAGCCATTTGTGTTTGAAGTTTTCTTTGTGAAAATAACATTAACTATGAATTCAGTTTTTTTTAGTAGCTATAGGGCCATTCAGGTCATTTATTTCTTCTTGAGTGACTTTTTGGGATTTTGTATTTGTCAAGGAATTTGACCATTTCATCTAAGTTTGTTGAATTTATTGGCCTAAAGTTATTTTTATATTCCTTTATTATCCTTTTAATGTCTGTGGGATTTTGAGTCATGTCCTTATTTTTATTCCTGATATTGGTAATTTGCACTTTGTCCCCTTTTTTGCTAACTGGTCTGGCTAGAGGTTTATCTGTTTCTTTTCAGAGAGCCAACTTTCGTTACTTGATTTTTCTCTCTTACTGATTTCTCCTGTTTATTATTGCTTTCTTGTGCTTACTTTCAGTTTAGTTTGCTTTCTTTTTTGTAGTTTCTTAGGGTAGAGGCTTAGATCATTTGGTTTTCCTTTCTTCTTTTCTCATATAAACATTTAATGCTAAAAATTCTCTCTAAGCACTGCTTTAGGTGTGCTCACAGATAGACATGCTGTGTTTTCATTTTGATTCAGAGTGGCGTATTTCCCAATTTTCCTTGTGGTTTCTTCTTTAATGCTTGGGTTATTTATTAGTACATCATTTAATTTCCAAGAATTTGGGGATTTAAAAAATATTTGGGTACTTTCCCAGTATTTTTCTGTTATTGATCTGCAGGGGTGAGTTACCTTGTAATCAGAGGACATACCTGTTATGATTTTAATCCTCCTAGATTTGTTGAGAGTTGTTTTACAGCCCAGAATATGGTCTACCTTGGTGGATGTTTGAAAAGTGTATACTCTGTGGTTCTTGGGTGGAGTGCTCTTTAAATGTAGTTGGGTAAGGTTTGTTGATAATGCTCTTCAAGCCTTCTATATCCTTATTGAATTTTGTTTCCCTATTCTAAAAATTATTAGGAGTATTGACATCTCCAGCTATGATTGGAGACTTATTACCCCTTTCAGTTCTGTTGGTTCTTGGTTCATCTGTTCTAAGTGATTTCATTAGGTGCATACATGTTTAGAATTTTAACATCCTCATGGGGAATTAACCTTTACTCTTATGAAATGGCCTTCTCTAGTTTTGTTGTCATATTCCTTTTTTGAAATTATTTGATATTAGGATAGCCACTCCAGCTTTCTTTTGATTAGTGTTTCTGTGGTAACTGTTTTTCCATTCTTTTATGTTGAACCTGTTCTTGTCATTACATTTAATGTGTGTTTCTTGTAGAAAACACAGTTGGGTCTCTTGCTTTAAAAAATCTAATCTGACAATGTCTTTGTAAAATTGGAGTATTTAGACCATTTACATTTAATGTAATTATTAATATGGTTGGGTTTAAGTATACCATCTGGCTGTTCATTTGTCATTCACCAATTTGTTCTTTTTGCCCTTCCTCCATCTTCCGTAGCTTCTTTTCAGTTATTTGGATATGTTTTTGAATGATTCCAATTTAACATTCTGTCTACACTGTTGGCTTGTTAGCTATCTCTCTTCTTTTTTAGTGGCTGCTTTAGGATGTGTAATGTACATACTTAGCTTATGCTTATCATAATCTGCATTCATGTGATATAATACAACTTCACATGCAGAATAAGCACCTTAACAAAAGTATGCTTCAATTTCTCTCATCCCATTTTTTGTTATATTATTGCTACATATGTAATATTCTCCAATATATAGAGTTACTATTTTTATGTTGGGCAATCAGTTTTCTTTTAAAGAGATTTAAAAAATCCAGAATTTACATTTATTTGCATATTTACTGTTTTTTGAAATCCTCATTCCTTTGTGTAGATCCTAGTTTCCATTGAGTACCATTTTTTTTACACCTGAAAACCTTGTACCATCATTTCTCAAGTGCAGGTCTGCTGGTGTCTGAATTGTCATGCATTTGTTTTTGTTTTTTGAAAAAAGCCTTTGTCTCACCTGCATTCTTGAAAAAATGTGAATTCTAGGTTGACCTGTTTTTTTGCTTTTTAATACTTTAAAGATGTTGTTCCATTGTGTTCTGCCTTGCATAGTTTCTGATGATCAGTTTGCCGTCATTCTTAAATTTGTTCTTCTGTATGTAATCTGGCATTTTTGCCACCTCTGGCCACTAAGGTTTTCTCTTTGTCACTTGTTTTCAGCTGTTTGATTATTTGTTTTTATGTTTCTTCTGCTTGGGTTTCACTGAGCTTCTTGCATCTGTGAGAATGGGTTACATATCCCTTATCTGAAATGGTTGGGACTAGAAGTGTTTCTGATTTTGGATTTTTTTTGGATTTTGGAATATTTGCATAGATAGATAGGTAGATAAATAGATATATAGATAGATAGATATAGATATAGATACCTTGGGGATGTGACCCAAGTTTAAACATGGAATTTTTGTTTCACATATACCTTATCCACATAGCCTGCAGGAAATCTTATGTATTATTTTAAATAATTTTGTGCATGTTACAAAATTTTGACTGTATTTCAACTGAGACCTGTCATACAAGGTCAGGTGTGGAATTTTCCAATTGTGGCATTGTGTTGGTGCAGTTTTTGGGTTTTGGAGCATTTTGGATTAGGTGTGCTCAACCTTGTTTTACCTCATATAGATTTTTCATCAGATTTGAGGAAATGTCACTGAATATTTCTTCAGATATTTTTCCTGCCTCCCCTTTTTCTGAGGCTCCAATTGCGCATGTGCTGCTTCATACTGTCCTGTGTCTCCCTGAGCCCTGCTCATTTCCTCAGTCTTTTTGTGTTTCTGTGCCTTGATAGTTTAAAAAACGTTATTTTCTCATTGTTGCTATTTTTTCCTTCTGCTGCATCTAATCTGTACATCCTATCGATTGTATTTTTTACTTTAGAGACTGCATTTTACATCTCTATATGCTCCATATGGGCCTTTTAAAATATCTTCTATTTCTCATGTCATATGTGGGTTCTCCTCTATCTTCTCAAATATGGAGCATGTTTATAAGAACTGTTTTTATGTCCCAGTCCCCTTGTTTTACGCATCTCTACTTTTCTGGGTTTGGTTCTGTTGAATGATTTTTCTCCTGATTGTGGGTTATATCCCTCTGCTTCTCATGTGTGTGTGTTTTAAATGGGATCCTAGACATTGAGAGTTTTGTTGTGGAGTGCTAGATTATGTTGTCTTTTAAAAAACAGTTTTGGACTTTGTTCTGCTGCAGGTTCAGTTTCTTGAAATTGTTTGTATCCTTTCAAGGTATCATGCTTTTTTTAAAAAAAGGTTTTGTTAGGGCAGGTCCAGACCAGGTTTTAGTCCAGGGATAGTTTAGTCCTACTATTTACATAATGTCTTTACTTTATAAGGGTGTGTGTATGTGTATATATGTATGTGTGTGTGTATTATATATATGTATGTGTGTATTTTATATATGTGTGTATTAAATATATATGTATTACATATATATGTATATATATGAAAAATAAGGCAGCTCTGAGGTCTTTACCTGATGAATGTTGTATTAGGAGATCTTTCCACACTGGCTGGTGAGAACATGAAATATTCCCAGCTCTGTCTGTGATCAGGAATTATTTGGGCTGCTACTTCTGGGCATCTTTCTTTGACCTCAGGGAGTTCCTTCTCAAGCAGTGTCTCAGTAGTTAGGCAGAGGCCACAGGGACTCTTCTGGAGATGCCTGGCGTGTTCTCTGAGTAGGCCCTTCTTCCCTGGTACTCCATCCTGATGATTCTAGGTGTTTTGTTCTTTTTGAATTCTAATCTCTCTCCCCACTTTGGTGAGAGCACCCACTGGTTTTGTGCCAGATGACCCTCCTCCTCCTTGGCACAGCCTGGAGGCTGCATCCAGCCGTTCTCTGGCGGCTGGCTCACTTCACTTCCCTTTCCTTGGGGAGCATAGCCCCTGGCTGCTGTTGTCCTTGTTCTGAAGACCATTGTTTTATATAAAAGTTGAGCACCCCTAATTCAAAATCTGAAATGCTACAGCATCTGAAAATTTTTGAACATTGACATGCTGCTCAAAGCTGATGCTCAAAGGAAATGCTTATTGGAGCATTTTGGATTTTTGGATTAGGGATGCTCCAACTGTAAGTATTTGCAAATATTCCCAAATCCAGAAAAATCTAAAACCTGAAGCACTTCTGGTTCCCAGAATTTCAGGCTACTCATCCTGGACTTTATTTCGTTTTAGCTGTTACATGTGGTTCTTGCTGCTCTGTCATGGCTAGAAGTGGGATCCCCACCAAGTTATTAGTGGACTCATAAAAATAAAAGAGAGGCCTGCTGGGCTGTTACCAGACTGAGATTGCTCAGATTACACAAAGCCCTCTGGCCCTGACCCCAGACTTTTTACCAGCCTGAAGTGGGTGAAAAGAAAGCTTCACTGACTGCTTTCTAGGCATGTTTAAGCCTGCTTATTCTGGCCCTCACAGAATAAGAATTCAAAGGACAATAATTTTCAAGAAGACTTAATTTAAGTTCATCTACCTTATTAGACTTGATATAGATAGATAGCCTTTTTAATTTTTTTTTCTCATGGAAACAGAGTTGAAGAAAACTAATTTACCTTCTAAATTTAGGCACAGCTAACCAAGTCAAGGTGTGGTTCTGTTCTTCTCTGTTCTCTTCTCTTCTCTTTTTTTTTTTTTTTTTTTGGTGGGGGGTAGACAGAGTCTTGCTCTGTTGCTCAGGCTGGAGTGCGATGGCATGATCTTGGCTCGCTGCGACCTCTGTCTCCTGGGTTTAAGCAATTCTCCTGCCTTAGCCTCCCAAGTAGCTGGGATTACAGGTGCCCATCACCACGCCTGGCTAATTTTTTGCATTTTTAGTAGAGATGGGGTTTTGCCACGTTGGCCAGGCTATTCTCGAACTCTTGACCTCAGGTGATCCACCTGCCTCAGCCTCCAGAAGTGCTGGGATTACAGGTGTGAGCCACTGCGCCCAGCCGGTTATTGTATTTTCTGTATGCTTTTTGGTCGTTCAGCTCATACTCAGTCTTTCCCTGTACTGTTTGAGAAATTCACAAGTGAATCCCAGATCACAGGTGTTTGGTGAAATTGGTATAAACCTTAACTGACTTTCTGTTAAGAAACATAAAAAAATTTATTTGTATTTCTACTCTGAAGAAGGACTGTTCAAACTTTATATGGAGGGGACCCAAGATTGGGAAGGCAGAGGAAACAAAGGGCGTCTTTGATTCACATTATTTTTCTCTTGTCATCATTGCAGGCTTAAGTGTGTGTCATCACTAGAAATGTATTCTGTTGATGTCTGTCATTTCAGCATTTTCATGTTGTCAAAAATGAGACCAGACAGAAGAAGAGTGTATTCTTTCCTGCTAGAACTCGCACAACACTGTCATTAATGCCTCTGGCAGTCAGGACTTTAATCAGTTAAATGTAATAGTGGTGATAACGTTAAAGCCTTGTATGGCAGTCTACCCGGGCAGCCTAGAGAGCCCTGTGCAACTCTGCATTTGAAAAATCAATCAACTAGGGCTGTCTTTTGTCCTGGGCTACTTGGATAGCTGGTATGAACCACCCAGCACTAGCCTCCTGCTTGTTGAGATGACACTTTTCCTGAAGCCATGCCCACTCTTGACAAAGAATAATTAGGTGCCCTGCATAAGTGTATGGGGACCTGCAGGTGGCTTGGATGGTTTGCCCTGCTCTCATGGGGGTCCACATGAGCATACAGAATGGAAGAAGTCATGATGGTTGCAGTGGTTCCTCAGAGGAACAGTGAGTTTTTCAAGTAGGACTCTGATTATCTGTAAAGGCCAAACTTGTTCCAGTGACATCACATCTCTGGGGTTGCTAGGAAGTAAAGGAGAAAATGGGTTCACTTGCACAGTTTTGGATTACATGTAAGTTTTAAAGAATAGGAATGTGTGTGTGTATGTATGGTATATACACTATATTATCATTACCAAAAATGATGCCTCCTATAGACTTTTGGTAGAAAGGAAATTTCTTTCTCTTCTGGTTGTCTGAATTTTGTTTTCCTTTTTTTTTGCTTCCCTCCGGAAGGGAATCAAAAAATTGTATATATATATGTACACACACTATATATGAAATGCCTGTTCATATCCTTTCTGCCTGTGTTTCTGTTGGGATTTCTTTTTCTTATTGATTTATAGGATTATTTTATATAGTCTGGATTCTAATCCTTTGTCAGGTATATTGGCTGCAATTTTCTTCTCCCAGTTTGTGGCCTGCATTTTCATTTTCTTTATACACTGCTAACCATGTAGGTGTATGTATGTATATATTCTGATTGTGGGTTATATTTCTTTGCTTCTTATGTGTGTGTTTTAAGTTGGATCCTAGACATTGAGAGACTGTGTGTGTGTATATATATACCATATAGGGGTGTGTGTGTGTGTGTGTGTGTGTATATATATACACACACAAACACACATAGGTGTATACGCAGGTATACACACACACACACACATAGGTATACACACACACACACACACACACACACACACACACACATGAATATACCTATATGGTTAGTAGTGGGAAGCCAAGCTGTTTCTCACTGTCAGATGGTTAAGTTTTGAAATTTTCTCTCATTCTACTCAAGGGTAGAATGATTGGAGTGTCAGTGTTCAATGCTACAGGACAATAACTTTTGTAAAAATGGTTAAAGCAGATTAGACCCCAGTCAGTTAATCCACCTCCTCACCAAAACTTGGAGTTATCATGCTACTAACACTGCTAACCTACTGGGTAAAAATCCTGTCTCATAGTGATCTTAATTAGCACTTCCGATTGAGAGCAACCTTCAGCATCTTTTCGTGTTGCCATTCATCTTTTGCGAAATGCCTGTTCATACCCTTTCTGCCCATATTTCTGTTGGATTTTCTTTTTGTTATTAACTTATAGGATTATCTTATATAGTCTGAATTCTAATCCTTTGTCTGTTATATGTGCTGCAATTGTCTTCTCCCAGTTTGTGGCCATGTTTTCATTCTCTTTATAGTGCCTTTTGATGGACAGGAGTTTCTAATTTTAATATAGTTGCATGTAATTGAATTTATGATTCTTTTCCTTTATAGTTTGCACATTTTGTGTCTCGTTTCAAAGTGCTTCCTTATCCCCAGTCATAACAATTCCACTATTTTCCTATGAAAGTATCAGTTTTCCTTTTCATATACAAGTCTGCAGCTCATTTGAAATTAACTTCTGCTGTGGTATGGAGTGGAAGTTCAGTTCTTTTTTAATATGAATAATCAGTGGCTCCAGCCCCATGTATAGAGTAACCCCACCTTTCTCCAGGGCTCTGCAGCGGCTTCACTGCAAATATATGACAAACATGTGACATGTGGATATAGAGCAAGAGAGGCACTGCAGAGCCCTAGAGAAATGAGGAGAGACACAGTAAATGGTGCTGGAGCTGCTGACTATTCCAAGTGGACGCATGCCTTTTTCTAGGCTCTCCTGTTCCATTGATCTTTTTGTCTTTCTGTACTAACGCCACAATGCATTAATTACTATAGCTTTAGGCTAACTCTTAAAATTGATGAGTCAGCCAGGCACAGTGGCTCATGCCTGTAATCCCAGCACTTTGGGAGACTGAGGTGGGCAGATCATGAGTTCAGGAGTTTGAGACCAGTCTAGCCAACATAGTGAAACCCCATCTTTACTAAAAATAGAAAAAATTAGCTGGGTGTGGTGGTGTGTGCCTGTAATCCCAGTTACTCGGGAGGCTGAGACAGGGGAATTGCATGAACCCGGGAAGCGGAGGTTGCAGTGAGCTGAGATAGCGCCATTGCACTCCAGCCTGGGTGACAGTGCAGGACTCTGTCTCAAAAAAAAAAAAAAAAAAAAAAAAAAATTGGTGAGTAAATCCTCATATCTTGATTTTCCATTTTCCTCTTCAGGAGTTTCTTGATTCTTTTGGGGCCTTTGCTCATCCATTCGCATTTCACAATGAGCTTGTCACATTCTTAGACTAACCTGTTTGGTATTTTGATTGACGTCCTTGGGTCTGTAGACTAATGTGGGGAGAATAAGATCTTTAGGATATGAATCTGCCTCTTCAGGAATATGCGCTCTTGCACTCTCTGTCTCTCTTGGATTTCCTTAATGTCTCTCACATTTTAATAAGTTTTTTCATAAACAGCTTGTGCACCTTTTGAAATACTCCCCGTGTCCTTATTTTTTGTTGTTGCCATTAATATTATAAATGGTATCTTTTTCTAGGATTAGATTTTTCTTTATGACTGATATGCGGAAATGCTATTAATTTTCATGTCATCTTTAATTTACTTTCTAATTTTTTAAAATGAATATACCACATATATATTCTTTGTTTTTTCTACATAGACAGAGTTTTGCTTCTTCTACTCTGTAAACCATTTCTTTCTTTTACTTGTCATATTGCACTAGGATCTCCAGTTCCATTTTAAGTCGATGTGGGGATAATACACTCATCTTGTTGCTTATTTTAAAGGGAAAACTGCTAACTCTTCATTAACAAAAATGATGCTTGCTATAGACTTTTGGTAGAAAGAACTTTCCTTCTCTTCTGGTTATCTGAATTTTGTTTTCTTTTTTTTCTTTTTTCTTATTTTGCTTCCCTCCAGGAGGGAAACAAAAAATTGTCAGAAACTATTTCAGAGCTGAAGAAAACTTCTTAATCTCCTTCTCCTCTACTGTTCCTTGAAAACTTTTTAAAAATTATGAACAGGCTTCAAATTTTATTAAGTGATTTTTCTGCATCTATTTAACTGTTTATGTGGTTCCCATCCCCATATCTGTTAGTGTGGATCATGACTTCTAGGGAATTATTAATGTTAAGCTATCTTTGCATTCCTGGGATGAACATTACTTGGCCACTAAGAATCATCCTTTAAACACCTGCTCTAGACCAAGCTTATTAATTTATTGCTTTTAACTTTGGCCAAACTAGTGGTTTAATTGTTTTTAAGGTTATTTATTCTTTATTGTTATTAAGATTATTCTTTTTTAAAAACTGGTTAGGTTAATTATATGAAGCTATATTTTTGCACAGTCTATCTTTTTCTACCCTTTAGCTTTCAGCCTTTGTTCTTATATTTAAAATATGTGTAAAGTAATATAGTTTTAAAAATATCCAGTTTGGTAGTCTTTATTTTTTAATTATTTAGTCCAGTCACATTAAAATAATTATAGTTGAGCTTACTTTTACCATCTTGCTATCTGTCTTCTATTTGTCCCATCTTTATTTGTTCCTGTATTTCTAATTTATTTTGCTTTCTTTATGATTAATAGTTTTTAAAACCATTTTTCTCCCCTTTCTGGTTATACAGATTTGTATGTTTCATTTAGTGATTAGCCTAGAGATTATAATATACACCCTGGACTTACTATAGTTCACCTAAATTGCTACTTTGCCACTTCCTGAATAGTAAAATACTTTACAAAATGTTAGTCATTTCCCTTTCTCCCAGCTTGGATGCTGTTGTATTTTAATTATATATACACATTTAAAATGCAGTAGTCACTTTTGTCACTGTTTAAACGTTTGGTGTTTGTGTCACCGTGCCCCATGCTTGCCCTCCAGTGCTCTCCATTGGTTCTCCATCATCATGCCTTCGTCTGGGGTGACTTCTGCTTGAAGGACTTGTTTGTTTACTTAGTTTTTAATGCTAGTCAACTGGCAGTGAATTGGTCCATTTTTAAACACTAATAGTTATTGATTGTTGAGTTAGCAATTCTTTACCTTATAAAATATGACATTCCATCGTCTTCTGGTTTCTGAAGTTTGCTGAAAAGTCAGCTGTCAGTCTTATTGTTGCACTTTTGAAGATAATGCAAATGTTTTTACTCTGGCTGCTTTTAAGATTTTTTCTTTGGTTTGAAGCTAATTGTGTTATGGTTCTTTGAGGTTTTCTTCATATTTATTCTGCTTAGGGTTTGCTGAACTTCTTGAATTTCTGGATTGCTCTCTGTCATCTATTGGCAAATTCTTGACCCTGATCCCTTCAAATATTGCTCTGCCTCATCCAATCTGTCCTTTCCTCTCGGAGTTGAATTATAGGTAGGTTAGTCCTTTTGACTGTCCCTCGGATCTCTATTCTTGTTTTCTTTCCATTCCTTTCCCCTTTCTTGACCACAGTTTGGATATTTTCTGCTGAGCTCTCTGGCAGATCACGGACCTTGTTTTCTGATGTGTCCAGTCTGTTACTAAACCCATCCAATGAATCCTGAATTACAAATTTTGTATTTTTCAGTTCTAGAATGCCCGTTTTGTACTTTAATATATATTTTAATTCTATATTTAAAATTCTTCTCTTTCCCACTTATGTTGTCTGTCTTTTCCTCTTATTATTAAGTGTATCCATTGTAATTATTTTACACTTCTTATCTGCTAGCACCAGTATTGTGGACATCTATTCCTCTGCTTGTATTTTCTTCTTTTTTCCCTTCTCTTTATTATTATTAAATACATGTTTTTGCTTTTTGCATGCTTTTAAAATTGTGAGTGTTTGCTGGACTTGTGCATAAAGGACTGTAAAACCTCTGGATTGTCGTGTTTTTCATCAAAGCAAAAGCTCTCTTTGCCCTTGGTTAGGCATATGGAGTGAGGGGTGAAGGACCTTGGTTTCATGAGGGATTGATCTGGGTCAGGGCTGGCCTGTTATTTTACTAAAACTCAGTCCCTAGTTGGACCTTCCCTTTGAGCATGGTCTTTTGATTGGAAGCCCATGGTCTCTTTCTCCTCAGCCTGTAAATGCTTTGGGAGATCCCTTGGTTCTCCCCTTAGAAGGTTTTGAGCTGAGCTCTTTAGCTTCCCACGTCCCCTGTTTCAAAGTCTCCTAAATGTCCTGATGGGAGATGTGACTATGTGTGAAGCAGGCCCTTCTCTCTCTGTCTTTCCGCCTACCTTTCCTCCCACCCCAGTCTCGTAAGTGCTATTAGATTAAGGGATAGTGTGCTTTTCCTTTTAGGAGCCCTCACTTGACCCAGCTCTCTAGGCTCATGAACGCAGCCCCATAGGATAGCAAATTGATTGCACTTTTGGGGTTCTGATTCTGATCTTTCATGCCATCCCCAATGGGCCACCCAGAGCTTCCCTGGTTTCCCTTCCCAGGTGGAGTGGCTTTGTGTGGACTGCCACGGTGCTCCCCATCTGCACCCAGGATCAGCAAGTGTTTCTGGGCAGCAAAGGGCAGTCTCCACTGTACAGTCCCAGTCCCCCTAGTCCTGGTTGCTTCCACAGCTCTATAACATTTTAAAAGACGAGTTTTGTAATTTTTCTGACTTTTTCCAGTTCCTGTGGGAACATTGGGCTGCCTCCATTAGTTCGTTTTGCTTGGAAATGAAAGTCCATTCTGAGCACTTGCTTGAAATCTTGATTGAAGTCTTTGATTTCTGCTTTCTCCTTGGTCATGCTTTCTCCTGTCATCTATCTTCCTTTGCCCACACATTTCATAAATGCTTATTTCGTATTCTACACAGGTTGCTTTAAATATCTGCAATCCTGTGGGTGGAGTGTGGGCTTTGTGGTTTTCATCTTTCTGTGATTTCTTGTAACTCTTACGATGACACGGGACCTTGTTTGATGACTTGGTTGATTATTAATTTATATGGGCTGAGCCTGATCTGTTTGACTCCTGAGTGCCTAAATTAGGGATGCTTTTCCCTAAGGGTGGGTGTTTGGGTTTCTGTTGCCTGGAACCAGGGGGTCTCAAGGCAGCACCACTCAGATCTAGGACTTTCTAAGGCTTCTCACTCAATCAGGGCCCTCGGGTTGTCAGGGAGGCCCCAGTGGAGCGTCTGGAGGTCATGAGGTGTGCACCTTCTCTGCTGATGCTGCCCACTTTCCCTCTGCTTCCTCCAGCCCTGGCTTACTCTCCTTTTTCCAAGTGCCCCGATTCTCTTTGGATTGCCCCTGCTTACTAGAGAGGCCATTCAGGAAACTTTGAAACATTGCCATTTATTCAATATCTAGTGCATCGTAGTCCCTTAATCCAAAACAACTGGTTTGGTTTTTGCATAAAGCTACCAGAAGATAAATATAGATAAAAATCTTGAAGATTTAGAAAAAGTAATATTAAAATAGATCCTTAGATATGTTCTTATCAACATCTGCAAGTGTTCATCCCAATATGGATTCCATCAGTTAGAGGGGTTTTAAGAGGGGTCACTGTGCGCCAGGCCCAGTGTGGGATCTGGGGGAGGTTGTCAAAGTTGTCTTCTAATCCAGAACAACTTGCTCACTAATATTTATATTTCTGCCTTCAATCTGGGAAGCAGCCCTTTTCAGAAAGGTTTGCTGCAATACTCTCTAGGGGACAAAGCTGAGTGAAACTCTAGAGGCTTGTCTTATACGCATAGACATCACGTGCACACTTACACCCCAGTCATTTCCGCATGTGGGATCATCACAGTTGTGTGTTTGACTTTTTCACCTGACCTTGTAAGTGCTTAGCCATATATTGAACTCTTTAATATCATTTTTGGAGATGGCATAGTGTCCTACTGTAAAGATATAACCTTCTTCCATTGTTAGGAATTTAGGGCAATTTCATATCTGAGACTCTGTCTTAAAGAATTAATTAAAATTTTGTGCACAAAGATGTTTAATATAGTGTTTTGAGAAGTCAAAACACAGGGAAGACTTCTTGTGTCTTACACTGAGAAATTCTTAGCCAGCCTCTTAGTTTCCTGAATTCAGGACTGTGTTGTGTAATTTTGAAGCCCCAATAGTGATATGGTCATTTTTTTCATATCTTCATTCAAAAAACCTCAGTCACCTGGGGAGTGGGTGGGGTGTGTGCTGGACCCTGACCTTGAACTGTCCAGACAAGTTCCTAACCACGTGGAGCTCAAGCTTCCCTGGGGCTTACCTGAATGACCTGCTCAGTGGCCAGCCACTTGCTGCGTGTCAGCCGGTGAACTCTGGGTTCCTGGCTTATCAGAGACTTCAAGTCCTCATTACCTTCTGGGTCTCAGTTTCCCTAATATGTGCAATGACAGGATTGGCCAGGGCTTTCCAACAGAAGTTTTTGCAATGATGGAAATGTTCTGTGTCTCTGCTGCCCAATGTGGTAGCCACTAGTCACATTGGCTGCTGGGCACTTGAAATTGACTCCTGTGGCTTAGAAACTGAATTTTAAATTTTATTACATTCCAATTAATTTAAATTTAAATAAGTAGCCACATGTGGCTAACAGCTGCGTATGGACACTGCCAGTCTAGACGGATATGATGCTTGTTTAATGGTCTTAAGAGGTCTTTAGAGTCTATTCTAATCCTGACATCTGGTTTTCTTTGCTTGTTTGTATTTATTTGTTCCTTTATTTTTACCACGACTGCTCTGAGTACCAGGAACTCCTTTTTGGGATGTCACAGATCACCAACTTCCTTCTCTGTGCTGTGTCAATAGGGACGTCACCCCTGTGGGGAAAGGAATTTGCCTGAACAAGACACTAAAAAGATAAAATAGGCTGAAGCGGAGAAGAATAAAAGATTGTGCTGGCATGAGCTAGTTTTGCAAAACCCATTTAAATAAACTCAGGATATTACCGACCCCATGCACACATTCTTTCCTTGACTCTGCAATGTTCCGTTAAACCAGATTGTGAATTTTTTTCAGGATTAACAATTTACATTTATGATTCTATTTTCTTTTATAAGTAACTGCTATTTGTAAATGAGACTAATTATTTGAATTCATGGTACAAATAACGTAATTTAGAGTTACAGAACTCTTGATCCTCTGGGTCTAAGCAAAATAAACGTAGTACCTAATGCTGGAATAGAGCAAGAGTTTTCTTTGAATCTCAAAATATCTGCATTGTGAAACTGGGTTAAGTTATTTTGGAAACTATAAATAGTCACTTGGTAATTAGGTGTTTGGTTTTATTTGTTCTAATGGAGTGCTTATTACAGTCGGTGCATTTTTACCCCACGGATCAGAAGCTTTTATAGGCCAAGTGATGAGAGACCATCTTCTACATTTCATTTGCTGATTGTGACTCATCACTGATGATCGATGGACTGCTGAACTTTTTAATTCCTGTTTGCTTGTAGAGAAAGAAAATTCTCATCTCTTTTGATAGGTCCTACTCCAAAATTCTGCAGCCGTTTTGTACAATCATAACCTTACACGATATCACACAAAGGCAGAGAAACGATTGCATGGACATGCCTTCCTGTCAAACGTGTATGGAATCTGGCCCGTCCTAGGCTTATCTCTTTCCACCAGGATTCTTCTTCCCATTTTTCTCAGCAGAGCATCTTCACGTAGTTCACATGACATCAGAACTTCATCAGGATGTAAGTTCCTGCAGAAATAGGCCTGTGTCTGGTCAGTAAACAGAGAATGTAATGACATTCCCAGAGCATTCACAGGCCAGAGTCTGGTGTCCTCCCCAGCGTCCAGCAGGCTGCGGATGGATGGCATGCAGCTGACAAGATTGATACTGCATTAGACATTCCTGGAGGTCCCTGCGGCTGGGGACTGGCACTCGCAGGCCTCCCCCTGCACACAGCTGTCTTTGGAGAGCACAGAGCAATGGGAGGCGGTTTTGTTTTACTATTTGCCATTTAGAGTCTCACTTTTAATTTATCCTCACTCTTTAAGAAATAATTGGTAATTTATTTCTTAGAGATCAAATGTTGCTACAAGCTGAAAACTGTTTTATAAATATTTCAGGAAACTTGAATGCCTGGAATTTTCATCGTCACGCTTAAGTCTTCCTCCAAAAGGGGATGGACTTCGTTCCATCCCGCTCCAAAAGCTGGTCCGATTCTTGCCTGGGTGTTGTATGCTATTTGCCTTTTCCATAGGCTCCAATAACAATAAGTACATCTTAAAATTGATGAAAGTTTAATGAATGGCTAGCAAGCAGAGAGACTACTTTTATAACAAGATTAATACCTTGGCTCAGGGGACATAACATTTTAGTAAAATCAAAATTTGTATAGTTATCCTAGCGGTGCTTGCAACCTCTGGCTTCCATATAAAAATGTCTAAATAAAATACTGGCAGCCGTCTCTAGCCATTATTTCCATCTGCTCTAGGTGGCCTGACCCGGAACCCACTCAGGGTGGT
The DNA here is from genome assembly GCF_000001405.40 of Homo sapiens. Taxonomy (NCBI): domain Eukaryota; kingdom Metazoa; phylum Chordata; class Mammalia; order Primates; family Hominidae; genus Homo; species Homo sapiens. The sequence goes on from NC_000010.11 coordinate 129,496,596, forward strand.
GCACTCTGGGCCGGGGTCTCTGGGATTTCTGTCGCATCAGCTTGTGCAGCCGTGGAATGGGGATGGGGCACTGAGGCTAGCTGTCCCGTGCTCTAGAGGTTCCTGGGAAAAAAATACAGAGAGAAATAACTCACAAGGGAGCCAGCATTTGGTGTTGTTTTAAATAAATTCATTCATCATCTATACCTTTTCCCCTTTTAATTACTACACTTTAAAAGGGATCTTGGTATATATTTATTTTTGTTTTGTTAATTTTTTTCTTTTTTAAAAAATTAATTGTAGAGATGGGGTCTCTCTACATTGCACAGGCTCGCCTTGAACTCCTGGCCTCAAGTGATCCGCCTACCTCAGCCTCCCAAAGTGCTGGGGTTACAGGCATGACCCACTGTGCCTGGCCAGTTTTTTTTCCCCCTTTTTGGCAAGGGAAGGCTATCGGGGTAGAAGTTCTGAAGCAAGTACTCTGAATGGTTTCTGATTTTAATAGGGGGAGCATCATTTCCTGATCTAATTTATAATGTGATATAAAGCTGCTGGCCAGCTGACACTAATCTTAATTTATGATCTATTTAACCTTTATATTTCCTAGCCACAGCTCGTACCACTCCCCCGTCTCTGCACCAGCATGTTTCAGAGGCAGGCAAGCAGCATCAGTTCTGGATCCTGGAGGCAAGGGGAGGGTTTTCACGGAGGGGCGGTGCACAGCTCTGTGCCTCCCCGGTCAGCTGGTCCGGCACTGCAGTCAGCAGCAAGGGCGTGGTGAGGGCCCTGCAGATTCTTCACACTGTCCTGGTCCTCTCTCCTGTTTCTGAATGGCAGGACTTTGGGGTCAGATTAGACCCTGCATGTACATAGATGACAACGGAATGGCTTTTTGGGGGGACTTTTTATTTTGAGATAAATTTTAGACTTGCTGAAAAGTTGCACAAATAGCACAAAGTTTCTGTATGCAGCCACCATCTGGTTTCTGCCAGCACTAACACCTCACACTTACCACAACCAGGGCGCTAACACGGGTGCACTACTGTAAACCTTGCCATCTCTCCTTTGTCTCCTCTAGTGCAATGGTCTGAATTTATGCTTCCTCCAAATTCCTGTGTTGAAACTCTACCCCCATGGTGATGGCCTTTGGAGGTGGGGCCTTTGGGCAATGACTAGGTCAGGCTGGAGCCCTCAGAATGGGATTAGTGTGCCTATAAAAGAGGACTGAGGGAGCTCACTGTCCTCTTCCACCACGTGAGGACGCGGCGAGAAGGTGCTCTCTGTGAACCAGGAAGAGGGCCCTTATCAGACACGGGCTCTGGCGGCACCTTGATCTTGGACTTCACAGCCTCCAGAATGTGCGAGATGAATTTCTGTTGTTTACAAAGCACCCAGTCTAAGGTATTTTATTCCAGCAACCAGAAGGAACTAAGACGTCTAACTTGTGACAGTTCCTCTTGCCTTGTTTTTTGTGACCCTGGACCCTTTCGAAGAATACTGGTCAGGTATTTTGTAGGATGCCTCTCGTTTGGGTTTGCTGATGTTGTCTCACAGAGAGACAGAGGTTACGTGTTTTTGGTAAGAAGGCTCAGAAGTGATGTGCCCCCTTGGGCCATCCTGTCCTGGGGACATATGTCTGTCAGTTACTGTGATGTTAGCTTGGTCACTGGGTATGGTGAATCTCTTGTGCATTTCCTCTTGGTAATTGAAGTTTTCCCATTGGTAATTAATACCTTGGGGGAGATATTTTGAGACCATTTTGGTTCTGCTCAGGCTTTCACCCACTCATCTTAGTGACCGTGGGTGTGTCTTGCCTGTGGCAGTTATTACTGTACTGTTTCCCTAATGTTTGTATTTCCCTCCTTCCCTTTTCATTTACCAACGGGAACTGTTCTGTAAGGAAGAGCTGTCTTTTCTTTCCCTTTTATTTATTAGTCATTGAATTATTCACATCAGCGTAGACTCATGGATATTTATTTTAATTTCTGGGGTATAGTCCAGTGCTGTCTTTACTTAATTTTGTTACTCAAATAGCCCCCAGTTTGGCTTTTTGGAAACTCTTGGGTTTGGCTCCTATGTCTTTTGGACCTGCCCATCGTTTTTCTAGCGCTTTCCTACTTTCTGGGATCATAGTATGATCCAGGTGTATCTTGTGTTTTCCCTGCCCCAGCCCTGGATTCAGTCACTTCTCCAAGGAGCCTCTCTTCCTTTTAGCTGGAGGATGATGTTTAGCAGCCAAGATCTGGGTGCTGAGTGTGCTTGCTGCTGCTGAGTCACTGCTCTTCCTGCCCTTCTCAGTAGGGGGAGCTAGGGGCTGTATGTGTGTCTACTGACCCGTGCATCTGCATTTATTTCTGTGTCTGCTGTCTGCATGCATGTTAAAAACTGCAAGTTCATCTGATGCCTCTAACTTGAATTCATCACAGCAGGTTTTATTCTAATCTCTGCCTTTCCTCTTTGTAGCTGCCTTCTCCAACATTGAGAAACCTGGCCCTCTTTATCTGCAACATGTTTGCTTATATGGTGGCTTCCTTTAAAAAGAATCTGGTAAAACCTGTGTCATTGTGTTTCAGCCACTAGATGCAGATGAGGCTTAGTAGGAAAAGCCCTACTTGTGAAGAACAGTATTTCCTATGCTTGCTTGGTGGAAAAAGTCACAGAATTTTCTATAGAATTCTCTGTAAACATGGTTAGGAATATAGGGTTGACATTTGGACTCAAATAGAAAATGAAATCCTTTTGTTTCATTACTTATTTCGTTACTCAGCTTTCACCTTGACTCTTGGAAAACTGATGGCATGTTTCCAAATGGATATGCCAGCTAATTAGCTTATTTCTCAAATATCCATGTTGGATGTGGAAAACAAATAAAAATAAAGCAAGGAAGACCCTCTACTGTTGTTATGTGAAGAATAACAATTACCTTTAATAGCATTTTCTGCTAATTTAGAGATTTTTCTTTTTCTTACACTTATTTTCTAACTCCTATGATTTGTGTAATTCATATCTTATACCTACATCTGATTCATTATGATTCTTAATTCTCTTTGTTGTAAACAGAAATATTGAAAATTCATTCGATGAACCTAAAACCCTTTAAAAGGTCTGGTTAAATTTTAACATTAAGGGTGATACAGTATTCATGCTATAGAACACAGACAGTCAGAAATCTTATGAAGTGTTGGAGACTTTAATGGATACTGTACTATGTAGAATCTGATCACGAGACTCCTGCTTCATCACGTTTTTACTCGAATTGGGTTTCCTGGTGACAAAAGACTGTGAAGTAGCTGACGGAAATACATCCTTATGTCAGTTTTCACCCGATGACTGAAAATTGTTGGATATATGCGTGAAATAATTAGGTCTTATTTTTGGAAGGGAGAGAATATAACCGACTGAAAAATAATTTGGAGTTAATTGTCCTGAAAATTCACCTACTGTATATTAATAGGTTAGGTGTTTCCTAATTCTTTCTTTCTTAAGCATATCTTCCTTTTCCTTACACTCTTTTTGACACAAACTTTTGAATATGGACTCACATTATAAATCTTGGGATTGGAAAGGCCATAAAGATTGGATTTTTAAAACTTCAACAATGTAGAGGAATACCAGTGTTGTATTTGTTCAGAAAGTCCTCATTGGCGCTGATTTGGGCACCGCCTGGTTTCCTACCGTAGAAGCGTGTGCTGTGGTGGGGTGAACTGGGCGGGGGATTCACACCAGCCTGGGCCCTGGGCCATGGGGGGCTGCCTCCCAGGGCTGCTTCAGCCGACAGGAGGGTGCGGTGGTGAAGAGGCAGGGCTCTGGGGATTGGAATCTCCACGCTTGACTTTAGGCTTCTACTGCTCACTCGAAATGGGACCTGAGGCAAATTATTCACCTGCATTGTGCTGGGTTCCTCACCTGTGATACATGGATTATAATATCATCTCTCTTCATGGGTTATTGTAAGGATTGATTTTATTAATATTTCGAATGTTAACGTTATTATTTATTTATTTTGAGATAGAGTCTGGCTCTGTTGCCCAGGTGCAGTGGTGCGATCTCAGCTCACTGTAACCTCCACCTCCTGAGCAATCCTCGCACCTCAGCCTCCTGAGTATCTGGGATTACAGGTACCCACCACCACACCTTCCTGATTTTTGTATGTTTTTGTAGAGACAGTGCTTCACCATGTTGCCCAGACTGGTCTTAAACTTCTGAGCTCAAACTATCCGCCCGCCTTAGCCTCCCACAGTGCTGGGATTACAGACATGAGCCACCGCACGCAGCCCAAATGTTAAGTGTATGACATAAAATTCAGGGTTACTTTGCCTAAACAGTTCAGTGTCTCTGATTAATGTGATTTCTGTTTCACTGACAGCTTTCATGTAAATTTAAAACTAGATAGAATTACAGAGCTTCAGAGTTGTACAGACTTGTAGAGGTAAAGTAAAGCCAAAACATTGAGCTCAGTGACGGGGTCAGTCACTTCCTGGTGTCAGAGTCCACTGACAGGCTCTGGCAACTCTTGCATCAAAATCCTTTGCACACAGGTCCTTTCTTGCTCTTAGCCAGTAGCAGCTGTCCTGGGCAGAGTTCCCTCAGTGAACCTGGAAACGGCAGTGGCTGGAGGTGAGAGGTGTCCATGTACTCACTTGTTCAAAGTTGCCCCCTCTTCCCTCTCTGGGCTTGGGCCCTGATACCTCTCAGAGCTACCCTGCCTCCTGCGGGGGTGGGGGAGGATGCCTTTATTATCTCTAGGCCAAAGGTTGGACCTCCACATATGTCCATGATGAGGGACAGCAGTCATCCCTTTCAAGACCGAGAAAGTATTTAACTCCTTGGAAAATTGAGGGTTTATTTTGCAGTGGTTTGGAAAATGTGCTGAGGGTGGCTGTAGAGTTAACTAAATAGAATGTTTCAGAGTCACAGAGATTTGTAATTGGTGGGCTTGGTTTGTTTTTATAGTGCTTACTCCTTTTTATCTGCCTTGTGGATTTATGCATTTATTTGATAAGTCAGTCATTTACCTCCCCATTCTTTGGTTTTCATGTTTCTGTTTATCATCAAGATAAGCAACTGTGGGTTTTCTTCCATCGAAGCACCTGCCGCAGGTGATGATTTTAATGGTATGACTGCCATGGTCACCACGACCATTCCGAGGACTCTAAACATGTTTCTTGTCCAACACTACTTTAATTTGAAACAAAGCCTGAATTGAGCAGCATTCGTGTCTGTGGTAGACCAGGGAGGCAGGGCTCACCTCTGTTTTCAGTTCCCCTTTGCTGGATGTGCAGGAGGACTGCCCCGTTCCACTCCTTCAAGGGTGGCTTGGTCATGGACTTGGTTTGGCTAATGAGCGTGGCCTGGAGTGGCATGTGGTGCTTCTTGGTAGATGTGTGTGCACACCAGCTCTTGGTTCTCCCCATGTGATACTGGGACAGCTGTGGGATGGGATGGGCGCAGCCTGTGGCATCAAGCTTGCATGAATCAAGGCCGCTGCTGGGGCTAGCCCAGACCCGTAGTGGGTTTGGTGGTGGTTGTTACTGCAGAGCGTCCCAGCCATCCTGACTAGTACAGCGTGGAGTGTGTCTATGTCCTGGAGCTTGGGGAGAGTCCTGGCCGCAGTCCAGGCTTTGAAGAATGTTGACTTGACCTGGAATACCCACCTGTCCCTGGAGTGCTGTGTTCTTAGGCTAGTTCCGTAACCTCCCTGTCTGCTTCTTCATCTACACACCATTTGATCTTCCTTAGGTTTGCTGTAAGGAGTAAATGAGATAACGCATGTAAAGCACCTGGCCCGGTGCCAGGCATATTTAGTTAATACGTTGCGTTCCTACCCAGCTAGACCTTTTAACAGTCCATTGGCATCAGGTCACCTACAAAAAGGTACAGAAGCTGCCTTTCTCTGTGGTATTTGCTTTTTGATTAAAAAAAGGAAATAAATGATCACATAATTGTTTTATTTTGCCTTAAAAAATGAGTAAAAAAAAAATGTGGCTCACATATGCCAGAGGTGTGATATGTGAGTCGTCTCTCCCTGAGGAAGGCTGCAGCTGAGGTTGGGGGTGAATTTTTTCCCCTGCATGAAGAGGGGTGACTGGGGATGGGGCCGCCTCCCTTCCTAAATTTCCGTGCTCCCTGTTGGTGTAATTAACTTAGGGGAAACCACACGTGGGGATTCAGGGGCTTCTCCCTTTATTCTTTTCCTTAAAATCAAGTTACATTTTTTTTTGAGCAATAAACTTTAGAACAAAATGAGGAATAGAAAACAAGATGTCGAGACAAACAAGCCTTAGCGAGGCAGCTGTTAAAAGCAGCCGGACCCAAACAGAGCATAAAAATGCATGTAGTCCAGAGAAGCACTTTTTCTTTTTACGGCTCTACCCCGTATTTCATTTATATTTAAAACTGAGTTGACGAATATGAATACAGATATTTAGAGTTATTGTAAAGTCGTATTTGTTTATGTGCGTGGTCCAGTTTCCAGGCCATATCTTACAGTTTAAAAGGGAGAGCAGTTAATGGTTTCGCCCACACTGCTTGGATTTTTTTTTTTATTATTATCCTCCAGCTCCTATTCTTCAGGTGTGCAGCTATTTTAGTATTATGAAGAATGATGGATGATGCAGGAAAGTTTCTTTGGAAGCACTTCTGATATTGTGCAATGCACTTGGGGGTCAGCTACACTTGACTGATGCATGATTTATCCAATGTCCCTGCCACTTCCCGAGATAAAGCTGCTGCTTTATCGAAAATGCCAGCAACTGTGATTTAGAATTTATAAACCTCCGTTTTCAAATAATTGTTCTGATTACTTTCTGCCTTGGCAATAAAATGATAAAGGTAATTGCACACAAATGTGAGATAGCACCAAAATACAATAAAATTAACCTGAATTAGCTTGACTTGTCGATGAGAAGTATTTATGAAATGTGGTGTTGCAATAAGGGAGGGAGAGTGATATTATGGCTGGAAGGTGAGTTATTGCTTTAATGTGATACTCTTTGAAATTTAAAAAAGAGACTGTTTCTGTTGAGGGTGATTGTGCTTTTGAAATTAAGTTGAAGTGATTCTTATAATTGGCAACGAGAATGCATTTTGAAGGTAATATCTTTTATTGTGTTATGCCTAGTTGCATCACCTTTTATTTAGCTGTTTCTGGCTTCAGCTTTTCTAATACTCAGGTAGAAGCAGACTTGGAATTCTGTCGGATCCAGGGGCTGAAATGTTGTATTCTCTTTGTAGCAATGCCCCTGGTCTTAATGTTACAGACTTTTTCCTCCTACATTTGATTAAATTGTTTAGATATCAAAGGTTAAATATTATAGCTAGTTAATGTTTTTTTAAGTTTAAAGGCGGTTTTAGAAATGTGTTTTGTTTCCCTGTCTTTGTGTGCACTGGGAACATCTCATTGTAGCCTGATGGTTTCAACAGTATCAGATCAGGGTTCCATGTCTGATACCCATAGTTCGTAATCTGCCTTTTACATTCCTGAAATGAAATTCCTGGATAATATCCATCTACATGTACTATTTAAATGAAACACTTTAGGAGCAGTAATTTATAATAAAATAACATGCCTTCAGAACAGGAATGCTTGGGCAGGACTCTGCTAGCAGACATAACGTGGCAATCAGGTGTATGTACCTGGAACACAGCAGCTGCAAATGGAGATTGAGACAGTTTTGTTTATTGGACATTCATCATCTGGTCAACGTTGACATTGGTGATATAATTTTTCCAAAATGGTGGACAGCTTTTGTAAAGTTTCAAAGAAAATGAAGTTCACCTTTCCATTGAGTTACAGGATAGTTGTGTTCTTAGAAAACTTTGTGTAGAGAAAAACTGTGCAGAAAATTTTGTGTTTGCAGTAAACAGAATTCTAGTTTAGGGTCTTATGAATTTTAGATTTGAATGTGTTGCAGGACAGTTGAAAGTGACACAGGTTGCAGGACGACACTGTTGTTTGGGATGGGAGAACATTCTACATTCTTGATTCCCCCCTTTTAAATGTCGATAGCTCCCACAACCATTGTGACAACTAAAAAGTGCTTTCAAATTCTCAATAACCCCCTCTTGAGAAGGACTAGAGAGGATGCCCTCCAGAACATCCTCCCCTGGCCAGATTGTGATTAGATCAGGAGCTTCCCAGCACCCTCCTGCTCAGAGAGCCTGTGCCACCTCACATGCCACCATGGGAAGCCTGAGATTTTGGTTCCCACTGTTGCCTGGGAATCCATTTCCAAATGAGTGGGGAGAGAGATGTCATCAAAGCTGAGAGTCCTTGGCAATTGATTGTACTGTAGTGCCCTCCACCACCTTTAGGACCTGATTTTGTCTAGCCTAGGTTTGTGTGAATGTGGTAGGGTTTTTTTTTCTGACTTGGTAATAAAGTTTGTAGTATTAGTGACTTGTAGGATATCTAACAAAGATGAAGTTTTGGAAACTAAGGCCAACTTTGGAAAGTGTTATAGACTTAAAATTGCAGCGTGTGTTTCCCCCTGTTGACTTTGGGAGTACAGCACTGGTATGCTGTTTTTCCAAGGAGAATGAAGTATTGGGAAAGAATTGCTCAGGAAAAATATAACTAGTAGGATTTTTTCCAGAAATAATAAATGGAATTGAGAAAATTGAAGTGAAACAAGATTCTGTGGTAGATAAATATCTCTTTTAGTCCCCCAACCCCACTTTTATTTTCTAGTCTATTGATAAACTGTATATTATTATGATAGCCTACTTTGACTCTTGGTTTGTAAAAATGAAAGTATAATACAGGCTTTATGATTAGGCTAGTGTGAAGTTACATGTTAAAATAGGGGGCTGACAACATATCAAATACCTGTGTAATTTAATATTATGTGATAAATATGTAAAGTAAAAACTGAGATTCCATTTTTTCCAACATTTTGACTTAAGGCTGAATTTTAGGGGTCATTAAATTATCATGGAGCTCAGATAGATACACGGTGGTTCTTTGTCTTACTCTGGGTGTGAGCAAGCTGGTCTTTTCCTTCTTTAAAAATGGTTGAGTTACTTTCTGTCTGCATCTGATACATCCAGTATCTCAAGTCTTTGCTTGCTTATTGTACATTCATCATCTGGTCAGCATGGATATTGGTGACATCATTTTCCTAAGATGGTAGACAGCTTTTGTAAAGTTTCAAAGGAAATTAAAGTTCAAGAACAAGCTAATAAAGTTTTTTGGCTTGTTCTTGCTCATGGTGTCTTATTTCCATGTTTTCCTGTTTCTTTGATTATACTGGGCATCATATTTGAGAGATTGCTCATTATTCATGAGAGCAGTGTGAAGCCTGAGGGGTTGTGCTTGTCCCTGGGGTAGTTTGATCCCTTCGGTCAGGTGCTGAGCACACCAACAGGCTTTGTGAATTGCTCAGATGGCCACGAGCTGAGACCTGCAGAGTGGTCTCTCGTCTGCAGTTGCTATTTTTTTTTTTTTTTTTGCAGCATTTCCTCACTAGGCCAGTGGTTTTCAACTGGGGGCAGTTTTGTCCCTCAGGGGAACTTTGTCATGGTAGACATTTGTGGTTGTTACAACTGAGGGGGTGCTGCCGGCATCCAGTGGGTGGAGGCCAGGGATGCCAGTGAACATCCCACAACACATGGGCTAGCCCCACAACAAAGAGGAATTCTCTCTCCTGCAATGTCGGTACTGTCGTGGTTGAGACAGTTCATTGGTCTCTGTAGAACTTGTTTAAAGCCCAGCTTGTCCCTGGCCCCACCCCGGATTTCCCTGCCTACCCTCGGTTCATCCATGGCATCCCATCCTCTTGGGCAGGATTCTCTTGGTGCCATCTTGGACCCCTTCTTCTGTTGTGTCTTTCCCATCACCCTATGGCAAAAGAGTTTTCCATTTCTGTGGTTTTCCAAGCATCCCACACCTCCCCTTGCAGCCACATACTTAGGGCTGGTGAAGTAGCCGTTCAGTCATCTCACTGGCTCCAGATTGTTCTCCAGGCATCCAGGGGGCATTTATGCTCATGCCCAGCGCTGGTGGCTGCCTCGATGCTATTGTAGATGTCCAAGTCCTGAGCCCTCGGACTGCTTTCAAAGCCCCAGCTGCCCTACCCTGTCCTCCCATCTCTCGTTCCTATAATCCGCTCTATCCGAAAGAGTCGACTTGCCATTTGTACAACTCCATACTTCACATTTTTCTTTTCTCTGCCTTTGTACACTCTGTTTATTCAACGTACATAGTACAAATACCTTCTTAATCTACCCCCTTTAAACTCCTAACCATTGTTCAAAACTCCTCCTCCTATGAAACTTTTCTTAGTCCTTGGATTTGGATGTTGTCATCTTCAGGGCATCTTCTCTGGGTTTCTTTGAGATCAACACAATATAGTCAGGGCTGTGGGCCCTGAGCCCATCTGAATAGGATCCCAGTCTTCACTCTGCCACTTAGGGGCCATGTGTCCATCACCAGGTTACTTGAGATCCCCAAACCTCAGTTTCCCTGTGTCTAAAGTGGGGGTTCCAGTGCTATGTTATGATGCTTTGCCAGGCTACAGTGGAGAGCTAGGTGAAAATGTTCCTGCGACGACCAGTTCCTGTGAGGACCGGGTGAAACAGGACTGATCTAGTGTTGAAAGGTCTCTGTGAGCCGTCAGGCAGGTGACGTTGGAGCCAGCCTCTCCAGGGTGGTGTGCGTGGTGCTGCAGTCTCTGCATTTATCCCATGTCCTTGGGTTTGGCTTCCAGACGGATGTGAATCTCCCCTCTGGAGCATGTAGATGGAGGACAAGGCCTCTGGGGCAGGGGTGGCCTGGAGACATCGCAGTGGTCTTGTCTGGTGGCACACAGACATTTCCCAGTTTGGTGCGGGCCGCCCTGTGCACAGCTGTCCTACAGCATCAGAGCAGGCTGTGGAGGCAGGGCCAGGCTCACTGGGAGCAATGGCCCTGCTGGAGGAGATCTGGCTTTCAGTCCCTGTTCACAGAGGGTCCTGCTGAATTGGGGACAGGGGTGCCCCAGGAGTGAGCTCTGCAGTATGTAGGAAGTCCTAGTTCCGGTGCTGGGGGAGGAACGTCCTGAGAGTGGGCCGGAGGAGATGGGGATTTATGAGCTGAGCTGTGGGAAGCAGGCTTGCAGAGCCTCTGGTGAGTGGGCCAAAATGACAAATGGATTCTGTGCAACTTTTTATTGTCCAGCCTCACACTGTATTTCTTCGCGCACTGCTGTGTTTGCCAGGGTTTTGATTGTATTAGTTACTTGTGAGATGGAGAAACCTTTCCGTCTCCCAAAATAAATATGGATCTGCTTTCAAAATGTTTTAGCTGTTAAACTTCAGCAGCTAGCAAACAAGCCGAAAGCTTTTGTTCTCATTCCACCACAGGTTTGTAGAGTTTGAATCCCAGATAAAACATGTACCAAGCCACTGGATTCTGGGTGGGATACTAAGTCCTTTGCAGGGAGGTGACGCCCTTTGTTCTGTGACATTTTTGTTTTTGAGGAGTCTCCCATTTCCTTCTCTCACCAAGTTAGTTTTCTGTCTTGGGTGGGGCTCCCTAATTCTTAGGGACCTCTGGTACAGCCCAGTAGCAGTTCTCAGCCTGTAGGTCCTAGCCCGTAGGTAGACAGATGCTGTGGGGCAGGGCCAGCCCTTTTGTGGAGTAAAAAGCCCTTTTGCGGGTGGTTCTGATGGCCACACCACTCCAGCCCGCCTGGAAGCCGCCATAGAGATAGCTTTCACATACCTGGTGATACGTGGCAGGTCCTAGAAGGTATGGGTGAAGGTGGTGTGTACCAGGGGTTGGCAGGGGAAGGAGGAAGAGAGGAGTCGTAGGGCTGGAAAAGGAGAAAAAAGTTGATCTTCACCTAAAACAGTGTGTTTGTCAGTTGAGAAAACTGGTTTTACACTTAGAAGTTAAAGGTGGAGTATATCGAGGTAAATGGGTGCTGACCTCTCTGGTATACAACAGATTTAATTTTTCTTTCTTTCTTTTTTTTTTTTTTGTTTTTTGTTTGTTTTTTTATTTCTTTTGAGATGGAGTTTTGCTCTTGTTGCCCAGGCTGGAGTGCAGTGGTGCGATCTTGGCTCACTGCAACCTCTGCCTCCCGGGTTCAAGTGATTCTCCTGCCTCAGCCTCCCAAGTGGCTGGGATTATAGGCGCCTGCCACATGCCCGGCTGACTTTTTGTATTTTTAGTAGAGACGGGGTTTTCACCATGTTGGCCAGGCTGGTCTTGAGCTCCTGATCGCAGGTGATCCACCCGTCTCGGCCTCCCAAAGTGCTGGGATTACAGGCATGAGCCACCAGGCCTGGCCAGATTTAGTTAATTTGGAAAACCCCATTAAATAGCTCAGATCAGATTGCTTACTTGGTTGAAAAAAAGGCAAAGGTAATATTTTCTGTCATGAACAAGGTTTGTGGATATTGCTAATTACTTATTTGAAAGAAATAATAAAATGAAATTCAGTAAAATCAAATAACTTGGCAGTTATTTGAAGGAAGCGGCTCTTTTCTGCTGGGCTGCGACTTTGAGGAGCAGTTGCGTCATTTCCGGGTGAAGCCAAGAGCCCTTGCCATCACCTGGCTCCACCAGGGTTCTCTGTGTGTTTTCCTTTTGGGTTGAAATTTTCCCTTTTAGCTGCATGAGATGTTTATTATTGCTACTCAGAAGTGCCTGGAATCTATATTGCTTTAAGGTGTGGGATGAAGTTTCCTTTCATGATGGTTTAATTTTTATTGCGTTCGCATAGAGCGTTGCCGCCGTTCACAGGATGCCCATGATAGTCCCGCCCCTCGAGACGACATGCAGGATTGCACCTTCCACGCCCAGCACACACCAGGCCCTGCACACGGTTCCTGTGTGCATTAGTGTGGTTGGGCTCCTTCTCTGTGTGTGTGCCTGGCACATTCGGATTTCCTTGTGTCCTTGTGCGATTTCTATAGAAAAAGGTGTGTTTTATCAAGTGGAAAATAGCTTACAGTAATGGTAGTTAATTATTTTGGAGTTCCAAGTTGTTTAGAATTGATCGAATTCCTAAATCTTGAGTTAAAATTCTACTCTAGGATGACTAAGAAAGACATGCTGTGTTTACGTGTATTTTCCAGTTTAACCAGAGGTGACTTTAGACAAGTAATTCTGTTCTGCCAATTTATTTCTCTAAGTATTGTCAATTTAGCTTTTTCATGGGATTCTGGGATACAGAGTTGCTTGGTCCATTGAAATCTATATATGTAATTTTGTTTTTAATCAAACCTAACTTCTGGGTTTTAGAAAGCATCTCCTGTCCACAGCTTTTGAGAAAGGTCCCGTAAATTGGATGACACCAAATGGCTCCAGCACCAGAATGAAAAGGAAGAGCAGCAGAGACTTGGGGCACCCACCTGGGGGCTGTTTCCTAGTGCTGGGCAGAATCCTGGGGTCAGGGTTGGAGGGCCTTAAGGCCAGATTGGAGGTGGGAGCATGGCAAGGTTGCCGTGCCAGGATGCACAGTGTCCATCTGGGGTCCTGGAGCGGCCTGGGTTCTTCCCGCAGGGTGCTGTCCTCTGCCTGACAAGTCCTGTTCCCTGTCTCCTCGGGAGAACACCAGTACCAGGACTCCAGGAGTTGCCAGGTGGGGGCATCTAAGGAAAGGAAATGTTCATGGGATGCGCCACAGAGATGATCCCTCGGAGAATATTTTCCGGTCTTTCATAGAGGCTAAAATATAACATAGTTGTTAGAAATATGTGGTTTTGTAGGAAGTTACATACCTTGGGGAAAACGCTGGAATTGACACCTGAGAATGGGTGAAATGTTGGAAGATGTTGAACAGGTGAGAGGACTGAATCGGTGCAGAGCCACACCTGGTGGTGGGAGCACGTTGAGGGCCTGCGGGTGCCCTTGAGGAAGGGTTTTGGTGGATGACAAATATGATAGGAACCACGTGTCTTGGGGAAAACACTGGAATTGATGAGTGAGAATGGATACATTATTGGCTCTATTGGAAATTATGGCTGACAGATCTGAAGCTCTGTCATGCATTGGGGGCTTGCTGGTTATTTCAGTTTAGTAATTTCATTGATCTGTAACAGATATGTGTCAAAGAGTTTTAGGAAGTTGATAGAAGTGTACATATTGATGAAAATAAAAATTCGTAAGAAATAGATGATGGGTTCAGGTACAGAATAAGGGCAGGAAAATAAATGAAACCAGTATACCAGATGCAGGCATGTGCTTCCCATGATGGGAACCCCAGATACCAGACGCAGCCAGATGCAGCCACGTGCTTCCTGTGATGGGAACCCGGTATACTAGACGCAGGCACGTGCTTCATGCAGTAGGAACCCCATATATCGGATGCAGCCACATGCTTCCTGTGATGGGAACCCCGTATACCAGACACAGGCACATTCTTCCTGTGATGGGAACCTGGTATACCAGATGCAGCCACGTGCTTTCCGTGATGAGAACCCTGTATACCGTCCGCAGCCAGACACAGACACGTGCTTCCTGTAATGGGAACCCGTATACCAGATGCAGCCTGGTGCTTCCCATGATGGGAACCCCATATACCAGACTCAGCCACGTGCTTCATGTGATGGGAACCCAGTATACTAGATGCAGGCACGTGCTTCATGTGATGGGAACCCGGTATATTAGATGCAGGCACGTGCTTCATGCAGTAGGAACCCTGTATATCAGATGCAGCCACGTGCTTCCTGTGATGGGAACCCCGTATACCAGACACAGGCACATTCTTCCTGTGATGGGAACCTGGTATACCAGATGCAGCCACGTGCTTTCTGTGATGAGAACCCCGTATACCATCTGCAGCCAGACACAGACATGTGCTTCCTGTAATGGGAACCCGTATACCAGATGCAGCCTGGTGCTTCCCATGATGAGAACCCCATATACCAGACGCAGCCACATGCTTCATGTGATGGGAACCCCGTATACCAGACGCAGCCACGTGCTTCTTGTAATGGGAAACATCTTTGAATATGCCAGGAATTAAGCAGTGAGCTTCTTGATGGTCAGAACACTGATGGCACCCAAAGTAGTTGCGTTAAGCCAGCACCAAGGTTCTGGGTTGTGTGTTTTGTTTAACACAGCCATATTCACCTGGCCATCAGTTTTTTAGTGAGGAGACCTTCCCAGGGCTATTGGGGATCAGATGAGGGGCCTAGCATATACTAAGGGCAGAGCTCTGAATAGGTTAACAAGAGCCCTAGATCCCATTAGAGCTGGGACTAGTTTTATCTGTGCAGGCCTAGAGCCCCCCTATGCAAAGTGGCGTCTGGGCTGGCAGCATCACCTGGGCCTACCCACTCCTGCTGTATCGGAATCCGCATTGCACAAGCTCCCAGCACTGGCCGCTGTGGAGGGAATGGCGCTGTCTCGTGGTACCTTCTCCCCAAGGCTGGCTGCTGCTCTTCCTTAGGTCTGAGTCTGGCTGTCCTCTTTCCAGGTCGAGGATTTAAAGCCGCCTAGCTCAGGGCTCAGTCCTGGGTGTGTGGCTGGCCAGGAAAGGGCAGTGAATTCAATTTGCTAAGTGTCTGCTCTGCAGATGCAGGATGCTGGAGATGGGGGGCGCAGAAAGAAACAGGCCCTGATTCTGCCCTCGCACGTGGTGGGGTAGAGGCGGCGAGGTGTTGGCAGCCATCCCTGCTTTAATTGACCTGAGTTGTCATTCCCTCAGCGATCAGTTTCACCTGTTTGCGGACTGCCTGTAGTACTGCTTGCTTCTTGTTTTCTTTATATCAACTTATTTTTAAACACCCGCTTTAACTTCTTCCTAAGGAATTGCAGTGAGAACAAGTGTTTGCTATGCTCATTTTGTTTATTCTGTTACACGTTAATTTAAATCTATAGTTAATAAACTAGTGTCTCAACTAATCTCACCACCTGAGGCGTGTTCAACACCCTAGAGTCAGACCACAGCCTCCCTGTGACTTCCCCACACCAGGTCTCTGGAAGGGTCGTTCTCATGCCTTTGAGCTTCGGGTCTTTCATCATCAGAGGAATGGACTGTGTCTCATTTGCAGGGCTCTTGTAAGGATTAGAGAAGAGGAAAGTGAGTGCCTGGCATGAAGGAAGTACCATCAATGTCACTAAACAACTCTTACTATTAAGTGTTTCTGAGTTGAGTTGTGGCTTAGCGATGCGTGAAGCAGTTGTTGAATTGTAGTCTGTGCCGTTCAGTGCCTTGAATATAAGTATATTTGATAACGTTTATGATAAGTGTTGGTGAGGATGTGGAGAAATTGGAACCCTGTGTGTTGCTGGTGGGAATGTGAAATGGAGCAGCTGCTGTGGGACACTTCTGGAGGTTCCTGAAAACATGAAGCATAGAATTCCCATGTGGCCCAGCAATTCTACCCCTAAGGACATACCCCCCAAAATTGAAAGCAGGGTCTTGAGTAGATATTTGTACACTGGTGTTCATAGCAGCATCATTCACAGTGGCCAAAAGGAGAACACACACAAACGTCTATCTGTGAGTGAACAGATACATTAAATGTGGCCTATCCATGCAATGGAACATTATTCAGCCTTAGAAAGGGTGGGAATTCTGGCACATGCTGCAACATGGACAAACTTTAAAGACATTACGCTGAGTGATATAAGCCAGTCACAAAAGGACAAGTACTATATGGGTCCACAGACATGAGGCACCCAGAACAGGCAGATTCAGAGATCAAGTAGAATAGTGGGTGCTGGGGGGTGGGGAGAGCTATTGTTAAATGGGGACATAGCTTTTGCTGAGGTTAATGAGAAAATTTTGGCTATAGATAGAGGTGATGGATACACAACTTTGTGAATGTATTTAATGCCACTGAATTACACACTTACAAAATAGTTAACATAAATATTGCATTTTGCCACAATAAAAATATATTTCCTAACATTTAAACAAAAGGAGTGTCTGGGACGTTACCTCTGACACACCTGGTTATTTGGCACCACCGGCGACCCCTGGCTGCTGGCAGGTGTCTGGAGCAGCAGCTCAGAGCAGGAGGCCCAGAATCCACAGTGCCAGGTCTAGGAGTGCAGGGGTGTGGCAGGAAACGTGACCCCGCGGCTCCTCTTCAGAGCCTCGGGGACCACCAAGGCAGTTCTTGACACTTTATCCTGGCCTTGGTGTTCAGCATCGGAAAACAAGGAGAACTAGAATGTCTTGACTTTCTAAAGGTTGTTGTAAAACAAGGGAAGGCCATGATGCAGTGAGTTTTATCACACTCTTGCTGTGACCTTCATGAGGATGTTGGAGCGTCTTTTCTTCATTGCGGACAGAGGCTTCCAAACTCCACGGCTGAGCCCCAGTTACAGTCAGTGTGCAGTAAGTCCTGTGGGTAGTCGTAGAAGTGGAGAAAATGGCAGTATCTTTTCTCTAAAAAACGTTTACAAACAGATACTTAATGTGAGTTTGCTTGCTAATAGGTTAGGTTCTTAGAGTTTAAAGAAGTAGTTAATTATCAAAGCTTTTTCATTCTTGACAACCAGCATTTTTCCTCTAATTCAGGCTACCTTTGAAATGAACACTGCAGATCTCTGAGATTTTCATCTGTGAATGTTGTTTGAAGAATTCATTCTGCTGCAATTTAGATAAAATGTACCTGCTGAATTTTGTAATAACATTCACAAAGTTTTATATTTTTGTTCGTGTTTGAAATATACAATAGAGGTTTTCCTCGTGATAGTGAGAATATATCAATATGAGAGAGATACAATTATATCAATCAATTATTTGAACAAAGATTGGGTATTGTTTACATATAATTTTGTAATAATTCCTATTTCCAAGGAAGAACAATGCACAATACTTTGTCATTGTGTCATTTATTTTTATTGTAGTCTTTTGTTTTTATTGAAACATAGATTCCATGTATAAATGTGGATTTTATGTATATCTTTCCCCGTGTATATTAGAAGTATTTCAAATCAAATAATTTGGCCAAATGATTTTTCTATATTAAACATTATATTTTCATTTAAACCACTATAATTTCTCCTAGTTCAGTCTGATTCCTTCTTGCTTTTTTGCATACAGTGAGTACTATGGTCCAAATGTTTGTTCTCCCACAAAATTCATGTTGAAACCTCGCCCGTAAGTTGTTGGTATTAAGAGTTGGGGCCTTTGGGGGGAGATTAGGTTAGTGCCCTTATGAAAGAGACTCCAAAGAGGTAGAGCCCTCGACGATTGAGGATGCAGCAGGAAGGCGCCATCTGCGAGGAAGTGGGGCCTCACCAGGCACTGAATCTGCCGGCGCCTTGGTCTTAGACTTCCTGGCCTCCACAACTGTGAGAAAGAAATGTCTGTTGTTTATGAGCCACGCAGTCTATAGGATTTTGTTATGGCAGCTCAGATGGCCTAACACAGTGAGCATGCCCCACCCGGAGATGGCCTTGCCCCTCTTGCTGTCAGCATCAGGACTGACAGAAGCTGGGCCCATGCAGATTTTCCGGAAGCTGTGTCAGGTATTGGGGGTCATTGGACTCTAACCAGTACCCAGCAGACAGATGGGACCTGAGAGAAAGGGTTGGGGTCTGCCCCTTCTCCGCTCCTCAGCTTCCTGCAGTGGCTGGGGGCAGGAAGGAGGGCACAGTTCAGGGGATTGAGAGACGTGTGCTGACTGTCCAGCAGCAGCAGATCCACCTGCAGGCACAGTGCAGCCTGGTGTCTCGTCTGAGAGGACACGTGTGCAGGACAGGCGGGACCCACAGCTGCTGCTTCCCCACTCGCCAAGGCCCCGTCAGGAGCAGCAGCTGCGGCCCTGGGAGCCCACAGTCCAGCCAGGAGGTGGTGAGCACAGGGCGGAGTGTGGGGTTGGGGACTCCACTTGTGGTGTTCCCAGATTTGGGGGATTTCCGCAAGGCCCCGTTGAAGGGCAGTGCTCCTTAGATACAGTGCAGAGTCCTTGGGGTGAGGGTCCTGTCTCATTACTTGATAGCACGTGTCCTGTCTCATTACTTGATAGCACATGTTTCAGCTGGCTCTTTAATGGGAAAGTTGGTGCTTTAGTGGAAGCTCCAGTCCCCTAGATACAGAGTGTATTGCGGATATTTATCCCTTCCTGGCTGAGCGCGGGGCAGTTTCTGCCTGCAGATTTGGGCTCTGGCTCTGGGTTATGGACCTTTGAATGTGGCCATGCCAGAGTTTGTGACCTTGACGTCTTGAGGCATCCTGTAAGTGGTATGACCTCAAGGGAAGAAAGCTAGCGTGGCCTGCATACAGGTGGGCCTGTGGACTGTAAAAGCAGGTTTACTTAGCGGGAGTAATTACCCATGTTGATGACAGCCTCTAACAGAGGTGCAGTCTTCAAATTCACATTTAAATGTCTCTGCCTGCTACTGAGAAATCCACAGCAAGGGAAAAGAGCAAAACAGTCTTTCTGTGAAGGGTCTGTTTTATTTTTTATTTTATTTTATTTTAATTAATGAGACGGTGATCATCCAGGGAACAGGATCTAAACGCAGTCTTTGAACTTGAACTCTGTATGTGGTGTCTACAGGTTTGGGTGTGAGCAGCCTCACTCTGTGCTGGTTCCCAGCTTAAACGTCCAAGGAAGAGCTCATGACAGTTTTTATATTAGTTCTTTAAATATTTTATTGTAAGTTCGTCTCTTCCCAGCCCCTCTTGCTATTTTTATTGCTCCATTTGAAGTTCCAGCCAATAGCCCAGGCCCTTTCTGTCTTTGATGTCTGTATGGTGGGCAAGATCTCATCACGACCCACATCAGCTTTGCTGTTAGAAACGTGTTGCCACAGAGGAGCACATTCATAATTGAAATCACCAAATAGGGAATTCTTTCTAGAGGCAGTGGCTGCCTCAGTGAAACGTGCATGGCTGAGCAGAGCAAGGAAGAGTTAGTGGGGCCGGGGGCGTGCTGATATCACAGTGGCGTGGGGTGGGGTGAAGGGATACAGGTGTGTCCCTCCTCTTACCCGGCATGGTGTTTCCAGAAAGCAGATGGGAGAGCTGTGTGATGAACAGGTGAGACACTGGCTGGACCCAGGTGAGCTGCTATAGAAGCAGAATCAAAACCGTGTAGCACGTTGCCTTCCCTTTCCCAATACTGTAAAGAATTCCTCTTCAATGGAAATCTACTTCAAACTTTTATCAGATTAATTTTAATAAAAAGCTGAATCAATACGAAGCAGCTTGGGAAAACAGCTTTCCCCCACCCCAGCCCCCACCACCAATAACATTTTACAGATTCAGGCCCAGTATTTCTTGTTTCTAATGAGATGGAAGGAGCGGTATTCTTGGCACCTGCTCATCTCCTTCCCTTTGGAAACTCAGCCAGGTTTTTGTCGTTAGCTTATGGGTCGCTAATGTTATGTGCACTCATAGCAGAAATGGAAATCCGCCATCGGTGAAAGTGGAGACCTTTGAGAATTTATGCAGCATCAAAATGTAAATACCAACTCTTATAGAATATTGGGGTTAGCAATGTCGACAGTTCTACCCCGAGTGCGGTTGGTGGTGGGGCTCCAATGGAAACAAACTGGTGTCCAGCAGTCAGCTGTCTGCGCATCCGTCCCTCCCACTCCAGCTTCTCCAGGTAAGACTGGCCATGTGAGCACAGAGGGTAGAAGAAGGCCTTAGGGACACCTTAGAATGGGAGGAGAGGTCATAGCTGGAGCTCCGCTTGGGGGTTTCTGGTGCTCCGCCCATGGCTCCTGGACAGCGAGGGGCAGTCTTCTGAATGGACCTCAGAGGTCCTGTGGTCCTCTTTGGCCAGAGGGCACGGGCCCCCTTAGCTCATTTCTAGTAATGGGATGGGTGGGTGTTAGGAGGAAACACGCAGCCCAGCACAGGCTCCCCAGAGCACATCGTGAATCTTTCTGTCGCCTCCCTGCCCCACCTCACCTCTGTTCTGTGGCCTCCCTGCACTGTGCCCCTCCTGTGTCCTCAGTTGCCACATGACTGACACGTGCTTGGGGCTCATTTGATGGCTCTGGCAACTTTCTCTACCTCGGTTTACCTTTTGGCTGCCCAGTGCTGGATCGCCAGTCTGCTTTACTGTTCACGGGAGGAAGGGTGTCACGGCGTCACACATGGGCATGGCACCTGCGCTGGGGCTCACCTGTCTCATGAGGCCGTATGTCGCACAAGGCTTCTTGAGGGTGGGGTGGCCATGAGCGAGAGCGCTCGCCTCTGTCCTTTTCCTGTTGCAGAGGAGGAAAAAGTCTGGGGCCCTGTTTGCTCAGGGTGGGCTGAGGCCCAGACCAGCTTCCTGTCTCCACACCCTGACTCCAAACCCTCACTGTGACCCCACGGGAAAGCATATTCCCAAATGTAACTGCGACGCCGCAGCCCGGGACTGCTGATTGAATGAATGAGTATTCTCCTTTGGGTTTCCCACAGAAGTTTTCCCCCAGTTCCCTACCATGATGGGTTGTGGCTTTGTCACCCGCAGTGAGAATATGCGAATGCTTTAGCAGATGTTGTGTGGCTCGGGCCTGCCTGCCTTATTTGGAGATATTTCGCACCTCTGTGGGCTCCCAGTGGCAGGCATCTCTGGGGAGGGAGCGCTGTCTCCATCGTCCTTTGGGAGGATGTGGGATGGCTGCACCGGGCACCACTCTCACATGGTCTCCACATCAGGAAGCGTATCTCACCGTGTCCAGCATTGGTGTCCTGGCCAGATGCTCTGTTTATAATGATAGAAAAAAAATTTTTCATCTCTGAAATTTGCCACCTTCTTTCAGCAGCATTTCACTTGGTTTACTTCCTTAATTCACGAAATATGTGAAAAAACTTTATAAATCTTAAAGATGAGAAAATTCTAAATGATGTGTGTACAGATACACACACATACACACACACACACACACACACACACACACACACACATTTGGCCCTTGGACAAGACAGGTCTGAACTGTGTGGATCCACTTACACTTAGATGTTCTTCTACCTCAGCCACCGCAGAGACAGCAAGACTGCCCCTGCCCCTCCTCCCCTCCCTTCCCCCTGCCCCTCCTCCCCTCCCTTCCCCCTGCCCCTCCTCCCCTCCCTTCCCCCTCCCCCTCCTCCCCTCCCTTCCCCCTCCCCCTCCCCAGCCTACTCACCATGGAGATGATGAAGACCTTCATGATAATCCACTTCCACTTAATGAATAGTAAATAGATTTTCACGTCCTTAGGATTGTCTTAATAACTTTTTCTAGTTTATTTTACTGTAAGAATACAGTGTATAATATGGGTAACATACACAATATGTGTTAGTTGAATGTTTATGTTATCATTAAGACTTCCATTCAACAGTAGGGTATTAGCAGTTAAGTTTTGGGGGAGTCAAAAGGTTATGTGGATTTTTGACTGTGTGGGGCTTCAACAGCCCAACCCCTGCACTGTCCGAGCATCAGCTGTATACATACATATTTTGCCGTTTGTATTATAGTAGCTCTGTGCATGGGGCATGTCTCCGCAGGAAGAGGGACTGTCCTGACTCTTGGGCCTGGTGGTGATTGTCTGGGGCACTCCTCCCAGAGCCCTGACTACTGACAGGTCACTTCAAGAATCAAAGAACCTCGACTATGATGTCATTTTTCTGTAAGCCCTGGACTACTATAAATTATGTTTTATCTGTCATAATTAAGACTCGGAGACTACCAAGCTGTCTTCGAGGGGAAAGGCCTGTCCCTTTCTCCAGAGAAATAATTAATTGTTAGAGTATATGGTTTTTGAAGAATTTACTGTAAGATAAAAGACTGGTATTTTATTCTTGCATTTATTAGTATTTAATCAAATGGAAAGTGCACTTTCAGCCTGGAAATCTTGGCTTCAGCTGCAGGATTAGACTGAATTATTGTTTAAAGAGTAAAAGGTATAGAATTATATGTTCAAGTTATCAAGCCACTGATAGGTTTTGGGTATAATGTAACTAATTTAGAACATAAAATTTCCTGCCTTGTGGACTAGAGCATCGGATTAATCATTTGGAAGCGGGGCGCACTTCCTCTGCTGCGTGGCCTTGCGGTGAGATGGAGCCTGTCGCTCCAGGAGCACGAGACCTTTACGGAGTTCAGTGCCGTCAAGGCCCACTTGTCCACAGCCACCGGAGCATGTTGGGAACACCGGGAGCCGCTGGAACGTGTCTGGAACACCAGGCTCTTCCATTCGGGACACTGAGTCATAAATCATCCCATGTGTCTCATGCAAGAATTCTTCCCTGCAGAAATTTCATGAAACTTAGTCTTTGCTAAGGGTAAAGAGGATTTAATTCTCTTTGTTCTCAGTGGTGTGCAGGCTTAATGCTCATGGGTGTTGACTGGTGGCCGGCACATCAGTGGCTCGTGGGTGTTGACTTGTGGCTCCTGGCATTGCTTTGCATTAGAGGATAGCCGGCCTCTCTACACCATGACTTAGAAAATTCCAGCCAGGCACAGTGGCTTACACCTGTAATCTCAGTGCTATGGGAGGATTGCGTGAAGCCAGAAGTTTGAGTTCAGCCTGGGCAACATAGCAAGACCCTATCTCTACCAAAAAAGAAAAAGAATAAAGAAAATTCCAGAAAACGTTTGTGACAGCATCACTGTTGAGGTTGTAGTGCCACAGGCAGTGCAGCAAGCATCTGGTTTATCTGCGTGAGCTCATGACGTGTTCATCAGTGGGCAGAAAAAGATGGGATCAGACAAAACAGATGCTTTCAGGATCCTTCAGATCAGGATGGCAAATGTTTCCTGAAATGGGCCAGGCCAGAAATATTTCTGGCTCTGTGATGTACAGCCGCTGGCACAGCTACCTGACCCTGCTGTTAGAGCTGCTGCAGACAGGACCCAGAGGAGGAGTGGGGCTGCTACCCATGATGCTAGACCGAGGTTGCCGAAACTGGAGTGTCCCATTGTATGCACGTGTCCTAAAGCATCTCCTTCCATCTCCTTGTCTACTCCTACCGTGCGCATACAGAGCCCCTATGGTGCGAGTACAGAGCCCCTGTGGTGCATGTACAGAGCCCCTATGGTGCAGGTGCAGAGCCCCTACGGTGCAGGTGCAGAGCCTCTACAGTGCATGTACAGAGCCCCTACCGTGCAGGTGCAGAGCCTCTATGGTGCGGTGCAGAGCCCCTATGGTATGCTTTCAGAGCCCCTAAGGTGCACCTACAGAACCCCTAAAGTGCAGGTGCAGAATCCCTACAGTGTATGTGCAGAGCCCCTACGGTGCGGGTACAGAACCCCTACGGTGAGGGTGCAGACCCCCTATGGTGCGGGTACAGAACCCCTACGGTGAGGGTGCAGAACCCCTAAGGTGTGCCTGCAGAGCCCCTATGGTGCGGGTGCAGAGCCCCTACGGTGCGGGTACAGAACCCCTATGGTGCATGTACAGACCCCATATGGTGCGGGTACAGAGCCCCTACAGTGCGGGTGCAGAGCCCCTATGGTGTGCATACAGAACCCCTACGGTGCGGGTACACAGCCCCTAAGGTGTGCCTACAGAGCCCCTACGGTGAGGGTGCAGAGCCCCTACGGTGCGCGTACGGGGCCCCTACGGCACGCAGGCTTGCCCCGCCACCTGCTGTCCCCGGATTCCTGTCAGATGTCCGGGTGCCCAGCCTGACTGGGCATGGCCCTCCTGGAAGCAGTTTCAGGGCCAGTTCTGATCTCAGGTGGGGATGGAGAGCTGGTGTCTGGGCCTCTCAGAGCTCAGGCCCCGCACATCGTCAGAGTGACCTCACCAGCTCCAAGTGCCCCTTTTCCCTCAGTTTCATTATTTGGGAAGTGAGGAGGTCACACCAGGCTGGACACGGGATTTCAATCCGTGTGTCCCCCTGTTGCCCGGGGTGGCTGCATGCAGGGTGAGTTCAGGGAAGCTCTGGATGCAGTGAGCGAGGCCCCGCCCAGCCTCTTGGTGGGAGTCACTGGCCTCACAGCTCACTGCAATTCAGAGACCTGCAGTGTGAAGATTCTTCCAGATTACTGGATGGAAGGGACTTCAGTGACCTCATGTAAGAAAGGAAGTCACCCACTGGTAGCCTCAGAGAGGGAACCTCTGGCAGTCTGGCTCACAGCCGGGGCTAGATTCAAACTGTATCCAAGAGCAGCTGCTGAGAGACCCACCTCAGTCCTGCAGGAGTCCAGGCTCTCTCCCAGGCCCCCAGGGAGGGTGTTTCCACCTGGTACCTTGGGGAGATGTGACCAGAGCTGCTGGAGGGAGCGTCTACCTGCTGGGGTCAGGGGGTCTCCATCCGCCCACAGTGTCGGCTCAAGAAGTGTGTGCTGTCCACCCCAGGCCCAGGGCAAGTCCCACGAGGCCGAGGCTGCACCTTGCTGTCCAGGGGGCCGCAGCTGAGGCCTGTGCAGCCTCCCCGGTGCTAGTGCCAGCATGGTACAGGAGTCGCAGCTCCAGGAGGACATGCAGGCTGCCTGCCATGAGAACATCCCTCTGCTGTTTGCAGACCGAGGCCCATGGGTGCAGAAGGAAGCGTGCCGGTGCAGGGCACGCAGGGCCGATGGGAGATGGACTGACCAGTGGTCTGGACCGAGCAGGCAGCAAAGGGCCCTGTGTGCTGAACTGAGCTGCTGGGACTTAATGCACACAGAACCACAGAACCACAGAACGTAATGGAGAAGAATTGGGTAAGGGTGAGTGGGAGATAAAGAAGCCATCAGAATGCTGCTGAGTCTGGTGGGGGTTGGAGGTCACCGGAAATAGCTCCTCCCAAGTTTTACTCAGATCTTCTTGGCAGGGTGCATCTTAGCATTTGTAGAATGCACCAAGGAATGCCTGGGAAGGGCATGGGGGCCCTGCAGGGGTCACAGGCTGGGAGAGGAGGGGCTTACTGCCTTGGGCCCCTGGACACAGGTAATGCCTTTGCCTCAGGTGGCCAGAAGTGCCTGTAGGCTTTGCAGAAAGCTACTGTTCCTTTCCTGTGTGGGTGTGTGACTCCTGGACGGTTGCCGGAGATTGCCCTGAGGCTGGGGTGGGTGCCCGTCCTGGAGCCCCCATCCCACAGTGCTCTTTGTCCGTAGGATCTGCGCACACAAGGGTTTGGTTGTTGAACCTGGAGACACACATTATGGTGAATCCCAGTGTTGACTGATTATATCATTAAGTGGGTCACATGACACAAAAACCACACGTTCTGAATGTACAAATTCCATCCCAGTGCAGGTGGAAATTTGTATTAACCATGGCTTTCTTCACATGGCTTCTTTGCAAACAAACACTTGGTACTTTGCTAGTACAAGGTCCTTCCTTGGTGGGGAGGGGTGTAATCCCATGTCGATGTCTGGACGAGGAGAAAGAGGAACTTCCCCTCAGCCAGTGGACGAGACTGTCCAGGCTGCTCCACAGTGGCCACAGAGAGCCCCCGGCACCTGCTCGGGGCAGGAATTGGTGGCTTTGGCCACCTTGCTTAATTGAGAAAGTTGATGTTTCCGTCAGATCTTCTTGTGTTCGCACATGTTACCTATTCTCTAAGAAGTCAGTGAAACTTCACCCAACTTTAGAGGCTATAAAGAATGAGGTTATTTTCTGCCATGACATATTTAAGCTGAAGCTTCCCAAGCCATAACAGTTTTAAGAAGTGACATTTCATTTTGAACACCAGCCTGCCACCTCTTTACTCCTCATGACAGACTGTCACTGTGCAGCGCAGCAGTTAGTTGGTTCCTGAAGTGCCAGAAAATTCCCAGGTTGTGAGGAGTGTGCTGCTGGTGGGGTGAGATGTGCGACCCGGCGGGGGCCTCGGCGGGCACAGGCGGGAGACCCGGGCCAGAGCCCTGTGGGGTGAGCGCCATCCTGGCCAGGCCACACGGCCGGGGCAGCTTCTTTCCCTTCTGCAAGGCAGTTGGCATTATCGCGGATGTTAGCATAGGAAGTTCTAGCGGGACTAGTTAAAAATGAGGGAAAACATGGTGTTCTCTCATTGTCTTTTTCCTAGTAAACTAAAGGAATCATGCTTGATGAAGGCTCAAGTGTAGTATGATTCAATCGGGCATGAGACTGTGCTGAGGTCTCGGATGTCTCGGGCCTGGGGTCAGCTTGAAGAGATTCATAGGCGGGTCTCGAAGCCCATGCTGCTGGGAGGGCCGGGCTGCCGACGTGGACGGGTACAGCTCCCTGGTTCACACAAGACTTGGGGTTCCCTCCACCGTGGAATCCGTCTTGCTTTCACGGGATTTGGGGACTGTGAAATCTCTTCTCTTCTAATGCATTCCCGTTGTCTAGAGGCTGGGGAGCACCATTTGATTTTAAAGGACAGCCACAGTCCTGCCAGCTCCATAGAGAGAGCAGAGGTGGCCTCATGTTCTGAGCAGAGGGTGCCATGGTATTTCTGACCAGGCGGGACCCTGGCTGGACTCACGAGATTGTGTGAGTCCACAATGTGCTTGTCAGAAGCCAGGCGTCCTGGAGTTAGGGTCAGATTCCCATGGTGGGTTTCATTACCCTCCTAGAGACTGGCGGGGTCCCAGCCTCTTGGAAGTGTCCGCTCAGACACTGCCAGGTGCCTTGGAGGTAGCAGAAGCATCTCTTGATGGCAAGTGTCCATTGTGACCTGTGTTGAAGACAAGGTCTGTGTGAGAAGGTGCACTGGTACCTACTGTGTCCTGATGACCTGGGAGTGTCGTGAAGACAGAGCAGCCAGTGACCTTCTGAAACCAAAAGAGTGGCTGCCCACTCTGCCTCCTGGCTCTGGCACGGGGACGGCTCCAGGGTTCTAAGGCCTAAGCTGGCTGCACTACCTCCCGCCCTCAAGGACGATTGGCATCTCTGGCGTGCTCAGGCCCCTGCAGCCTTGCCAAACAAACAAACAAACAAAAACAACTTGTAATTTTTCATTTTATCTGTATTTTGCCATTAAAATGTTGTTCTCTACACAATTAGCTGCAGGACGCACAGTGTTTAGCCTGTGGACGTGTCTCCCAGCTCTGCCATGCACCGTGCGTGTACACCTGAGTGTACTCAGGTTTGCATACCCCCGACACTGGGACATTGATGTCATGGAATCTCTTCATATAGATTTTTCTTTGGTCTGCAGTGACATGGCAAGTGGTAAAGCCTTTTATGAAACCTCTTAAAGAAACAGATGATAGTTACTAAGAAGCTTCCAAAAAGACTTTTTTTTTTTTTTTTTTTTTTTTTTTGAGACAGAGTCTCGCTCTGTCGCCCAGGCTGGAGTGCAGTGGCGTGATCTCAGCTCACTGCAACCTCCGCCTCCCGGGTTCACGCCATTCTCCTGCCTCAGCCTCCCGAGTAGCTGGGACTACAGACGCCTGCCACCATGCCCGGCTTATTTTTTTATTTTTAGTAGAGACGGGGTTTCACCGTGTTAGCCAGGATGGTCTGGATCTCCTGACCTCGTGATCCACACGCCTCGGCCTCCCAAAGTGCTGGGATTACAGTTGTGAGCCACCGCACCCGGCCCCAGAAAGACGTTTATAGGCTCATCTTGACAGTGTTCTGGTATCACAAACCAATTGTCAGTTAGAGCTAGAGTTGGTTTAGCTAAACTGTCGGAATGGATATGGGAGTGGCAGTTATAATCTGGAAACATTGTTCCAAAGTGCTTTAAGTTCCAGGGAATTTTTGGAGCAATTTGTTAAAACTGTACACATTTACGTTTTCTGCCCTTTTCTCTAGGTGTGATCTATTTCTTTCACACACACACACAGCAGTTTGTATGTTAACTGCTTGCTGACTGATTTCCTGCTTGATTGCACAGATTCAAAGCAGTGCATGAGCTTCAGAACAGCGTTTATCTTCCTGCATTACTCATATTTAGTTCCATATATGTACCAAAGAGAAGAGTTCAGAAAAGAAAACCAGATTTTATTTTAAGTATGATTTTTAAATGTAGACAGGTGCCAGTTTATATCTCAAAATGGGTGATTTAAAGACCAGTGAACAGATTTCCTTAGATGTCCGTCTGCTTCTGGGATCTGATGTGTAGGCATCTTCACGTTGGTTTTATAATGTGCCACGCGTCAGGTGTTATTTCGATGACTATGCTGAGCCCTTTAATAAGACGCACGTGCCTGGGGTGCTTCTGGAACCTTGCCACCAGGGCTCATTCTTTGACCATCCCTAATTCCCCAGGGCTCTTGTTGTTAGAGTATTCTTTACAACCAAAGCATCATTAATCAGAAAGGTGCTGTGCGGTGCGGGGCCGGCTCCGATGACAGTAATAAAAACCGGCACACCTCCTGTTCCAGGACCCAGACCCTGGAAGTCTGTGCCTAAGCCAAGACATGAGCAGCGTTTGTGGAATGCGGCTTCAGATAGAAACCTTCTTTCAATTTGCAGGCCTGGTTATGTAATTCTAATGCAGAATCTCCCCCTTCGTGTTTGCATGCGTGTAGCCGGGTTCACAGAACTTTAGCCACAAACAGGAGTGTTTCCCTTTTTCCAGGGCTCCCGTGTTAGGCCCCCACCAGGAGGCTTTGGGGTGGCGTTTGGGAACGCCGTTTGGATCCCTTCTCAGTTTGACATCCTAGGTGGCAGCTCCAGTTTTGTTTGGTGAAACGATTTCAATGTAACAGAACCCCTTTCGGTTGTGAGAGCAGAATGAACTGAGCCGCACTTGACTGTCTTGTGCTGGATGTGACCCAGCCGAATCCACGGGGAGACCCCTGGTTACAGCGGGGACCACGGGTGGGGTCTCAGCCGTGGCCCTTTATACTTGGTGAGCATCAGCCACACCACGTGGCCAGGTTTATGATCAGGTGATAGGGATGAAGTGTTTTTGACACATGCTTTTCTTTTTTTAAATTAAAATACTATCTCATGCCTGATTTTGAGGTGGGCTGAGCATGAGTCCTGAGGATGAGAGGGGCTTCCCCAATGCCCCTTATTCCCTGTTCAGAAGGGAGATTGCAAAGCTAGTTTTCATCTTGTGATGTCTTTGTGGGAGGTTGTGAGGCAGTCAGACACGGTCCTCTTCCTCCCCCAGGTGAGCCAATCTCCCCCTTCACACAGACCCGAAGCCCAGGCCACAAGGGACCTGGGCTACCTTGTTTGTAAACAGCTTACAAGGAGGCTGGTGATTTCTCC
Source organism: Homo sapiens (assembly GCF_000001405.40). Lineage (NCBI taxonomy): Eukaryota > Metazoa > Chordata > Mammalia > Primates > Hominidae > Homo > Homo sapiens. The sequence continues at coordinate 129,526,516 of NC_000010.11, forward strand.
CTTTTAACATGTTCGTTTTTATGTTTTTGAGGTGTGGTCTCACTGTGCTGCCCAGGCTGGTCTGCAACTCCAGGACTCAGGCGATTCTCCCACCTCCGCCTCTGGATAGGTCGGACCGCAGGTGCACGTCACCACACCCGGCTAGTCTGTTTCTGTGTGTTTTCATTGCACAGGATACCAGCAGTGGAAATGGTTAAGAGGGAAAGACACAGAGCTGCAAAGATGGTCCTGGAAGGACGGTTTTTAGACCTGACAGTTTTTAGTGCAGCAGGCCTGGAAAACGACTACCAGTAGGGGAAAAAGAAGAGTTTCTGTTTCTGGGTCTCTTCCTTTTAATATGGCAGGAACTGGCCTCTGGCGCCAACTGCTTAATTCAGAACATTGTTATTTAAACGCCATTCATGTTAAAAGGGAGATGAAACGAAATTCATTTTTCCAGAGGTCTCCAAATAGCCATGAAAAATAAATTTTTTTCTGCCACCAAGTACCATCAGCCACTCATGTGGTTTAGGTGGATGCCGTGGTGGTGCCGGGAGCACTACCAGCCTGTGGGGCCGTGGGCTTGTGCTTCGCCGGAGTGGGAAGTGGGGACATTAGGAAGCCCGACTGTTGAATCGCCTGGGCGTCCTAAATGTGGGCTGTGTTGTCGTCCCTGTGCAAGCCTGAGAGGCAGACAGCACTGAGTCCACTGGATGCCTGCTTGTCTGGTTGCCCCTTAGACTATGGTACTCTCAGCAACACGGCTGTCCCATTATGTGCACATGCCCTGTTACAGCTTTTGGAGCCCCCCTTAGGACCGATGGTTCGAATTCTGGAAGTCCTAAACATTTGGGTCTTCCACGTCGCTGTTTATTCTGCAGATTTGAGGCTGGCGTGTTTGAGTTAGACGGGACACTGGGGCTGCCCGCTTTCCTTTGATGGTACGCCGAGGGCCTCTCTGCCCCGTGTGTTCCCTGAGGTTCCAGTGGGCTGCTTCAGGGAAGGCGGGCCGGGAATTCCTCTCTGTAAGACAGGCCCCGTTTTATGCAGCTGTGAACCTTGTGCTTGGGTGTAGTAGGTGGTCGGCTCTTTTCTTTTCTCCTGTTCACAGCACGCTTATAGCCAGAGCAGACTCTATGGTTTGCCTGGAGAGAGCTTGCACACACATCGTCACCCTGTCTCTGGTGGTTGTGGCTGCAGCCTCCCAGACGCCTCTCCCTGTCCCCACCCTTGACACGCCTGGAATCCGTGTTCTCCCTCGTTTCTCCGACTTCATCCCAGGACTTGGCCCTCACGGCTCCAGGAGCTGCTGAGGCAGCTTCATCTCAAAGCCAGGTCCTCTCCCTCCTGGTGACCTGGCCACCACCTTCTGCTCCTTAATGCTCTGTGCTGCTTCCAGCGCCAGTGCCTTTGCCTGTGCGCACCTGCCTGCCTCAGTCTCTCCTCTCCTCCTCCTCTCCACCCAGAAAACTACAACACTATCCCTTCTCTCTCAGCACCTCCTCCAGGAAGCCTTCCTGGACTCCCCAGGACATCCAACCCCTTGATACAGGCTCTCATTAATCCTGGAGTTCTCCTTCTGAATTCCTATCTCAATTATCATTGCATGATTCATATAATTAGATATTTTGTTCAACATATATTTGCTGAGAAATCGTGGGTGCCAGGCACTGTTATTCTAAATGCTGGGGATACAGCAGTAGATCAGCTAAGACTACTCTGGTTTGAAGAAAAAACAGGAATTCCTCAGAACACAGACTTGAAACCAGCCCAACGTTCCTGTTCTCACACAAGGAGAAGCCTAGCCAGCCATGGAGAGCTGCAGTGGTATAGTGGCCATGGAGAGCTGCAGTGTAGTGGCTGTGGAGAGCTGCGGTGGTGTAGTTGTGCTTCTCTGAGAAAGTGACGTCTGAGCATGGTTGTGAGTGGGATGACAGTGGCCACTGTGCAGGCTGGGAAGGAGACAGCAGTAGCACGGAGGCTGTGAAGCGAGAGCGAGGCTGGAGTGTGAGGGGCAGTGGCGGGGGGAGCGGGGGCGTGGGTGCGATGGGGTCATGGGGGACTGAGGCCAGAGAAGGAAGTGTGGCCCTGCCGAATTTGGGACCATTTGGGCTAGGGGGCCCCCAAAGAGACCTGCCGTGTGGAGACTAGCCATGGAGAACCGTGGTGGCGGAGTGGCCGTGGAGAGCTGCGGTGGTGGAGTAGCTCACAGTGTTGGGCCCTGATCTGTCAAGGCTTTTGGCCTTTTCCTCATGATCACTAGGTGGTTGCCACAGCTCCAGCCATCACATCTGCCATGTCAAGGAAGGAAGGGTAGGGGATGGTGCCATCTGACTTTAGAAAAAGTATATGAAAACAAGAACTCTCTGCAGGCTTCTCCTCGCTCTTTGGCTACAGTTGTGACACATTTGCTGCCTGTATTGGAGCTTACATTCTAGTGAAGGTGACACAACAAGTAAGCAAATCACGTCACTGTGATTCCAGGTCATGTAAGGAAAATAAGGCAGAGAAAGAAGGGGTGGAGGTGGTGACTGTTTTCGGCGGCTTCTCTGAGAAAGTGACGTCTGAGCATGGTTGTGAGTGAGATGACAGTGGCCACTGTGCAGGCTGGGAAGGAGACAGAGCGGTAGAGCGGAGGCTGTGAAGCGAGAGCGAGGCTGGAGTGTGAGGGGCAGTGGCAGGGGGAGCGGGGGCGTGGGTGCGATGGGGTCATGGGGGACTGAGGCCAGAGAAGGAAGTGTGGGCCTGCCGAATTTGGGACCATTTGGGCTAGGGGGTCCCCAATTTTTTTGGCACCAGGGACCAGTTTTGTGGAAGACTAACTTTTCCACAGATGGGAGTGGGGGGATGGTTTGGGGATGAAACTGTTCCACCTCAGATCACCAGGCACTAGATTCTCATAAGAAGCGTCCAGCCTAGATCCCTCCCATGCACAGTTCACAATAGGCTTCACACTCCTATGAGAATTTAATGCTGCCGCTGACCTGACAGTAACGCTGGCTCACCCGCTGCTTACCTCCTCCTCTGTGGCCCGTTTCCTAACAGGCCACGGACTGGACCCCTGGTTTAAGCCATATCCACAGGAAGTGTTTTCTCATCGTGATGGAAATGAAGGGAAGATGTGATCTGATTTACTTGTGTGTGTTTTCATTTTATTCTAATCTTTATTTTTTTAACTCAGAATTATTTTACACCTCAGTTTTTATTCAGAAAAGCATTAACCATCATTTGTTTTGCATATAAGACATGGTGAGATCACAATAAGTGGAGAATGTTTGCCATCGTTTTTCTACTTGACATCAACAGTGTAACATTAGCTTTTTTTTGTATGTTATATTTACCCATGTATTCATAATTTGGGGTACTCTTTATTTCTTTGTATAGCTCTCATTTTTCTTTTTCCTTTTTTTTCTTTCTTTTTGTGGGGACAGGGTCTTGCTCTGTTACCCAGGCTGGAGTGCAGTGGCACTACCGTGGCTCACTGCAGCCTCGACCTCCTGGGCTCAAGCAATCCTCCTGCCTCAGCCTCCCGAGTAGCTGGAACTACAGGCACATGCCACCAGCCTGGCTAATGTTTTTATGTTTTTTAGTAGAGCTGGGGTTTCGCCACATTGCCCAGACTGGTCTTGAACTCGTGGGCTGAAGTGATCCTCCTGCCTCGGCCTGCCAAAGTTCTGGGATTACGGGTGTGAGCCACCATGACTGGCCCAGATTGGATATTAATACAGTTTTTTTCTCCTTGAAAAGTTGACTCGTACTAACTGTAGAAAGCTGAGAGAATGCAGATAAAAAAGGAATAGTTTAAATCATCCTACCTTATTTGATTTTTTAAAAATAAACTGATTTTGGAATAATCTTAGATTTTTGGAAAAGTTGCAAGCAACGTATGGTGTGGTTTACTTTTTGTGGGTAATTTTTCTCCCCCCAGGAGATCACATTTGTCTCCTTCCAGTTTCTGGCACCTTAGCCCAGTAGCTCCTGTGTAGGGGTGCTAAGGCATTGGTTAAACGTCTCTTGATCGTTCCTGGTTTGTTTCCCGTTATTTTGTCTCCCTTTTGCTTCTCCCCTGGTTGGGTTTCTCCTCACTTCTCAGTGGGTTATTTCCACAATCGACCTTGGTTCTGGACCAGTCTTGACAGAGCTGCCAGAGGGAGCCTCGAAATGCAAACCAGCTGCATCTCCTCTTGTTGAAAACTCTGTGGCTTTTCAGGGAAAAGGCAGCCAGCAGGACCGGCCTGGCCATGGCGGCCTCAGGGCCCGAGGGTGGCTGTGTCCCCCACGCCTCTCCAGGCACACCAGGCCTCATCCCCCAGCTCTCGTGGCGGGTGCCTTCACCCTGGCCTGCGTGGCTCCTCGCCCGGGGGCCCCTCCCCATAGTTCAGTTCTCTGTGTAGGTGTCAGTTTCTCCATAAGCTCTCAGCTGCCCACACTCTCCCCCCGAAGTGTGGCCCCAGCCCTGCGGAGTGGTTCCCTAACCGCCACTCTGCCCACCTCGTGCTAGCCTGGGTGTGGGCTTGCCTGCTGGCTCTGGGCTCAGGCTGGGGTGCTGTCAGGGTTGCAGGGGTCACAGTGAATCTTCATCTTCCGTGGGCCAGTCCCCTTCCCAGCGTCCCTCCTGGGGCTGTGGGTCTGGCCTCCCCCGTTGAATGGCCCTCTCTTGAGGTTGTTGGGCATTGGTGAAGATCCTGATGGGGTCTCATCACTGGAGTCAGACGTCTTTCTTCCTGGGTCTGGGGCATGGCGGTATTACTGTGCGGGCTGTTGGGAGAGGGTCTGTTACCCTCATGGCTGCTTGTGACCTGTCCAGGCCACCACTGTGCCAGCCTTTGTGTGGCTGGTATTGTGGCTTCTAAGTTGAGCCTCCGCCTGGCTGGGTTGCGATGGTTTCACTCCTGTCAGGTTTTCATGCTATTGAAACTCACTTTTCTCACTGCCTGATTTCTGCCTTTTGTGGGTCCCTCCTGGTGTCCGTGATGCCCTCATTTAGTCTGCAGGCATCCCCCCACCTCTCTGCTCGCCCGGTGTGCACACCTGCTAGGTCAGCCCTGGGCATCGCATCAGAGACGCTGCCGTGCTCGGTGGCCTGGGGCTTCTGTCCTGTAGAGGCCTCAGCCATTGCATTTTAGGAATCGGCACTAAACTAACTTCTACTGCTGCCCACAGAAGAACTGTGCCAAATGCTCTGGTTGTCTACCGGAAAAAAAGGTAGTATGCAGGTTTCAGTGGCATATCAAATTCCATTTCTGTGGGCCTTTGTGGGAGGCTTGCTCTTAGCGGGGGCTGGTGGGGGTGGGGGGGGGTGGGGGTTTGTGGGGGTGGGTTCCAGCTCATTGTTGTGTTCAGGTGAAATGAGGCAGGGCTTTATTTTGATCCTATTTAGGTTGTAAGCAGGTCTGAGGAATTCACTTCCTCATGCTTCACATACCTAAATAATTAGCCAGTTGGATATGGACAGGAGCTGGAATCTGTTGCTCATTTGTAAGCCAGATTCTGAACTCATTCATTGTTGCAGTTATAAACTGGTTGCCTTTTTTCGGTTCTTGGAATGATTTGGATGGAGCTCACCTGGTCCCCCCAGCTCCCTGCTTTGTGATTGATTCAGTGTGTTCCCATGGCTTCAGGCCACCTTTGCTGGTCAGGGGAGCTGGTTCAGAGGGCTTGAGGCCAGCCTGCCCTTTGGATGAGAGGCCCATGCCATGATGCTGGTCATGGGGATAGCACCACAGGGCTCAGTCGGGGATATGCCAGAGCTTTAGGGTCCCTTGGGCCAGCAGCTGGGGTCCTTGGGCATTTCCTGGGTGGCGGTGCTCTCTGGGGTGCAGAGTTGGTCATTCCAGGGCAGGCAGTTCACTTGGCCACACCAGGTTTGGCTGGAAGCCTTCTCCACCGCATTCCCAACCGCTGGCCTCCCAAGTTTGGCTTCTTGTGGTCAGGGCCCAGACCATGATAACCTTGAGGACTCCTCTCTCCGGGAGACTGTCGGGGCTAAGCTGCCTGTGGCCCTCCACCGCCCTGCTCCTTCCTCCGGGTGGGGGACACCCCATCCCCCATGCCCCTACTTCAGCTTGCTGGGATTCACCCCCAGTGGCCTTCCAAGGCTCCTACCTTTCTCCCTGGCCCTGTCTCTGCACACTCCAATGTCTTCCCCTTTGGCTGACGCTTGGATTGGGGGTGAACTCGAGGTGTGGTCTGTGCAGAATGGCGTGACAGCCCTTCCAGCCCGTCACGGTGTGTAGTGCCCAAAGCCCTGGCCGTGGCCATCTCAGGTTAGACCCTCAGAGTGGCACTGTCAGGTAGAGGAGTCAGGGGTCTTATTGATGAGGAAATAGAGGCTTGAGAGAGGAGTGCGCAGCTAGTGTCTGACCAGCCCCCACATGGGGCACTCCCCAGTCCGAATGTCTGCAGTGCAGCTTCAGGCGCTGATGTGGGCAAACCCTTCCTCTCCCAGGCCGTCCCTTCCTGCAGCTGCTCGGACACTGGCACATGTTGGCAGGCGTCAGCACCAGGGCTGGGCTCCTGCCTGGGACTCGAATCGGGAGCAGGTCCCACGGAGGCAGAGCAGCCGAGAATCAACGGTGGCCATAGCCACCACATCCTGTTTCCAGGGGCAATGGTGGCAACAGTGCCAGCTGCCCTGCCTGCTGTGCCTGGTTGCCCCACAGATGTTTCCTGAAGCTTGATTTTGGCTGTGATTGGAGCGTGGCCAGTTCTGGTTCCTGCTATTTTCTGAGCCTGCTCCTCCAGCCTTCCCAGAAGTTCTTTGAGTTGTGGAGTAGCCTTTCAGTAAACGGCATTTGTGCTTAAATTAGCCCGTGTCAGTTTCTGACACCTGCTGTTAAGAGTGCTACCTGATGCAGGTGCTCGGGGCTGGCCAGGATCCCCACCTGAGTCTGGAGCCCTGAGCCCAGGCCTCCTGACTCCGACAGCCTGCAGCCCTGCCCGAACTGGGATGATAGAGCAGCAAACATGGCTCCATGGAGAGCGAAACCCAAGCTGGGCTGTTTACTGCCAGTCTGCTGGGAGCTTTGACCCACCATCGTGCAGGGCGAGTTTCCAAGAAATGGCGAGAGAGCATCCAGATTTCTCACGTTGCCTCTAGAGCCCTGTTGTCTGACCAGTATCTTCTGTGAACATACTTTGGGAAATGATCTCATGGACGCTTGGCCTGGATGGTGGTCACACTGGTAATTCAGTTCCACAAGTATTTTATGAGCCCCTTGTGTGTGTGATGTGTGCTGTTCTTCAGGGAGCCCTGAGCAGAGCTGCCAGCATCCTGCCTGAGAAGCAGTGGCCCGGGATGGTGGGAGATGTCTGCAGGCGCAGGGCGGAGGCTGTGGGCCAAGATTGTGGCTCTGAGAAATGGAGATGGGAGAAGGGGAGGCAGTCACTTTGGAAGAATGGGCGGGATGGTGATGATTTGAATGAGACTTGGGGGAGTTGGGGCAGCGTACTCCAGGGGATAAGATCAGAGGTGAAGGGGGTTGGGCTAAAATGTTGATCATGGTGGGAACAGTAGTGATCCCCAAATCCTACAGAGCCTTTGGGAAGCCTGGTCTTTGCATACGTTCCCTCTAAACTCGTGCCGACGTTGTGATTTGGTCTGATTTATCCTACAGACAAAGACAGTTGAAGCACCAAGAGTGATTTTCTCACAGCAAAGGGACAGAGGGTGGGAGGCCGTGATTTGCACCCCCTGCCTTTATCTGGCCCCTGCCACATGGTAAGTGGAAGGCAGGTGGCTCCTTCCACAGGGCTCTCTTTGCCCTCTCGGGAAGCCTGGTTTTTACCCTTGAGGCAGCAGGGAGGCTGCAGGGTGAGATGTTGAAGGAGTGTGATGTGGGCAGAGCCTCTGTGATGGGGCATGGTTTCTGGCACATCCCATTTCCATATTCTGGGGTGATCGAATGGGATCCGGTTCAAATCCCTGTCAGTCTGCACAGAAAAGGGGAGGTTTTGCAGGCGGCTCTGGAGTGTGACAGTTGAGGATTGAATCTTGAGAGTAATGCTTCTACAAAACACTTGTGTAGTTTGCGGTCCGCTGCCCGACCCTGGTCCCTTTAAGGGACATAAATGCACCTCTCTCTCCTCGTTCTTGGAAAGACAGATGAGAGAACCAAAGAGTGGCCTTAGAAGCATATGTAAGACACAGAAAGGAAAGATCAGCTGGAGTGCTGGTGAAGGGTTTCACAGGATAGGAGACCAGGCAGCAAGGTGCCCAGCGGACAAGCAGGGAGGGGGCCTTCAGTGAAGGCGCAGAGATTTGGGATGCATGTGGGATTCAGACCTGCTTCATTGTGGGAACAGAGCAGGAAGGTGCCAGTGAGCTGCCCTTCCAGGGGTCAGCAGACCTTTCTGTAGAGGGTTCCAGGGGTCCGCAGGCCTTTTCTGTAGAGGGCCAGAGAGTCAGTGTTCTGCGCTTGCAGGGCCACACTGCCTCTGTCACAACTGCTCACCTCTGCCACTGTAGCACGGAAGCAGCAGGAGATTGTGTGTAAATAAATGAACACAATTGTGTCTCAATAAAACTTTATTTACAAAGACAGGTGCAGTGAGTGAGCTTTGCCCCACAGGCTCTAATTTGTTGCCCCTGCTCCAGCCCCTTGATGTAGGGAGCCTTTGCTTTGTTGTTCTCAGTGAACTTTGAGGGCTGATGGTTGGGTTGGAGTGGAAAGAGCCCAGGTGTGATGGGAGCCGTGAGGATGGCCTTCCTTGAGTAGCCACGAGCTGCTGTGGGTCTTCCTGAGAAGCTGTGGCAATGGGAGGACAGAGGTAAAATAGCAAGACCCAGTGCCTAAGGAGGCTGAAGAGGGAGGATCGCTAGAGCCCAGGAGTTCAAGACTGCAGTGAGCTAGGATTGCACCGCTGCTCTCCAGCCTGGGTGGCAGAGCAAGACCTCGTCTCTAAAAAAAAAGAAAGAAATGTACAAGTGTAAAGGTAGCCTATAGATGTGTTCCCCTGTATTCCCCAGGCTCTATTCTTCAGCCTCCTGAGCAGCTGGAACTACAGGTGTGTGCTATCATACCCAGCTAATTTTAATTCTTTTGGGGCAGGGTCTTGCTACGTTGCCCAGTCTGGTTTCAACTCCTGAGTTCAAGTGATCTTCCTGTCTCAGCCTTCCAAAGTGCTGGGATTACAGGCATGAGCCACTGCACCCAGACTTGTACATCTCTTTAAATGTAAATTAAATGTGCTTTCCACAGCATTAGTGGAACACCCCAGCATTGCTCATCCTCTCCGGGCTGGCTCCTAACACAGGTGCCGTGGCATAGGTGCTGAGTTGAATCTCTGTTTTTGTAAGTCATTGCATACATGCTTCATTCTAAAATGTACTTTATTCCAAATATTGAACAGTTTGTCTTCGGGATTTATTGTCTGTGGTAGTTGTTTTATTAATTGTTTTAGTAAAACAAAGTTAGCTTAGTTGTGGGAATTATTTAAAAGGAGCTCTTACCAGGTCAGCTTCCTTCGGTGTTGCGTTGGTTAAAGATAAACGAGAAGAATCGGGATACAGTAATTTTAGGAAATAAAAGGAGACTGTAGTATTGGTTGGCTGCTCTAGGTAATGGTGGTAATTTTCTGTCTTCAGAGTAATCATATTGTGAAAATGATGCATCGTATAATTCCAAAAATGAGGAAGAGCTTTGGAATATATTTTGTGTCTTAAATAACCAGTACTTCTGTTGTGTGTTTTATATACGACCAGCCTCTTACCTATACACTTTGTCTTAAAAATTATTTCTGTTTAGGTACTTGGAAAAATGGACAAGGATTGTGAAATGAAACGCACCACACTGGACAGCCCTTTGGGGAAGCTGGAGCTGTCTGGTTGTGAGCAGGGTCTGCACGAAATAAAGCTCCTGGGCAAGGGGACGTCTGCAGCTGAGTAAGTATGAGCCCACGTGATCCTGTATACCGCACATGCTGAAGCAACCGAGGAGTATATGTGATAACGGCATGTTTTCCATTGATGGCAGGGTAACGCATAGCCTTACCCCCACAACCGCAACCACGAGTCCGTCTCTCAAAACAGTGTGCTGCGACGGCTCCTGCATTTGCAGCTTCCCTGTGTGTTGCCCAGGAGCTCTCCACCTCCGATGAACCCAGGGCCGTTCCCTTCATACCCTTTCATTAGTAGCTCTAAGATGTTTGATTAAGGTGTACGTTTACAGAGGAGTTGGTTGGTGATGAGCATTGAACATTTGGGTTCTTCGGCATATGTCTCTGGAAATTTAGAGACAGGGAGATGCAGGATTAATCTTGATTAAAAAAAAAAGCCCAGATCAGCGTTCCCTGTTCCTCCAGAGTCTGCCAGGTGAGTTTCATACTAGGACTGCTTGATGTTCTGGAATCCCTTAACCAGGAGTCCCAGTTGCCTTTTGAGAGCCGTGGTCAGACCCTTGGCGAGGGTGTGGCTGAGGATGGCCCTGCCAGGGGGAAGGGCCCGAAAGCCCCTTTTCAGCATGACTTTAAGTTCTTGTCATTTCTAAGAGCGTACATGTTTCTCTTTTTGTGAACAGCTCCCACTATATTTCTCTAATTGCAAAAACGTAAGAAATGTAAAGCATTCCTTAGTGTTTTGCTTTGAAATGTAACATTTAATTTCCTCCGTTCATTCTATTAAAATTGTAGCTCTTGTTATTTCTGACCAAAGAAGAAGAAGAAAAAAAAAACACCCACTCCTATGCTTGGTGTTTCTCTTAACTGGCTAATAAACACAATGCCAAGAACATTAGATAAAGAAAATACATAAGAAACATAAAAATTGATTTTAATGGGCCCCTGTCCGAGACAGCCATAATGAGCACAAGCGCAGTCATAAATATCAGCACTCGCCTCCGCTGTCGAGATTTTTCCTGTAGAGCTGCACGTTACAATCAATATAGTCTTTTTGAGACCAAAAAATAAGCAAACCTTTGAACCATGTGAATATACTCTTTTCAGTTTCTATGAGAACCATCTGGCTGTAGTGTTCAGAAAGTCACAGGCACCAAATAATTTGTAGGGGAAAATGTCATTTTGTCTTTTAGCATGTTCAGTTGCACAATAAATCATAGAAATTATGTGTTGGTTTTTTTTTTCTTTTGGGAAAAAGGTACAAAGTGAATTTGGGGAAGAAAAAGGAAAACAAAACAAAACAAACATTATAAGATATGTTTAGTTAAATGCCCATTGTGGATTAGGCAAATAGGATGAAGACGCTTAATTTTGAATTTCTACTTTATGAACTTTCTGAATCAAGTTAGGATCAGGTTCAGGTGTAAAAACAGCCGTGAAATAATGCTAAATCCTGAATAGGATCTGGCTGATTGCTCTCATGAAAACACACCTGTGGACAAACCATGGGAGCTGGGGCTGGTGCCTTCATGGCCCCTGGGAACTTGGGCTCCTCTGAGCTTGGGGTCTCCAGATGGTGGTCCCTGCCCTGGTGCTTCAAGACAGCTCCTGGGCCTCTGCCACAGGTAGGGGAGAAAGAAAGGAGGGCGTGTCATATATGGGCTAAAATTAGGTGTCTTGTGAGTAAGGAAGGAGTGGGATTTGGGGGGCAGCCAGCAGTATTTGTGTGTAGTTAATTTTAGTGGGGGGAGCATTTAAAAGTTTGAGAATAGTATATAAAAGTATATGAATAGTCAATTAAGTTTAACATTTTATCATTTTTAAAATTTAGGTAAAAATTACATAGAAGTCAGATTTCAAGTGTACAATTCATTTGACAAAAGTGTACAACCGTATAACTACCGCCGAAGATATAGAACATTCAAGATATGGAACATTCCAGAAAATTCCCTTGTGCCCCCTAAAGTTAGTCCTCTTTGTGAATTTTTGTTTCCATTTCTCCAGAGTAAATTCCTGAGTGTGGAATTGCTGGGCTGGATGGCAAATGTATGTTTAACTTGACAAGAAATTGCCAAAACTTTCTTCAGAGCGGGATGGAATTTCCACTAGCAGTGTGTGAGTTTCAGTTACTCCACGTTCTTGGCAGCACTTGGTGGTGTCAGTTTTTCAGATTTTAGCCATTCTGGCTGGTATGAAGTATATCTCATTGTGGTTCTAATTTGCACTTTGCTGATGACTTATCCTGATGAAGTCTTGGCCATTCCTATGTTTTCTTTGTGAAATATCTACTCAAGTCTTTTGCCCATTTTTTTTTTTTATTTCTTTGAGATGGAGGCTTGCTCTGTCACCTAGGCTGGAGTGCAGTGGTGCAATCTCGGCTCACTGCAACCTCCGCCTCCTGGGTTCAAGCAATTCTCCTGCCTCAGCCTCTGGAGTAGCTGGGATTACAGGCACGCACCGCCACACCTGGCTAATTTTTGTATTTTTAGTAGAGACAGGGTTTCACCATGTTGGTCAGGCTGGTCTCTAACTCCTGACCTTGTGATCTGCCTGCCTCGGCCTCCCAAAGTACTGGGATTACAGGCGTGAGCCACTGCGCCTGGCCACCTTTTGCTCATTTTAAAATTAGAGGTTTCTTGTTTGTGTTTTTGTTGATGTTATTGATTTGTGGTTCTGGATGTAAGACTTTTGTCAGATGTCTGTATTGTGATGATTTTCTCACAAGTTGGAGGCCTGCTTTTTTGTTTTTCCAATAGTGTCTTTTGATGAGTAGAGGTTTTAAATTTTGAACAAGTCCATATGTCTTTTTTTCCCTTTATGTTTAACACTTTTTGTGTTCCCTGTAAGAAATATTTGTCTACTGTAATGTCTGAAATAAATTCTCCCGTAATTTCTTTTAAAAGCTTTGTAGTTTTTTTTATGTTTAGATATATGTGATCCATTTTGAATTACCTTTTTGTGAGGTACAGAGTTTATTTTTTCCCTGTAGCTATTTAGTTGTTTTAGCATCATTTGTTGGAAAATAAAAATTGTCTCCTTTCTTCATTGAATTACCATCAGTTGACCAAGGGTGTGTGAGCCTGTTCCTGTTTTGCTCTGTTTGGTTCAGCCTACCTTTGCCTGTTCTATGCCCGTTCCATGCTGGCTTGGTTAGGTAGCTTTGTGATACATCTTTTGTTTTGTTTTGTTTTGTTTTGAGACGGAGTCTTGCTCTGTCGCCCAGGCTGGAGTGCAGTGGTGTGATCTCGACTCACTGCAAGCTGTGCCTCCTGGGTTCACGCCATTCTCCTGCCTCAGCCTCCCGAGTAGCTGAGACTACAGGCGCCTGCTGCCACGCCCGGCTAAATTTTTGTATATTTAGTAGAGACAGGGTTTCACTGTGTTAGCCAGGATGGTCTCCATCTCCTGACCTCGTGATCCACCCACCTCGGCCTCCCAAAGTGCTGGGATTACAGGCGTGAGCCACCGCGCCCGGCCTGTGATACATCTTGATGCTAGGTAATGTGAGTCCATGAATCCTCTAAATTTATTTATTTTTGAAAGGTTTGGCTTCTATGTCTCTTAAGTTTGCCTATTACTTTTAGAATTCAGGTGTAAATTTCTGCAATGATTCTTTTTTGGATTTCGACTGGGAGTTCATTGAACCTGGTTGTCAATTTTGGGAGGGTTGACATCTTGATACTGAAGTGTTCAGTTCTTGGCTTTGACTGGCGTCTGCATTTGTTTGGGTTCTTTCATTGTCCTCGGCAGCGTTGAGTGGTTTTTCAGCCTGGAGGCTTTGCTTATCTGGCAGACTCCATTTCTAAATACTTTGTTCTTGATGGTATTCTAAATTAGGTTGAAACTTTTTAACCTTTTAATTTATTGCTGCTTGTGTTTAACAACTGACTTGTATGTTGATCTTATATTCTGGGATCTTGACTTAATTCATGTATTTTTTCCAGGGTTGTTTTGAGATTGCTTAGGATTCTGTATAAAAATTCATGATGTCTATGAATAAAGACAATAGGCTTCTTCCTTTCTGATTGTTATGCTTTAATTTCTTCTATTGAGCTGTCCAGAACCCTCCAGGATGACTTCAGTAAGTGTGGTGACAACAGACGTCCTTCCCTGTTTCCTGGTTTGGGGGAGCTTGCAGGATTTCACCAGTGAGGACTTGCTCCCCATGTTGGGTTTCAGAGGCGTCTTCCTCACTGTGTGGAATTTTTGTCAAATGATATTTCATGTATGTGTTGACATAGTCATGTGCTCTTGCTCCTTTATTCTTTAAATTTGGTAGAATAAATTTTTAGAATTTTAAACCAGGTGTATACTTTTCTTTTTTTGGTACTGTCTTTGTCTTGTTTTGGAATTAGTCTCATTCTGATGACAGATCAATTTGGAAGCATTCCCTCTTCTATTTTCTGAAAGAGTTAAGTGTTGGATTGATATTACTTTATCTCCAAATTTTGGGATGAATGCACCTTGGATGCCATCTGGGTCTGGTGTCAGAAGCCTTTTGTGAAGCTTCCTGGTTTAGTAGAATTGGGTGCTGCCTTCCCTCATCTCGGGGTGCTCCCACCTGGAGCCATCTGTGCTCTGTGTGGCTGCTGTCCTCTGGTTGCTGAGTGACAGTGGCTGCTGGGATTTGGGGCAGCATCCTGCTGGCTCTGGCCCCTGCCCTCACCCTTCTCCGAGTGCCTATGAGTCCCAGGGTGGTCCTTGCTTCCTCTGAATGGGTGTTTCTTTAGTAGATAAATTACAGGTTGACCACTGGGCCTTCTTCAGTGACATTGCATCTGTGCTTGTGTACAAAGTGTGATTCCCGCTCCCCAGGTGAATCCACTTACCTGTGTGTGGCTTCGCACGGGGACCAATGACTTCCTTGCATAGTTACCTTTCCCTCCCTAAAAACGTGTGAGAAGCACATCAGTTGGGAAAGTGGTATATTTTCCAAAAGGGAAGCAACATAAGCTGCTTTTAAGTTAGTTTCATAACTGCCTGACAGTATCAGGTTTCTGTGAATGCCATCACGTCCAGGAGCACTTGGCCTCTGCAAGAGCGGAGCAGCTCCCCCGCGCCATCTTCCCGCAGCTGCAGAGCTCTGACCTCGTCAGATTCCCTGCAGTGCCCACAGTCTAATGAGAGGGGCCAGGCTGTATGTGTTTACTTTTCTAATGTTATTTTGGGGCTTGTTTAGTTTTCCATAATGTTGATTGCCGTATTTGATTACTTGAAAAAATGGACCGTATCACCCTGGGTCATACTTAGATTACAAAAATAGTAGCAGTAGGACTTGTAGATCTTGGAAGCTGGGGAGCTAAGGGGGCTCATCTTTCACTTACCAAGGGCTTACCCTTGTTTTTCATTCTTTTATTTTTTTCACATAAGCCTTTTCAGAAAAATATAGGAAAAGCTGATAGAGTCCAATTGAACTAAACCACTTTAAAACTTTTTGTATTTTGGAAAATGTGGGGACTACACACAGACTGTCTTCTACTGCAGAGGCTCTTTTTCTGTCTTCATGGTAGGGATCCATTTACAGGGTTTGTGGGTCTGCTTTTGGCATCTGGCCCAGCCAGCCCTTGGATTGAGGCTGGGTGGGGCATGCAGGTTGGCCCTGACCCTCTTCTGAGCACCTGGCTGGCTGGACAGATAGGGCCTTCAGTCACCAGCTAGGCTGGCCTGACCCTAGACCCTCTGGAACGTGAGAACGTATCCTGCCGGGCCTCTGTGTTGAACCTGGGAGGAGAGTTGTCTGATGTCATTGGATGCCCTATGAGTTTCTGCCCTCGAAACGTGCCCCATGGAAAGCGTGAAGATGCCTTTGAGCTTCCCGAAGGGCAGCTGCAGCAGGAGGTGACCTGCGTTTTGCCTCTCTCCTGCTCATCTCTAAATGTGTTCAGGAACTCAGTCGACCCTCAGCCGTGCATGGGGTCCCGGCTGGCTTGGTATGTGCACCTGCCGAGTCTGTGCTGCCAGTTATCCCCACGGCCTCTCCGTGCAGGTCGGTCTGACCAGTGCCAGTCGGATGGTTCCTCAAGGTCCACGGGCCATGAGAACCTTCCTGGGAACTTCACGAATTCGTTTTTTTCTGACAGATTGGGAAATTAATACAGACACTTGCCGCATTCACGTTACTATAATTGATCTTTCAAGGAGGAGAAGAAACTGTTCTTAAGGACAAACACTTAGAGAAGCACTGCCAGTAAAAATAACATCCAAAAAAACGCGCTCTGTAGGACTTTTACCTGCGGCAAGTTCGGCTGTCTCATTGCTTTTCCTCAGTGCCGTGAAATAATGATTTGTGTTGTATGTGCTTAAAAAATGTGATTATTTTACTTTATAGAGTGTTCCTTAAGGAGGTCTCTTGAGTCAAATAAGCATGTTTCTGTGAGGAAAACTTGCCAGGCGCTCCTTGGCTTTATAGAAATCGTCTGTTTTTCAAAAACGAATGGCTGAATGCCCTGGCGAGCCTGGAACCCCTTGTTCTTGCCCCTGCTGGCTCTGCGATTCCATGTCGGTGAGGCCTGTCCACGCTGACGGATGTTGCCTCCCGTTTCTGCCTGAGAGGGGTAAATGATCAGTGGTGGATAGGGAGTTCCTCTTGTGACTTATGTTATCAATAACACAAATTGTGCATATACTTCACCCCATGCTAAACATTTATAGTGCAGTGTCCTTTAGAAGCCAGACAATGGCCTCGTCTTTCAGGTTGATGGCTAAAAAGACAAGACAGGAAGCCAAGGTGTTTCTTTTCAGCTCCACAGATCCTTGTGATGAATTATGTTCCGTGACGAGAGGGTACGATGGGGGCCGACTGCTGGCCCCCGGACACACAGTGCTGCACATGGGGCCTGCAGAGGTGTTAGCGTAGCCCGTGATGGTGGCAGCTCTTGGACCTTAGTAAAATAAAGGGAAGCAGCATAACATATGCTTTTAAGTGAGGGTATGGCGTGAAAACCCTGCCGTTGTGTGATAGGAGACGGGCTCTGCAGGCTGAGCCTTCCAAGTCGTGAATGATGAGGTTTGCTGTGCTCCTCTGATTGGCAGCTGAAAGGGCAGGTCAGAGCTCCTCTCTACAGCACTGCGGAGAATCCCAGGCTGTGGAGCACTGGCCCATCCACCCCAGGACAGAGCTGCCTCGCCACAGAAGAGCGAGGTTCTGGGATTCACTGTGAAATTGTTGTATGGTTTCTGATCTAGAAAATCAAACCTAAACAATGCGCAACCTCACCAGCTTCGGTGCTCTTGATGTTTTCTCCCTGCAGCTGGTTCTTTGCTGACCTGGGGGCAGAGTAGACAGTGGTGGCAGCCAGGTGGATAGTATTTAAACAAGTGTCACTGAGATTTAGGGTCCTTATGTGCTGGACTCATCTAAGAAAAAAAAAAGCAATGCAAAAGTTTTATTTCTGTCAATTTTGTAACTGTGTTACAAGGAGACAGAGATGGCAAACGTGTGTGCCTGTGTCTGTGAGTCAGAAGCAAACTTGTTCATTTCATTTAATTTTAAGTCTGCCAGGAACTTCTTGGAAGGAAGAAAAGAATGGTTGAATGACAGCTACAAATAGGTGAGTTCAGAATATGATCCAAAGTGTCAGAGCAAAAGATTTTTTAAGTTTCCAACATTTGGAGTAAAAGAGCACTTTAGAGTAACAGGTAAATGGGTTAACTTCAGGCAGAGAGAGGTGGATGTTTCTGCCTCTCTGGTATGTTAAAATAAAACCCCTTAAATCCCCTGCTCTTAACAATAAGTTTCCATTTAAGAGTCATTGGGCTTCACCTCTGTTCGGCTCTGTTTGTGAAGGGAGGGCAGCTTTTCTGGGGAGATCATGCCCCTCTCTCCTTTATGTGGCCACAGAGATCCTTTCCCTGTTTTCATGAGGAGGAAACATGGAACCTTGGCACAATCCAGTTCTCATCTAGAATTACATTGTATGCTGTGCAGGCCAGGGGAGGAAAGATCCCGGAAGTGGCAGCCACCGGATAGGCACGTTGCCGCCACAGCCAGCATCGGCGTCTGTTCAGGTTTCAGGAAGGTCACTTCTTGGCTCAAATCCCTGGTATTTCCAGGTTGTCTTCAGACTGCGGCTTTCACCCTCAGGAAGCCCCAGCATGGCCTTGGGCCCAGCTTAGAGGCTTGTGGGGGTTTGGGTGTAGCCCCGTGCACAGTATCCTGTCTAGGATTCATAATCTTGCAACAGCCATCCCTGATGGGATTGGGTAAGATGACAGTGTCCTTTCTCGATGGCCCTGGTGCCCTGTGGAGTTGGGTCCTGGCCCTCACTACCCTGTTGCGTGGGTGGGCCACGCCCCTCCTGCTGATCAGCCTCTGTTGCAGAGAGTCTGGCCCTGTGGACCCCTGCCCCCGGCCCCAGGCCCTGTGTCTGCGCTGGGCTTGCATTGCCTGCCTCTCGGTCCCCTCGCCTCATTGCAGTTTGGTGCTTCTAATTAGTTGTGGTCTTGAAAAGCTGGTGAACAGGCTTGTCCACATTGTATGGGAAATAAGGTTCAATGAACCCCTGTGAGAAACGCCAAGTGTGGGATTTCTGACAGTATCCCACAGAAACATCTCAGAGCCCATTTCTGTTTCCTCCTGGAGTCTCTGTTTCTCCCAGAAGAGGCGGCGTGGCCAGGGGTCAGGCAGATGTCAAGGAAGTGAGGACTCGGAGGGACTGGCACCTGTGGAATAGCCCCTGCTTCGTCTGTCTGGCCTGGTGGGAGGAGGTGTCCTTCCGTCACTGCACTTCGTCCTTGGGACCCCTCTGTGAAGTTGTTGGCATCAATGTGCGTTTACCAATAAGAGAAATGGAGATGGGGTGAGGGATGGTGGGTTACAAGTCCTGGGGAAGACTTCAGGGAAGAAGTGGGTATTCCCTCTACTTAGCTGAACTTGCAGTAGAGACTGCCACTCTGGGAGTGACTTCTGTTCTCCTGTGAAATCCTCTGTGACTCTTGCCTGCAGTTGAGGGAGCCTCTGAGACCATCCTGATTGGGATTTGGTCAGTGGGAACTCAAGTCAGTATTGTCCTGGGGGCCTGAGTGCCAGTGTCTTAAAAATAGAGTGTCCTCCAGGTAATGTTGGATTTGGAAGTTCAGGCTCAGCACTGGATTTGTCCTCGTGATATCACTCGCCTACTGTACACATGAGTCATTGTAAAGTTACGACATGAGCTCGCATACGTGCTGGTATTAGAGCTCCTTGGACGGTGATGTGCTGTTTTAGAGGAGAAAAAGCTGAGATGAAACAAAAATGGTGGTGGCAGTTACCCAGGGCCACGTCTGTGGATGCCATCCTCAGGATGCCATTGCATCTCGGGCCAGCCTCCCTCTGCTTTTGCAAAAGCACAACCGTCTGGCCTCTACGACCACCAACACACACCTCTCATACTCTGGAATTTGATTTCTGGAATGCTTTTTTATTCTTCCTATATCTGTAAGATTTTCTGATATTTAAACTGGCTGCAACTAATGAATAGTTTTCAGTTTTGTTTTAAAAGTGTTCATGTCATTTAAGCTCTAAACTCTCACAATATACTTGGTTTGTTAAATGTAAAATTTTATCAGTAATTAGATCAGCTCCTTGATATTAATGTACAGGGTAGCTCTTGCGTGCTGATCAGTTCAGAATTTAAATTGAGTTAAAGGTTAAATGAGTTTAATTTTTGAATTGAACTGAAGCATTGTCTTGTGGCAAATTCATCCAGAATTTTTATTTCCAGTTGCTGTACAAGTGACGGAAGTGGGTCTTTTTGCGATAAAAACATTGTGAATACATTTAGGATTCAGTGAGCTTCTGTCATTTACTCGCTCATTCTCTAAACGTGTGAGTGCCCTGCTCCGTGTCAGACCAGATGGCAGGCCCTGCATGGGGTGGGGAGGGGCCAGAATGTGCAGCCCCACCTGCAGCCCAAGCCCAGCTCAGGGGCAGACAGGGGCAGACGGGGAAGTGGGCTGTTCCACACCTTGAGATTGGTGAATTCCTCAAGACAGCGGCTGGCAGGGGCCCAAGCCTAGGTGACTGGCCACAGAGCTGAATGGGGCTGACCGAGTTAGGACATCACTGGGTGGTGAACCAGGAGGCCCTGGCTGCTGACAGGATGTAGGGGCATGGAGGGGTAGCAGAAGGAGGCAGTTAAGAGGCTGCGAGCCCCCTCTTGGGCATCTGACGGGGTGGTGCTTCCTCCCAGGGCTAGGGGAGAGGTGAGCAAAGAATAACCTCAGGAAAAGAAATAAAAGACCTGGAGGAACAGTTTAACAAGTGGGTGGCCATGAAGAGCTACCAATGGAGACTGAAGGAAAACCAAGAAGGACCAGAGAGAGAATGGAGCCAGGAGGCTGGAAGGAGAGAGGCGGGTTTTGTGTCAGGATTGCCCAGAGCTCCCCGGAGAGGAGCATCTCTCCTCTCCATGGCAGAGCACAGAGGGTGGAACACTGACGTCAGATCTTCTTCAGGCCCTGAACGTAAGAATTCCTTGGTACCTGGTCTGCTTTGAGACTGACATGCTGTGTTTGATTAGTTTGACTTCGGGATGCCAGCTAAATGCTGTTTGCTCAGCATATGCCTGAACTGGAAATGGTTCCATCACAAAACAAACTGAATCAAATAGAACGTGGGGGTGGCTCAGTGGGGACACAGAGCCAGAGGTGAGTCTCCTTCACCCCAAACACCCCAAGTTCTAGATTTGTTCTTGGAGCTCTGTGTCAGGGTTGGGGTGGACAGGAGGGAGAGAATATCCTCCGCAGAAACACAGTTTATCACACTGCAGAATTCTTAGTGTTCTTCTGACAAGGACGTTTGTTCAGTTTCCCTCTAGACTGGGCCATGCTCTCTAAATAGAACTGAAATCATAGTTACAACTCAAAGGCAGTTGAGAGAAGAGTTCTAGCTTTGTTCCATAACGTCCTGTGTCTTGATTTCACTGTATCTGTCTGTTCATCCTGCTGGGGGCGTTAACCCACCTCTTCTCGTACAGGGTCATCTCTAGTTTCACTGAGGACCTCTGAGAACCCTAGTCCCTCTGTCCATACACATCGGCAGGAGACTCACCTCCCCCCTTTCCTCCTGTACCCCATCTGATCCACATGCACAAAACACACACATGCAAATATTTAAAAGTAGAAAGGCTTATGGACTGTATGACTTCAGTACACCTGCAGATTCATGGAGTGGTTCTGGAGAACATTGGTCCTTCTGCCGGCCTGGCAGCTACTTTAATTTCTGGTGTCCATTGGCAGAATACAAGCTCATAGTGTGTGCTGGGGGCTGGGTGGGGCAGGGGATTACCGTTTTCTTGCAGTGATTGTTCTTGATGGAATCCACATTACTGCTTTCAAAGCTGCTTTTCCTGTGCCTTCTTCCAGAAAGCTATCCTCCCGTCCTTGGTTGGCTGGGGCAGGTGAAGCATTAGGAAATGCTCTGTCTCTGCATTCTCTTCGAGTAACACTGGGGAGTGTTCATGGCTTCTGGCAGAACAGCAATGTTAGCCTTCAGCTGCTGAAGCAAGCCTTCTGCTCATTCTAGAGGCATCTTCTAAACAGATCTGCACTGGTCAGGTGGGGCTGGAGAAGGACTGGGCTGAGAGCACAGCTATGGGAGGCAATACTTGTTCTTGTTCCCAAGAAGCTGATGTGTCGTCCGGTGAGGTCTCTCGTCAGCCGAAGGTTGGCACAAGGTCGCCAGGCAAGGGCTTTTTGTATGTGAAGTATGCACATTCTAGCCACAGAGTTTTCTGCCAGGGTGTTTAGACAAGCTAAAAGTGGAATATAAACTGTATTCAATTTGCTAGGTTGCAATTATAAGGACAAACATGTTTTTAAGACTTAACCCATTATAGTAGGAAAATACAAGGCTTGGGGTATGCTGACTCTTTCCCTTGTTCGTCTCTCAAATAGAAAAATGGTGTGTGTAAGTAGGTGTTTGTATATGTACATTATAAGACATTCTAGAAATTTCTGTCCTATTTCTTTAATATTCTTGCCACTAAAAATATATGCTCCTGAAACTAGGGAAAAAGAAACTGTTTATCATTCTTCTGAATTATTACAGATACCCCAAAAGTAGCCTCCTCCAAATAGTGGTTTTTCTTTTCTAAAAATCACCTGGAAAAATACTGAGCTTTCTGATCTTTATTTTATCCTTTTCAGTGGCTCTGTTTGGAAGAGTTATTGTACAACCCAGCACTGCTTTTATTAAAAAGAAAACTGGGCCACTCATTTCCTTCAAAGTTTTTGGTGTGTTTAAATCTTCTCTAGGTAAACAAAACTTTTATTGAAAATAATATTTTGAGACCGTGACACCCTTCTCACAAGAAGCGGTGCTGAAAGCCCCCTTGTTGGCTGGTCCTGCAGGCAGCCTGGCGTCTGCTTTGCCTGTGGGCCGTGCAGGGTGCTGGGGGCAGTGGGGAGAGGCGTCAGTCCCACCTGCAGCTTTCGGGGGGGTGCTGGGGAGGCAGATTTGACATGAACGCAAATAAGTGCAAGGACCATCAGGGCAAAGAGACCCAGGAGACCAGGCCAGGGGAGGAGGCAGAGAGCCTGGTCAGGCCAGGCTGGTCCTCCAGGTCCAGGCCCTGCAGGATCCTGGAAGGCGTGAAGATGGGCTGGAGGTGTGAGCACCAAGAATGGGGCGCGGCCTGACCTTGGGTCTCTAGAAGTTACCCTGTGGTGGCATTTTCTATAATTGATGTCATAAATAGCTGGCTTCTTTGTTAGAATTCATTTACTTACTAAGTTTGGCAAATATGTTGAAGGAAAGAAATGTGAGTGTGTGGATGGATTTCAGCACGTTGACATCAGTGCCTGTCTCCTTGGTGCCTGTTGGAGACACCGTGTTGGAATAAGGATGAGGTTCCTCCCTCAGAATGGTTGATCCATTTCCTTCAGTTCTTCTTCAGTTTTGCAGCTTTTCTCCCCTAACTGTAGCAGACCATCTCCTGGAATCTCATATTAAAGGCATAATTAATCATGTGATATCCTCTCGTTTTTTGCATCAGAGTTTTCAAGAGCCCTCCAGATTTTTATTGCCTGCAGATCCGTGTGCTTAGACATAGTACCGTCAGCAGTAAACTGGCTTCTGGAGAAGAAATTGACAAACAACTTTATAGTTGCATTTTTAGCCTTAATATCTGAGGGCGAGAAGAATGTTCAGGATTTATGAAGTTCCTGAATTTAAAATATAAGCAATAAAATGTTCCTAATGTGGGGTCCCCATCTGCATCTATTATTACAAACTCTTAAAGTCACTTTAGCCTAACATGTCAATAGGAGTTTTCTTCTCTTTCTCTTTTCTTTTTGACAAATTGTGTCCAAGCAAATTAGTTTGCTTGCATGAAGCGTCATCTGTGTTTGCAAGCTGGAACAGTTTTGCTGGTTAAGCAGTCTAGAGATGATAAAATTTTTTGTCCGAGTATGACTTTGGTGGTGAATTTAAAAGAATCACGGCCGCTGCTGGAAGCTCAGAGGAGAGGTCCATTTTAAAGGGCGTCTGCTGCACTCAGCCCAAAGCGTTACGGGGATTGTTTGAATTGACAAAATGAAAATATGTATTATATTTTCTCTTTTTAAAATCCATTTACAGTTTATTTGTCTGATATGGAGGAGCAGAGGTATAAATTACAGAGAAATTGTCATCATATCCTCTGGATGATAAGTAGGGCCAGGGCTTCTGTTTATTTCGGTGGTTGGTTACCCACTCAGGACAGTAAAATCACAAAGTTTTAGCTAAGGAAGGAGAAATCCCTTCTGCCTGTATAATAAATGTTGTTTTGACCCAACTACACTGTTTCTTGTGATAAAAATATGTCACTTAAGGTTTCCTGCATCTGCCATTTGTGAACGTACAGTTGAGCGACATTAGTTGGTGCCATCTGTGAGTGCACAGTGCAGCAACTTTAGGGGGTTCACAATGTTCCGCAGCCATCACCGCCGCCCAGCACTGGCATGTTTCACAGTGTTCCGCAGCCATCACCGCCACCCAGCACCGGCATGTTTCACAGTGTTCCGCAGCCACCACCGCCGCCCAGCACCGGCATGTTTCACAGTGTTCCGCAGCCACCACCGCCACCCAGCACCGGAATGTTTCACAGTGTTCCGCAGCCATCACCACCACCCAGCACTGGAATGTTTCTGTGTTTTGATTCTTTTTTTTTTTTTTTTGAGACTTAATCTCGCTCTGTCACCTAGGCTGGAGTACAGTGGTGCGATCTCGGCTCACTGCAACCTCCATCTCCCAGGTTCAAGTGATTCTCG
The DNA here is from genome assembly GCF_000001405.40 of Homo sapiens. Taxonomy (NCBI): domain Eukaryota; kingdom Metazoa; phylum Chordata; class Mammalia; order Primates; family Hominidae; genus Homo; species Homo sapiens. The sequence continues at coordinate 129,550,558 of NC_000010.11, forward strand.
CGCCTCAGCCCCCCAAGTAGCTGGGATTACAGGTGCACGCCACCACGCCCAGCTAATTTTTGTATTTTTAGTAGAGATGGGGTTTCACCGTGTTGCCAGGATGGTCTCGATCTCCTGACCTCAGGTGATCCACCTTCCTTAGTCTCCCAAAGTCCTGGGATTACAGGCGTGAGCCACCGTGCCTGGCTTCATCTCCAGAACTTTTCTGTCTTGCAGAACTGAAACCCGTACCCATTAAACACTAACTCCCCATTTCTGCCAGCCCATCCCCTGGCACCCACCCTACTCCTTTCCGTCTTGATGCTAACACACCTTGTGTGGGTTCCTCCAAGTCAAGAGAAGGAGTGTCCAAAGACCCCTGAGACCAGAACCCTCTGCCAACGTTGGTAGTGCTGTTTCGGCCTGGAGGGCAGGTGGGCCTCTGGGCACTTCTTCGTCAGGACATGGAGCCATTTCGGGTAGGGCCCTGGGTCTACCCTGTCCCAGCCCCGTTCCCTATCAGAAACCCGAGGCCCAGAGGTGCAGGGCAGCTGCAGCACCAGGGTGGACAGATGTTGATGATCAGTGGGAAGGAATTCAAAGAAATAGAACATTCTACACAAATGTGGGGAGGTATCTTTAGTAAAAACAGGACCCAAGTACATGCAAAGTGCACTGTGAGGGAGAGAGATGCTCTGAAGAAAGGCACTGTTTTTACATTAATGAGCATTTAAATGATGCTGGGTTAACCATTTGGCTTTTTGTACCTTGTCACCATCTCCTTTATGGTGTGATTGGACTTTCGAGAGAAGGTGGAGGAAGGTTAATAGATAGGTAGGAGAGTTGCAGGCAGGAAAGACAGAAGGCCCCGGGGATGATAGGTGGGGCAGAGGGAGGGATGGAGAGGTGACTTCAGGAAGAGCATCAGCTGCCGCAGGCCAGGGCACCCTCAGGAAGCAGGCCCCCCATGCTTGCAGCTGCCCCCGGGAGCCCTCATCCCCAGTCTGACAACTCGAGGTAGATCTGGGTTGCTCTTTATTTTTTGATGATTTTTGCATAGTTTCAAGGATCAGTGTCTTCTACACTGATATTCTATCTCTGTAAGTTTCTCCGAGGTATTTTCACCTGTACTGACATTGTAGTCTTTCCTTACTCTCTTATTTATTTATTTACCAGACCCCACCACTGGGTGCAGTGATCAAAACCAAAATATCAAACCAGCACCAGAAACTCTTCAGCAGACCGGTGGAACATGCCTTAGAGAAAGCCAGAGGGGTCAGGCATAGCCTCCTGTGCCTGGCCTGCGCTCGCCTGGGAAGGGCACCCCTCGCTGTCCAAGAGTGACCCCAGGCCACAGAAACCACGCTGAGTACCAAAGGCGAGTCCCCAGGGTGTGGGCAGGCTCCTTGCTGGCATGTTCAGCCCAGGCTTGCCGGAAGTGGGGCTCAGGCTCTGTCTGTGGGATAATGATCAGAAGCTTGGCAGTCATGGGACCAGGATAAGAAGAACCAAAGGACAGCTCTCCTCTCATGGTTATGGGCCAAAAAATAGGTGATTGTTTTAACTGTGGAAACTGACCCACTAAGGGGGACCTGCTGAGAGGAAGGCCAGTGGGGCCGCAGACAGGAGGGGAGGCCACAGCCGCCCACCCGCTCATGGCCGAGCGCCCCGTTTCCTGAACATGTGGGAGGGGCAGGCTCCCCACATGGGAACCACTGGGCCGTGACTGTGGCGCTCCAGCTGCTGGCAGTGCACACCCGGTGGGGCCCTCTGTGGCTTGAGCTGCGTCACCATGACGCTGCATGCCCAGGTGGTCATCCAGGAGGATGACTCTGTGCAGACCTGTGTGCCCCCGGGCCTGGGCCTCCTGCACCCCAGAGGTCAGTGACAGTGGAAATTGCCACAGACGTGGGTTTGTGGCCTTCAAAGCCTTCAATGTCACAGAATTCTGAGTCTTTAGCTAAATTAAGTACATGTTCACGTGAGTGTGTGATTTCTCCATGAGGACTGAGCCTCATAGTTTGTCCCTGTACCGGTGTCAGTTCATCGCTTTGGTCTTGGTGGAGAATTCTGCATCGCAGGCACATCGTCTGGTTAGCGGGAGACATGTTTGGCCAGCGGTGAAAGACTGCCTTGCCCGAGTTCCTGAGACTTCGGGGCTACTGATGGCAGGGAGAGGCTGGCCGAGGGCAGGGCCACGCGGTCCCCTTCTGCTGATGTCCGTGAGGACTGGGCACAGCTGCCAGAGTCAAGGGCACGGAAGTGCAAGCAGTCCGTCCTTTTCTGAAGCCTGCTCTTTTTGTTTTTCCCCACGTGTGTCACCTTTTAACGTTTTTTTCCTGGCTTTTTCATTAATGTATGTAAAAATATTAAAAGCCCTTGTATATTACATGAAAAACTATGTCAGCTGCCTTGCTTTTTTCTATTTATTAAAACTTTTCAAGCAGTAAAAACATTTTACTTGTTAATGAGGGAAAGTGGGAAAATTAATGACATAGAGCTTGGATCCACCACGATGTCTCCTCTTAACCATGCGCAGCCAGCTTCCCACCGCATGGAGTTTAATTTCTGCGATAGGGTTCAGTAAGCAAATGCAAATAGATTTAATGATTTGCATCAGTAGATCATTTCTCAGTTTAATATCCTCTGATATTTTGGGTCAAGGACTCTTTCTTTGGGAGACTAGTATAATTTCTAGAGGTAGAATTATTAATATTAGTGATATTACATTATGTTGAAGTGAAGTGAGATAGATGTATCATTTTCACAAAGTCAGATTTCTGCGTGACTTTTATTCATTGTGGTGCAAAGGAAACCCTGGCTGCTGAAGTAGACTTAGGAGCAGGCAGAATTCCTGGACGCAGGTGCCTTGGAGTGAGGTGACCCTCTCTGGCCCCCAGCACCTTGCGAGCAGTGGTTTTTGCATCTGTTCACCAGCGCATGTGAACCTGTGGGCCCGGGGGACACGTGGTCCATTTTTGTTGAGTACGTTCAACAAAGGAATGAATTAAAATGAGAACTCTTTTCAGCAAACGCTGATGGAGCTTTCTGTGTCTCGTGTGTGGCACCATGCTGACGGAATGACGAGAAACCACAACCTGGCCTCAAGGAGCTTTGTCTACTGCGGGAGACAGAGATGGTGGCAGATCAGTCCTGGAGGCACAAGGAGAGAGTGGTAGAAATACACAAAAGGCATTGAAGACCAGTGGAGCATCAGGGTCACTTTCACAGGGAGGAGGCCAGGGGTCTTGTTGCCTGCCTGCCCCAAACGTGGCCTCCATTCCTTCTTTCTGTCTCCCGCTGGAAAGGCTGAGTGCAGGTGCCAGCTCTCTCTGCCTCACTGAGCGGGTATGTGTGAGAAGCGTAGGCCTACTGGCAGGCTCCTGGGGAAGACGTTTCTCCCCTGATACAAAGAGCAGCATGAGGAAGACTCTCCCGGCTCCCCAGTCTGCGGACACAGTTGTGTGAATGTGATTGCAGGAGGGAGCTGGGCAGCTGTTATGTGACCATGAGGGCGTGGGACTGGGGCTGAAAGGTGGCGTGCTGCCAATGAGAAAGATGGGGAGAGCTGGGCACCTGCTGGCCCTGTGGCCGGCCAGGCCGCCTCTGAACACCTATTCTGTGACCTGATGTGCATCCTCATCACACACTGCAGCCGTGAGCAGCACGCAGGTGATGACGGGTCATACGCCATCTGGGGACTTGATGCTCCTTTTAGCAAATACAGAAAGTACAAAGGAAATAAGAATCAGTTCCATTAATCAGTGATAGTCTTTTGGTGTAATTCCTTCTAGCTTTTTTTTTGTTTTCATCGACATATTTAAAATCAGTTTTGAATTCTACTTAATTTTATATCTTAAGCATTTTTCTTGTTCTGACATCTTTTTAAGCATGATTTTTCAAGGTCTGTGCTTGGTTCTTTGTTAAGGCCTGTTGCGTGGTTGTACGTGGTGGTATTTTAACTGTCTATGTCCTGGTGAACCTCTATGTTTTTGTTTCTGTTTACTGGGCTGCAGTAAACAGTCTCGATGAACACTATGTAGCCCTGGGTGAGTGCTTCCTGAGCAAGCTTGCTTTTTGGCCTTTCTCCCTGTAGCTTTTTTGTCTGTAACACCCCTTTCTGTATTGCAGGTTGGCTTCTGAAATCAAATGTGACCCTAAGTGACTCCTCACTGTTTTTAAGATAAGAAAGCATTAGCTCTGTGTTTTCCTAGCCCCTCCGTTCTTGTACTTAGACCCTTCACTCTGAACAGCAGGTATGCCAGCCTGTACTTCCTGGCATTATTACCCAGTGGCCCATAGCTCAGAAGTGACATTGTGTGGTGTGAACGCTGTCTCCGGAGCGAGATTCCTAACTCCTCTACTTTACAGCTATAAAGTGGACAAATCACTTCACTCCATGCCTCAGTTTCCCCAGGTATCACACATGGGGACTATAATAGCATCTAACCACATAGATTGTTGGACAATTAAATGAGCTGACCAGCAGGAAACTCTTAGAACAACGCCACCCCATAGTAAGCACTCAATAAATGGCAACTGCTGCCGTTGATGAGGATGACGATGGTGCTATTTCTACCACTTCCTAAGGTCGCCCCTGCGTGCTCAGCAGCCACCTCCACCCTGCCCTACCCGCTGCCCACATATTTCATAGGCCTCCTTAGATGTCCCTGTCTTTGAGCCGGGAGCCCTCGCACTCCCAGGCTTGCTTCAGATCCCTTGCCTGAGCCTGTCCAGCACTTTGAGCCCGCTCTGCCCGAGCGCTGTTCTCCTTCCGTGCCGTGCTGTCTGCTGTGAGTCCTGGAGAACAGGGACCATGTCTATCTTGCTGGCCTTAGTACCCCTCACAGGGCCTAGCCCAGGGGGCACTCAAGAAATTGTAAAGATCCATAGGCCGGGCGTGGTGGCTCACACCTGTAATCCCAGCACTTTGGGAGGCCAAGGCAAGAGACTCACTTGAGGCCAGGAGTTTGAGAACAGCCTGGGCAACATAGATTCTGTCTCTACAAAAAAACTTAAAAAAAAAAAATTATCCAGGCCTGGTGGAAGGCGTCTGCAGTGTCAGCTACTCAGGAGGCTGAGGCGGGAGGACCGCTTGAGCCCAGGAGTTCAGAGCTGCAGTGAGCTGTGATTATGCCACTGCACTGCAGCCTGGGCAACAGAGTGAGACCCTGTCTCTAAAAAAAAAATAAAATAAAAAATAAAGATCCTGTAAGTGAAGGGTTAGAAGAGTGGAATATATGTGCTCTTAACAAAGAATGGTGTGATTATAGAGATGGGAGGTGAAAAGTAGCACGAATTCCAAGTTTTATTTTCGGCAACTCCGTCAGAGTCCTGAATGTTCTTTACCCAGTTTCTCACTCCCACTGGGACTCTCTAGGGCCAGCGGGAACCCTGCAGGCATTCGGAGAACTGAGCGCTGGCTGGACCTCCTCAAAACGGGGCACCCTCCAGGGAGCTGTCGAGGGGCTCTTCTGCCTCTTCAGAAACCATCATCAGCTGTGAAATGTGGGCTTCCAAGTGGTTTTGTGTCTCCTCAGTTTACAGAGTCCATGTTTTTGGTGACTCTTGCCTTGGACCCTGATGGCGCTGGGGGGTTTCATCGCCATTTAACCCTCCGCGTCTCACAGAGACCAAGCAGTGCTTTCGGGATCGCTCTGTTGGTCTCTGTGTAGCACGTGGCCCCCAAAATTTAGGTGTTGAAGTCCTCATCCTCAGAACCTCTGGATGTGACAGTATTTTTGAGATAGGGTCTCTTAGAAAGGTGATTAGGGTAACTCAGGGTCATTAGAGGAGCCCCTCACCCAGTGTGACCGGTGTCCCCATGAGATGGAGGTTGTGGCACAGACACACGGAGGGATGGCCACGTGAGGACCCTGGGAGAAGGCTGCCTTCTGCAAGCCAAGGAGAGAGCGCCTTGGAGAAAACCAGCTGTGCCTACACCTTGGGTTCAGACTTGCAGCACCCAGGCTGCAGGGCTTCGTCAGGGCAGCCCTGGCGGAAGAACGCAGCCTCGTCGGTGGGTTTGGTGATGCTGTGCAGTTCAGCTTTACCGTCTTGCTGCAGCGGGAACGTCCTGCTGTAGAAGAGGCGCCGCCATCCCAGACAGTGTTCATAAACACCGACGGCAAAGTCAGGACGGGCAGGAGCGTTCTAGGCAAATGATGAAAATGGTATTTTACACATATTTGAAAAGAAAGGTTTGAGAAGGCATCCATTATTAAAACCAAATTCAACAGAGAATTTAAAAACTGGCTGTGGTGAGCAATGTTAGTCCCAAATCACTTTTTCACAACTTGTTTCTGTTCTGTCGTAGGGCTAGTGAGACCAGCTTTCCCTTGAGTTCTGGGGCGGGACGTGGAATGTTTGTGAGGCTACCCTTCATTGAAGGGGGGCCCGTGATGTTGAGTGTTCACCGTCTTTCAGAACGTTTGTGCGGTGGCGTGTCCCTTCTGTAAATTGCTGTGACCTGGGCTGCATGCTCCACAGTCAGACTCGCTTCGCCCTCTTACTGGTCTTCATTAATTCGTGGTCCCTGGAGTGGAGCGGGAAATACAGATATCCACCTCCTCTCATTATCCAAATACAATAACAAATTACGAAGCATCTTATCCTACCAACCATTATCCTATCAGAAAGCATGTGCTAATTTCGAGGAAGCAAGAGGAACTATGTCAGATGTGCCATGAGATGTAAAATGTACTCGCCCTGTATCTTGGTCTTCTCCTAGCAGTATCTTGTCTGACAATCTCCTTGTTTAACTTCTTGGGCTTTTTCTTTGACATCTTCCCACCTTTCCCTAAGGGTTTAACTGTCTTAGATCTCCTTGTCTGCTTCTGCCCGAGACTCTGGGTCCCTGTCAACTCGGGTAGAATTTTATTGGTATTTTTAGGCTCTTTAACATACTTTAATCATTGTGTTGCTGCATATATTTCTTCTAAGATAGAAGTAAATTGTAATTGTCCTCAGATAATAACCTAGGACCTTAAAATACACACAAATGTACACACTAATGAATTTTGTAAATATTACATAACTCGGTAATTATTGTTTCAAATTAGATAATGCAGAAATCTCTGGATTTTTATGTCGGTGTTTATAAAGCATTTTAATGATAATTGGGGAAGTTGGTTGTGGGTTTTTAGCTAGAACAGGAACCCATTATAATTTTTCCCAATTATAATAATGGGACATAAGCCTCTGTAACCTGAAATTTTCCTCTATGACATGTTTTCAGAAGTAGAATTATTAGATTTGATGAGTGTGGATGCCTAGGTTTGTAGTCAACTTTTTGAACTGAGCTAATCAATGCATATTTGGGAAGAGCATATAATCCAAAATATTGGGTCTACAAATGTAAGATTGCCTTTGGTGATGAGTTGGTGTCATCTGTCTTCTGTAGGAAATGAAGGGCCTCTTGCAGTGTGCTGTGCCTCATTTTAAACCTTTAACTGGCAAGTGGTCCTGATCTTCCCTCTGGACAGCTGCGGGAAGAGGTTTCCCGGTTTACCTTGGCCCCCGTAACACCACATCATCCCACGTGTGCGTGAAGAGCCCGCACAGGCCCCCTGTGCGCCCGGGGTCAGGTGTGGATGGGGTCGGGGTATTTCCAGTACTTGCGCTTCGGAGTCTTTTTAAAATTGAGAGCTCATCTATTGTTGATAAATGGCCAAATATAAATGTATAACACCTTGATTAATAGGCTGCTATGAAATTGAAGGTGGTCTTTTCTAGGAAATCCTCATTGAAATACTGCCCATTTTGAATAAGTCTAATAGTACGATGAACCACACCCTTAGTGGAAACGTTATAGGATGCAAATAGGAAGATTTGTGGGTGTTTTTCCTTCATGAATTTGTTGTTATCTTTGCAGAAGTGAAGAATATCAATATTTTATGGCCTTTCTTTGGGATTCGTGTTTATTACCAGTGATGCAGAGCGTGGCCCTGGTCCTCAGCGCCTCTGCCTTTGTGGTGGCGGGGGCCAGTTTGCCTGGTGGGGAGGTGTGTGTGTTTTCACCAAGTTAGCAAATTTCCTGTTTTCTCTTTTAAAATGGAAGGCTAGCTTCCTCTCCCATTGGCTTTTTCTGGAGATTGGAAATGGTATTACAGTCTTTGTTGTGTTATTGTGGAAATCTCCGGCGTCTCTCCTGATGTTGCCGCCCTGCACGGCCGTTGGAGAGTACTTGCAGGCAGCCCCGCTCCACACCACTTTTATCATCTTCATTTTCATTCTTTTGTGAAAATGTAGTTGCTTTGGAGCCTTTCGAAAAGTGTGTCAGATCATTTTTGCCATTTCTCTTTTTCCTTTTACTTTCTGTTATTTTCCATTTCGATCTCAGATACCCTTCTTAGGAAGCTGCATCCCCGACGCCGGGCTGGTCTGTTCTGCTCTGGGGGCGGCGTGTGCTCTCATTTCACTCCCATAATCAGCTTTGGCATATGGGATTCAGAGACGCAGTGCTTGGTCTTCTGAGATGTTTTGTGCAGCAGCTAGGTGATGTCCCAGTTCTCCTGGAATATTTGCATCGACCAGGATGCTGTTTCTGCGTCGGAACGTGGTGTCTTTGTTTACCCTTAGGCATTATCTTGCTTGTTTACCTAAATCTTTAACTCTCCTTAGGTGAGTGACTTCACTGATACTAAGAGTGATTAAAATAATGTGATGTATGGAGTCAACTTAGGCAATACATTTACCTGTACACCACACGTCCAATATTTATTCAGAATGATTTTTTTCAAATATTTAATAAGAATGAATAATTGAATGTACTATAGCCTTCTTACTTTGCCCTGCGATCCCATAAGACCTTTAAAGCTAAAACTAGTTTGGGCCCTTGAGGGGTTTATAGAAATTAGGTATGTCTGAGTATGGAAATGGCTGGCATGGTGAAAGAATTGAGTCCTTAAGTAATTTGCTATTCCCAGTGATAATTAGAAGAAACCCCTGTTCTAGCTCCATTTTCCCATTTTTTTTAATGTTTTAGGGGAGATTTCTTTAGGTATTAGCGGCTGATCTTTTTTTTCTTACCATGTACTCCCGCTGTAAGGTGAGTGGTTTTGGCATATTGTGTTGCCTTGATGGGTTATTAAATCGTCACTTGGAAGGATGAATGTGGGTTATAGAGTATGTTGTGCCATATATCATCTTAGTCATCAGGAATGTTTCAGAAAACTGAATAAGAGTAAAGTTTTTTAAATTTATGATTGAAATTAGCAATTTTATTAGGTCCTTTTAAAAAAACCTACAAACTTTTAAAGTTTTTCTCAAAATATACATCTTTGTTCTCAGAAGAGGTCTGCAGACTGCCCTAATTTGTCTTTTGAAAGGACACAGAATTTTAGCAGAATACTTATGCTGCAGAAATGGACAAATGCAGGTGCTGTTCCTTGGATGGTCAGCATGGAAGGTTGACGTGCTCCAAGATTTACTGTGCGTCACCTTAGCCATCAGTCCCATCGTATTCATTTAACTCCACTAATAAGAAACGGAGCAAAAGTGGAATTATGAGTTCAGTAGTATTCTATGAAAGGTCAGTTGTTAAAAAGGCAGAGTCTGACATTCTGTGAAAAAGGTGCCTTCATTAATCATTCTGATGGGAGAGCACGGGGCGTTCTTGACCAATACCAGTGAACCTTGCAATGCAAAGTTTCAGGGTCTGATGTGTAAGTTCTTATATAAAAACGAGGATCGTTTGAATATATGTTGAGATCATTCAAGGAATTGCTTTACCTTTGCTGTTTAAAAGTGTGTATATGATATAGAACACGTTATTAAATGTGCATTACTGTTTTGAAAAAGGAAAAACACCTGTTAATTTTATAGATAAATTATGGAAATCTGTGGTAGACACAGCTCCAGGCAGTAATGCATTTCCAAGCGAATGAATGGACATTTCCTATATGGATCATCTACAGATATTGGTAAGGTTTCTTTAAGTCTCTTTTGTACTCTGCATTCGTGGCTAAACCTATGCACTTTGACCCTGTTCTGCAAAACAAACCATGGCCTACTTTCAGACTCTCCTTCGTTCTTTTGCTGTTGGTTACGGTGGCAGAGTGCCTACTGTGTACACAGAATCTAGACATTTCACATTGAATTATCTGAGTATTTATGTGCCCTGACAATTCAGCGTTAAAGTTCAATACAAATATATAAATTATTAAGCAGTTAACCAGTGACACATTCATCAGCTGAACGTCTTTTATTGTGGCCTGTAGACAGATTATTTTCATTCAGCCATTAAAGCACAATATTGTCGGGTGAAATTCTGTTTCTGGATTTTCTTTGTCTCTGTTGCTGCTATGGAATTTCATTGAAAGCATCGAAATATGAGACTAACACAGAATACTGAGTGTTTCTTTTCAGAAACGGGAACTTTCAGACATTTTCTCTCCAGCTGAATTCAGTAAAGAGCAGTGTGTGTGTGTGTGTGTGTGTGTGTGTGTGTGTGTGTGTGTGTTCCTTTCCCAGCCAGCAGTGTTATATCTGAAGGGAAGGGTGGGGATGAGCTGTGGTGCCGCCCTTCACGCCATTGAGACGGGCTGGGAAGGTGCCCTTTCACCCTCTACCTGCAGTTGGTGCCTAGTGATTTTAAAGATTCAGGAATGTCTTTCACCGTGATTCTCACTATTAACCAATCTCACGTATCTAACTTTCCTTACTATATTATTAGTTACTACTTTCTATACAAGAGAGAGGTGGAGCCTGCCTGTGTCACGATGGGGAAGGCCCTTGGGATTCGCTCTGTGGGTGCGGGCAGCGACAGGGGTGGGTCAGGGTGCAGGCGGTGAGACGGCGAGCGAGGAGGTCGGGAAGGAGCCTCCACACCCCAGCAGGGCCCATTCCACACGAGACCCCAGACGAGGGGAGCAGAAGCTGCTGGTGCCTCTCTGTTCTTTGCCGGATGCTACCGTTGTCTGTGGCCACACTTGCTTCTTCAGGTGTGGAAATAGAAGCTCAGAGAAGTTAAACAATGCGCCAAATGTTACACCTTCCCATTCTAACGATTTTGTCAATTTCGGTGTCAAGGTGATATCTTGTCTGATGGTGGAGGTCATAGTTGTCTGTGAGGACATGGTATCCACCCTCAAGCATGTAATTATGCATGGAGAGGGCTCAGTTCAGTTTTACCGAGACACAGTTTATTGGAGTCTACAAATAGCATAAACTGCTATGTCTGCAGTGTTACCATTCTCTTTCCTTATTGTCATAATTTTTGTTTAATGGCTGTTTGTGCTACATTGACCAGGTCCATGGGTTGCTTAACATAAATGATTACATTTGCTTATGATTAAAAACTTCCTCCATTAGAAGCACTGCACCCAGGACTTGTAAATGATTTGTTGTTAAAGTTTTCTACTTCATTAGCCACGTCGTTGACTCCAGAGTCATTGTCTAAGAGTTAGGAACACTTGTAATGAGCTGTATAATATGGACCCTCGAACGAAATTTAAAAAGAGACCAAGCCTTCTAGGAACAGCTTAGCATGCAGATAAAAGGCTAGGAAAATGTGTGAACAGCGCCAGGCTGTAGGCTGAGGCACGTTCCATTCTGACTCAGAATGGCATGGGTGAATAAAGTCTTTTATGATGGAGCAAGACTTGTTGTAAAAAATTATATACCATTCATGACCAAAATCCTTCAAAACACTCCGTCACCATTCCCTTCTGAACCCTATAGCTTAAGTTCTAAGCATCTTGTGAGTCTCTTGATAGAGCGTTGAAAACTCCATGCAATGGTCTTTGGGACGCCATTCGAACCTGGCCTGCCCCTTGCTGGCACCTTGTTCGTCTTTGGCTCCATCCGGGGATTTGATTGTCAGTGACCCACCTGATTACAGTGGGCTGCCATGGCCCTGGCCTCGTGGTACAAAAACATGGACGATTTTGTGATTTATTATCGGAGGACAGCTAGCAAAGAGAACTTCCTGGAATAACTGCATTAAATGTGATGGGCATTTTTGTGACAGATGTAAAATTCTTAATCTTGAAAGCAGTTGCATGTGTCAGGCAGACTGGGTGTTAATTTTCTGACAGCAGTAGGAGGAGCTTTTTTTCCCCATTACAGATGGAATTAGGTCTACTTTGTACACAGTACTTTGTGACAGTGACTCTGGCCAGGGGAGGGGATATGCTGGTTCTGGAGTCTGAGAAGATGGGGCTGAGCCAGCTGTGACTCGGCCACACGTGGCTGTGGGACTTCGCACTGACTACGCAGCCTCTGCCAGGTTTCTTTGTAAAAGTGAAGTTAACACCGATCTCACAATATCTGGGGAGGAATAAATAGGAACACACATGCTGAGTTAAAGTCCTCAGTTATTTCGTCTTCAGCGACAGATGATCCCCGACTTACCGTGGTTCAGCGTTTGAGTTTTCGAGCTTTATGATGGTGCAGAAGCAGCCTACGTGCAGTAGAAACTGTACCACAAGTGCCCGTGCCACCATTCTGCGTCTCAGTACAGTATTGAATAAAGGACATGACACAGTCACCACTTTATTATAAAATAGGCTCGTGTTCACTGATGCTGCCCAACTGTAGCTAATTCAAGTGTTGTGAGCACGTTTAAGGCAGGCTGGGTGGAACCATGGCGTTTGGTGTATTGAATGTGTTTTCAGGGTCGATGTTTTTAACTTTCACTGAATGTATCAGGATGTAGCCCCATCATAAGTCGAGGCACATCTCTGTTTGAGTGCCTGTTACGTGCTGGCCATGGTCCCAGGCCTGCGGGATGCAGAGGCGAGGACAGTGTTTGAGTTTCTAGCGTGCTCACTGTGTGTGGGTAGGATGACCCTGCCGGTCTGTGCCCTGGCTTAGTGAACTAGATCTCGTTGGTGTCCTGAGGCCGAGTCTTCTGTGGTTTCTCTGGAGAGTGTGGCTCTCCCTGGTCAGTATTGTGACCTCAGTTACCACTTTCTGTCCCCTACATTCATATACTCCCATTCATGTATTTAACAATTCTTTACTGCTGTAAGATAAATGGTTTTCAATTATGAGTTTTGTCATGAAAATTTAATTTTTTAAAAAAAATCAAAAGACCTGGATGTGGTGTGAGCATGCGGAGCTCCCCTTTCTGCCCAGGCCTTTACCTTCCTGCTAGGAGGCAAGGTCAGCCCAGGGACAGTGCTGGGAGAGAGCGGAGTTCCGTCGTTCATGGGTTGCTAATTTTTGGAGTACTGCAATACAATTAAATATACTTAACCTTAAAATTACCCAGAATGTGATTGAATCTGTGATTCACAGGCCCCTTCTGGTTCTCCCGTGCCTCGGTGTGATCATTAGGAGGATGGATCAACCTGGTGCTATCGGGAACGCACTGCGTTAATGGCCTCAGTGCCCAGCAATGGAGAACTTTCCACTGAGTATCCGCATGCAGCGTGCCCGGCGGAAGGTGAAAGCTTCACCCTTTGTCTCCCTTGCCATCCTTTGGCCTTGTGTGTTTGGAAGTAGCCAGAGGTGGTGGAACAGTGGTGGGCTGGTTTGGGTCTTGTTGGCAGTGCCAAAGGGACAAAGGCTGGATGTGGGCACGACCTCAGCCTCGTGATGGGCAAGACAGGTGGGGGTGACTTTCTGTTCTGAAAATGACCTCCTCCCCTTCTTCCTCCCCTCAAGCTTCCTACCTTTCCTCCCCCTCCCCCTCCCTTCTTCTTCCACTCCCCCACTTCTTCCTCCTCTCCCCCTCCTTCCCCCTTCCCCCTCCTCTTCCCCCTTCCCCCTCCTCTTCCCCTTCCTCCTCCTCTTCCCCCTCTCCTTCCTCCCCCTCCTTCCTCCCCCTCTCCTTCCTCCCCCCTCTTTCCTCCCCCTCTTTCCTCTTCTCCCCTTCCTCCTCCTCCTCTTCCTTCCTCTCCCCTCCCCCTCCTCCTCCTTCTCTTCCTCCTCTACCCCTTGCTCCTTCTCTTCCCCTTCTTCTTCCTCTCTCTCCCCTTCCTGTCTTTCCCCTTCCTCCTCCCTTCCTCCTCCCCTCCTCCTCCCCTTCTTCCTCCACTTCCTCATTTTCCTCCTCCACTTCCTCATCTTCCTCTTCTTCCTCCTCATTATTTTCCTCCTCCTCCCCCTCATTTTCCTCCTCCTCCCCCTCCTCCTCCTCCCCTGCTTCCCCTCCTCTGCTTCCTCACCCTCCTCTCCTTCCTCCCCCTCCTCTCCTTCCTCCTCCTCCTCTCCTTCCTCCTCTTCCTCCTCCTCCTGCCCTTCTTTTCCTCTGTCTTCCTGTTTTCTTCCCTTTCCCCTGCTGTATTCCTTCCTCACACGCCCCCCTCAGCCTCTTTTCTGGGGACTGGCTCTTCTAGGAGGCCTGCCTCAAGGCCCTCAGGCCAGTTCCCGGGGCAGCCACTGAGCAGAACCGCCCCTCCCAGCGCCCACCTATGGCCACTGCCCTCAGGGTCCCTTCCTCCAGCATGGTGCTGGCGGATGGCGCCATAAACAGGCTGTCACTCATCTGCAGGCTGCCTTGTCTTTCCCCCAGCAGATTAAAGCCTTCATGAAAAAAGATGGAGGGCGCTTGACTTTGCGACACGCACATTCTGCCGTCTTGGGAAGGGGGAAAGAGGGGCATCTAGCTGGGCGCTGCGTGTAGCCTGCCCGGCGGGGCCGGGGTGTGGCAGGACCGAAGCCTGCTCCTCGTGTGGGGCCCGGCGCGAAAACAGCTTGTGCAGCCGCTGAGTGACTGAGGACCGTGTCCCAGTGTAGTGTCATTTCCTCGTACATGTGGAGTTTAAAGAATTATAGGTACCTTGAGCTACTGGCAGGTAAAAGACAGTAAAAAAAAAAAAAATAGTGAAAGACACAGTCTACCCTCTGAACTGATCTACAAGGCTATGAAAGCATCACTTTGAATAATATGCAGTAGATATGTTAGAAAAATGTAATATTGGTGTGTGGACCCCTCAGCCTCTTTGACGAGTGTTGTAATATATCTTGTTGAATGATGAATATGCTACCGTATGTTTCAACTATTCCTTTCTTGTGGCTGAAAGAAAAATATATTGAAAATGAATGTAAAATATTGACATTTAGTAGTTGTTATGCTCCACTGTAATTTCTTGTTGCTTTGGATGTGGTAGACACCTCACTAATTACACGGTGTGTACATGCGCACCTGTAACAGGAGCCGCGTGAAAGTCTGATTGGAACTCTGACTTGATCAGCCCATGTTCTTCTGCCATAGCCACAGGAGCATCTGAACGTGGTGATGGAAGAAGACCCTGGCGCCCCGTCTCCCCGTGGATTAGCGGCCCTACTGTGAGATCCTGGTGATCTTGATGATCGAGGGTTATTTGAAGCAGTTCATTTTGTGCTGCAGTTCATTGAAATGCCACCACCCAGAAGACCCCTGAGTTTCCAGAGGTCCTGGTGCTTTTTTTGCTGGGGCTTGGACCGGAGCGTCTTTAGAGTGACCACTGCCAGGGAAGACACCGTGGTCGGGGCCTGTGATTCCTGCCGGGGCCCCAGGCAGGCTGGAGCCACAGGTCTGAGTTCTGTCCAGTTCAGGTTCGTAGGCCACTCTTGCAGCTCTGTTCCTTCTTCAGCTCCTCTGGTCATTCACACGTGGCCTGGCCACTTGCCTATTGTACCAGCTCTCCAGGGCTGGGGACTTGCTAGAGCAGGGTTCCCAGTGCCCCCAGGCTCTACTTTGCTCTGCCTGGTCTCAGGGTGTAGGGGATGGAGAGCTGGACTTCCAGCCTGCTTCTTGGCTGTCTAGGTGCCAGGGGCTCGGGACACAGAGCTCCTGGAGGCCGAGCACAAGCCTTGGGCAGAGGTGAGGCAGAGCTCTGACTGTTTCATTCGACTACGTTGCCAAGGAGATGCTCGCTCGGAGTGGTTGCTCTGGCTCTGGGATTCCAAACCAAGCTGCCTTCTCTGATGTGGCCTTAGTGCTCTGGGCGGATGTACCTTGGCTCTGCCTGGACCCTCTCTCTCTTCCAGGCCTCTGTCCCACCAGGATGA
Source organism: Homo sapiens (assembly GCF_000001405.40). Taxonomy (NCBI): domain Eukaryota; kingdom Metazoa; phylum Chordata; class Mammalia; order Primates; family Hominidae; genus Homo; species Homo sapiens. The sequence goes on from NC_000010.11 coordinate 129,566,479, forward strand.
TGCCTATCCAGAGCTCATTGTCCTCTCCCACTTCCTCCCCGAGCTTCCCATTCCGTGTCTCTCTGGAGGGCCCATCATCATCCTGGTGGAGGTGTTGCACTGAGGACCACAGCAGCCCTCGCATTCCTACACATACCCCTTTGCCCGTGGGATTTTTGCTGTTTCTCTTCTCCCACTGTTGGTCGTTGGCTGGATCTCGTTGAAGGCCTGCGGAGATTCAGGTGCCATAGGGAGGGTCTGGGACTTTTCTCTCGGAGGCCCCATGAAGTTGGTATTCCTCAGCTCTGCCCCAGGGTCCCTCTGATTCCACGGAGGAGCTGCGGAAAGTCCACATTTTTGAAGAGCTGCAGGCTGGGGAGCCCCCGTGGCGAACAGAGGCTCTAAGAGAGGGGTCTTTGTTTTGGGGCAGTGAGACTGAGTGGCCAGTGAGCAATCCGTCATCAATGGAGATCAATACCCAGGAGGTGCCATCTCTCTTGGCGGGTGACACGTAACTGTTACAAATGGGTGCCTGTCCCTGTCACGTCACCGGAGTGTGCGTCTTGATGCCCTGGCTCCCTGAGGCAGCTCGTGTTTTCGAGTGTTTCCATTTTAGAGACCCGGAAAAGGGATCCTTAGAGCTGCTTTGTTTTCCTTTTTCACCAGAAACAAATGCCTTTGTGCTTCTCCCGCCTGCGGACTCCCACTGCGTTCAGCCCGTGCGGGTGGTCATCGGCCAGACCCATCCAGCCTGTGGCCCGTCCCCTCCACCTCTCACAGCCACCTAGGAAAGTAGTTCTCAGCTCTAAGGGGCATTGTCTGTTCCAAGAAGAATGACTGCTCCCTGCCACCTCCCACCCCCATCCCATGTCCCCATCATAGACCCAGCAGGACAGACCCCCCCAGAGAGCCAGTGGCCTTCTTGCCCATAACTCGTTGGTGCTGGAGAGCTGTGGGTAGCGTAGCAAGTGCCACTGAGCATCCTGGAAACCCTGGGAGGGGTCCCGGCGAGAAAGAGCCATCACCCTAAGAAGATTCAGGAATGGGATGATCATGGGGTTCAGGGTGCCCCAACAGTAGGTTGAAAATCCTGTCCCTGGCCAGGAGGCAGGGAAGTAGCAACCTTATTCAAGGGGAAAAAAAACCTCCTGGAGTCTAGATACAGTATCTTAGTAGTAATAAAAGCACGGGTACAGATTTACTGGTGTCGGAGTTTTAACTGTAATACTGTGGAATGGTAGGTTATTTTGTGTTCAAGAGCTACATTTATCACAAAAATGATGATATACAAATCACTTCCATATCACAAAATGTTCTTGGTCAAAATTGGCTTGAGGCAAGTGATATCTTCGAGTAAACAGTATATGAAGACCATATCTTAAAATGATAGATCACCTAATTTTGTTCTGACAGAGGTTTTTGCCGCAACAAACATCTGTCATTGAAATACCAATTCAGAGATATGGAAGCCAAATTGTAGAGGTTTTCCTGGATTTGTCACTCCTAACTTAAGAATGCTACTGTTCCCATCGTAGCTTTTATAAGATATTAGGCAGTGTTGCACTTTAAGAGACATTAAAACAAAATAAACAATTCAGAGAAATACGCTTTAAATGCAAACCAACCATTAAAAAGTATAGAAGTCAGGAATGGGCCGAGACAGCCTGGCTGTTTTTATGTGCAGACATCACATTAAGCTCGCTTTACTTGGAGATTTTGAACTGTAGAGGCCTCCAGGCCTCCTGCCTTCACTTGAGGTTTTTGGTGCTTTTTAAAGGACTGTGATAATGATGTTATTCCCAAGATGTGAAGGACCATTCTGGTGCTGTCCTGACAGGGGAGCAGGTTTACAGCTCAGGACACTGGGGTGCCACGGGGACCTGGGGGTCTCCTTGTGCCTGGGATTCCTCCTCGTCAGGAGCCCTCACTCAGGAAGCCCTGCACGGGGGCAAATGTCCTGGGATTGGAGAGGCAAGCGTGAATCAGACATTTCCAAAGACGACACCGAAGAACTTCTGCTGTATTCCAAGTTAAAAACTAATTGATCTTGGTCCAAACTATCATAGGATAGTTAAAAAAAACACACAATAGAATTTCTGAGGTGCTTGGGAGACATTTTAGAAATATGTCATTGGTGACCACTTTTTATAGGCTGAATTAAGAGGAAAAAAAGGTAAAATATCTTTTAAAGTCTCCAGTTTCTGAGACCCCTCTGGAGATGATTTCATTGAGTTCCTCCCTCTGACAGCTCCTATGGACCTGGAGGGCTCTGGTTTCTGGAGTAGCATGGGAGCTGGCCCTGGTCCTGGCTCTCCTGCCCACCTCTGCCCCCTTTTCCCTGCCCCCTCCTGACTGCAGCCACCAGTGCCCGCCATTTCTTCCTGCGCTGCAACAGCTCTGGCCAGTCCTCTCCTTATTCTGTAGGTTGAAGTACATTCCTGGAATCCAGGTTTTCAAAGCATTCTATGCAGTTTCTTGCATGAAATACAGGAGCAGCCTTTCCTGGGCTGCCTCACACATTGGGCTTCTGTATTCCTTTATGACAGTGTGAGGCAGGCCTGGCTAATGTCTTCCAGCCCATTCATCTCCCCACAGGGTATGAGATGATGGGCTTTAGCGTCAGACAGCTGGGCCCACACTCCGGCTCGGCCACTTACGGGCTCTGGCAGGTTACCTCAGCTGTTGAACTCGTGAGCTGTGACTTCCTCCTCTGCTAATGCGGCACTCTCATGCCTGCCTCGCAGGTTCAGATGTGACGATAGACATAAAACACCTGGCCCGGCTCCGGCGCACAGATGCTGAAGTCAGTTTTCTGAGGTCGTGGTGGGGGCGGGGGTGAGGGTGGCAATGGAAATAGTGACAACAGTAGTTGGCGTTGTCATCCTGTTTACGGCTAGCCTGCGAGTGGCTCAGGCGAATCCAGCACAGCCTTGTCCTCGGGTTAGCTGCCCTCTCAGAGCTTCACATCATAACTAGTTCATTTATCATCCACGCTAGAGACTGGTCTTCCAGAGGATATTCCTACCTCAGAGCCCCTTCCTCCCGACGTGCTGGGACGGCCCCTGCTGTTGCCTGGCTTTGCCTGGTATTACAAGGGACCTCAACCTCCTGTGCTCTTACCCGGGCCTGACTTGGGTGATGCCCAGAATCCCAGTCATGAGGGGACCATGACTGTGGGCCAGTTGCTGACAACCTTGGTGGGTTGTAGACTCATGAAAGAAACACTCCTTTGCCTCCTGACCTTGTGCATCAGGGAGGATGCAGGAGGAACGGAAGATTGAGCCCGGGGAGTGCTGTCTCGGCAGTGCCACTTCAGACAAGTGAGTGTCCCTTTGTGGGACGTGTTCTCAACAGGCACAGGTGACCTTATAGGTATTGGGATGATGGGGGTGTGCCTGCAGGTTGTGAATTACTTTTTGCCTTCAGAGCCACCAACACATTCACACAAACATTTGTTTTCCTTTTGATTTTATCAGGAGAATTTTGTTTCTTTGCCCGCCTGAACATTGCTTGCCCTCCATAATTGAGTGTAGACTAACTCTGCAGCCTAAGCCAAAGTACATCTTTTGTCTGTGCGAAGAGAAAGTTCCATTTCCCTTTACCAAGTTATCTCCATGGCCCTTGGCCACAGCACCCTCCGCAGACCCTCACGTGCATGGCCGCAGCAGACTGCCCACACATTTGCACACTGACATTGGTCTTATTCTCATCAACTAATAATTAAACCAGAATCCAAGTAAGTGCAAGAATCAAAGGCTTTGAGTAGGAACAAAAGGCTATGTTACTTTGTATCCTTAACTAAGAATTTTGTTGTTCAAGAAATCCTGGGCTTTTGTTGGTGTAGCTCTGCAAGTCAGCAGCACCCGGGTTCCACCCGGTGCTTACAGGTCACGAGTCCAGTGACGCTGATTGAGGTGTGTCACCAAATATGCTGCAGATCCGGGGCCAGCCCACCTGGGCCTCCGGCCACGGTCTGTGCCCACGTGTCACGAGGCACATCCCGGGTCATCCGGAGAGGGACCTACAAAGTCTATTTTCAAACCAAGTTATTTTGTGAAATATTGTAGTGAACTTATCAAAACTGGTGAAGTTGATGAAGTGAAATGAAAATACTGCCATGAAAATTATTTTAGTGCAACATAATGAGTTCTGTTTTTCATATCTGGCAGATATTACCTACTAAATCTAATCTGCAATGCTGAGAATTATGCCATTTTTTATGATTTGTTTAATTTTGACTGAAAAAAATTGACTATTCATCGATTCTTGACCTGCGAGTATTGAGGGAAAAATTTAGTTAATAAGAATTTTCATGAGGTGTAAATTTAAATGTATGAGGATTCTGCCTATCCTTTAATACTATAGACATTAATTTAAAAATTCTATAAGGGCCTGAGGGCCTGGGGTGTCTGAAGAACAGAACATGGAGGCAGTTATGGTTGTTAACTGGTAGACAAGGTCTGTCAAGATAATATAGGAATATTTTGGTGTTTTCCCTATATCCTTGGTTATATGTGGCTGAGCATAATTAGAAGTTAAATTTGTTTTAGATAATCTCTTCGGCTGTGAAATGGCATCAATACACTTAAGAGTAACAAGTCGAATAGAAATCAGGGCCTGTTGTTAGTGTATGAGCACACACCACACAAAGTTTCTTCTTGGTTCCCTATTTCCGCAGTTCAAAGGGGGTTTTAAAGAAGTCATAAAAAATGAAGGATCCTAATATTGCAGTTGGAGACTGAGAGTGAATGACATATTCTTTACACACCTCAACTGTCAACATTTCTAATCAAATCACCCAGCCTTCTTACTTCTTAAATGATACAGGCGATATTTCCTGTAATAAACACCCCTAAGTCTAATGAGAGGCCCTAAGGCAACTTGAAATATATGAATTCATTATAATTGAACAACATAATCTGCAGGGCAAAGATGCCTGCTACCCAGCTCTGAACTTCACAGAGCTTGGGTGTTTTATGAAAAATGTTATACGTTTTGTTTACAACGTATGGCTGCTGTTTGAAGTATTGTATGTTCCTGTAGTACATAAGACGGGGCCGCATAATGGAGGAAAAATCAAGGAGGCAATCTTTCATTTTGTTCTGGTATGAAAAATTCAAAAGACTGAAAACTCACCCAGAGAAATTTTGCAAGCATATTATTTTCCAATGTTTCGATCAATTTGTCTGTCAACCATGCTGAGAGGTGGAAGGGGCCAGCAAAAGCAATTTAGCTTGTGAGGTCCAAAATAGAAATGTTTTAGGGAACCTTGTCACATGTTATTTCTTTATATTAGAACCGCCGTGTGTTTTATTTGCTGGTCATAATATGAAGAGAAATTGATATCAATCATCTAAGTAAGCTATGAATATCTGATATAAATATGACTTTTATATGCATGCATCAGAATACAATATAAATTAACCTCTTCATGCATGCAAGAATCGTTAGTGCGACAGCGGGCTCCCTGTTTTGGATTTTTCCATTTGACAATTCACGGTGCATTTTAATTGATTGTACCCAAGTGACACTCCGTGGAAGCATCTTGCATGTGAACGTAACTGACCCTGCCAGGGCTTTAATTAAGCTATAATCTTCCTTTAGTCAGTGCATCTGGGATTGATAAACATATGTAAACCATGCTGACCATCTAAGTGTTGCTTTAAAGAAAAAAATGGTGCAGATATGGGAGTTTTAAATAAACGGCTTTGATGTTACCTCCAGTTGAATTTTTAGTTGGGATTTGTTAAGATCAAGTTATCTTAGGAGTAGTTAATTCTAAGGTGAATATACAATCTTGGTGAAACTTGTCCTGGAAAACCTGTAATTCTGTGATTAGTCTGTGTGTACCCCAACACTTTTTCTTCAAATCTTAGATTAACACTGAATACATTAAGGTTATTTTTCAAACAGGTTATAGTTCAGAGAAATTAATTTAAATCAGTTGGCTTACAGAAGACCCAGTTTAGTTTTAATTTGCCTTAACAGCCAGGGTCTTCCTGCTCTACTTACTTAGACGTCCTCAGAGTGTCTTCTGAGTAGTTGGCTACCATTTGCATGGCATGATTCCGCTCTCGGAGCTTGATATCTTTCCAGATTTTCAGAATTTAGAATTAAGTGTGGAAGTCAAGCATACTGAAAGTTTTTTATACTATGGATGCTGATAAATAGAAATAAACTATGACAAATTAATTCAGAAATCTTTCCACTCAGTGTAGATATTAAGTTGTGGTCATACGGAAGAAGTCTTGAAACACGATTTACAGTAAATTATGATAATTTGGGATAGAGACTGTGCCATTAAGAGTTGTTAAACAGCATGATTCAGACAGCTCTGTTTTTTCCAGTGACTGCCTATTCCTTTATTGTATATGTGTACCCAAGTGATGCTCTCACATTTATCTTAAGTCCCTATTATTAATATACATTTAAAGTCTCCCGAGGTTTTGTTTGGTTTGCTTTGGTCCTTTTTTGGAGTGATTTGAAGCAAAGTTAATTGTGGAACCTATTTATAGACATCTTTCTATACTTGCACAAGTCTGTGTATAATCAATTCTGAGAAGTAGAATTTAAAATTTAGTGCTTTGAAAATTGTCCTCATTTTAATTTTTTGGATTTTAATTAGGTAAGGTTGAACATTTTTCCTTATTTTCATTGATTGTTTGGGGTTCCTTGGTAAAATGCTTGCTTTTGTTTCCTGTTGGGTTATTTTGTCTTTTTCTTATTGATATGTGAGAACTTTTTGCATATTAAAGAAAGACCATCATTTCTATTTTGATTTTGCCCAGGGAATTTTTTTCAGAATAAGAAATTCAACTAGATTTTTAAAAAACTTTTAATTGGGCAATAATTTCAGATTTACAGAAAAGTCACAAAGATTGTACAGATCCTTCACCCAGGATCTCCCAATGTTAACAGCTTACATAACCATAGTACATGGTTTGTCAAAACTAGGAGATTAACATTGGTCCATTGTGGTCAGATTTTTAAGTCCCTTCCTATGGCTTCTAAATTTATGAGGTGCTTACACAAAGGCCTTTTTAACCTTAAGATTTTTTTTTTGTTTTGCTTTTGTTAATCATATATGTTTATTTCCTTCTACTTTTTAAATGTTGTTTTTCATATTTTCATCTCTATTTATTTATTTGAAATGTGTTTTAATTTAAAGAGTCTTGGTTGGAACCTATCTTTATTTTCATCTAAATGCTAACTAACCAACTTTTTCAGTATCTTTTGAATTACTCGACTTTGTGTTTACACACATTTTACAAGGACAACAAAAAAGTGCCTGCTGATTGACTTTGTAGTCAATCATAACCCTTGACCATATTTTTTTTGGTGGTACTTCATATATGAAAGAGTATAAAATCTAGGTTATTTAATGTTGTTATAAAATTATTCTAAGATCACCGAATGGAGAATACTTAGATTCTAAATAAGTGACTTTGTGAGAATTGAATTTTTATATCATTAACCAATTCTAAGACATTTTAAAGAAGGCAGAATGATCTAACCCAATACTTCATATACTTAGTTTTACTGTGGAATCCCAAGGGCAACATGTCCCCCGACCCAACGACAAAATAACATATATTCCTATTAAGTTTAGGGATTGATGGAGCTTGTAATTGTTAATTTGTCACAGATGATACTGTTATTTATGCGCAGTTACTGTCTCCCTTTGGAGAGTTTCATGTGCTAAATTTTCAGCAAATAGTTTGAGCCTCACCTACAGCTTCTTGACCTTTTGGGGAAAAAACTATCACTTTAAAAGACCTTTTACGAGTGAGCAAATATATGCTTTTCTGTTTTCACAGTAACTTTCAGAGAAACCCACTGGTCTCAGCATGGCCTATGCCTTGGCAGCCCTTTCCACCCGTAGCAGGTTGTTCTTTACCTTTCGTTTTTAAGGTGGCTTCCAGTTCATACCAAGCTCACATACTGTGGCGAAGAGCTTTCTGAGAAACTTCATAAGATTTTGCTAAGATATTAATGAATAATTTAGTATATTGTTGCATATATGACTGAGTATCACATTTCAGTAATGTTTTTACTATCTTTAAATATAGGTACATAAATCCTAGCTTGGGGTAAAAGGCATTGACATTTTCTCAGTAATAGTTCTTTGTAGACAGACCTGGGTTCAATATTAGCTCTGCCACCCCTCGAGCTGTGTCACCAGAAGTAGGTTGTCCTGTACGTCTAACTTCAGTTTGTCTATTAAAGGGGATTGCACCACTGACGGCTTGATCAGGGTTAAATACTCCAGCATTCCTTGGAAAACACTTCTGTGAGCATTGTCGCAGACTTGATGATGTAGCAACTATTTTCCCTAAGTTTCCCACTTTAGAAATTATTAAAAATATTGCTGCCTTCATAGCTTTTTCAAAGGTTTTCTCTTATTTCTGTCAGATCTCTTACATCTAATATTCTCATTCCCAGCAGATAATTAATCTATTAAGAGGCAGGCTGTGGGCCCCTCTGATACCAGGGAAAGTGAAAGGCACCAGGGCAGGAGTTCTGATTCTAGCAACTGCCTGGCCGCTGTGTGATCTCCACACAGCATCAAACCTTGCAGAGTTCTAACAGAAGTGAATAGAAGATTAGTCTCCCACACAACAATAATGGGAGACTTTAACACCCCACCGTTAACATTAGACAGATCAACAAGACAGAAAGTTAACAAGGATACCCAGGAATTGAACTCAGCTCTGCACCAAGCGGACCTAATAGACATCTACAGAACTCTCCACCCCAAATCAACAGAATATACTTTTTTTTCAGCACCACACCACACCTATTCCAAAATTGACCACATAGTTGGAAGTAAAGCACTCCTCAGCAAATGTAAAAGAACAGAAATTGTAACAAACTGTCTCTCAGACCACAGTGCAATCAAACTAGAACTCAGGATTAAGAATCTCACTCAAAACCGCTCAACTACATGGAAACTGAACAACCTGCTCCTGAATGACTACTGGGTACATAACGAAATGAAGGCAGAAATAAAGATGTTCTTTGAAACCAACGAGAACAAAGACACAACATACCAGAATCTCTGGGACACATTCAAAGCAGTGTGTAGAGGGAAATTTATAGCACTAAATGCCCACAAGAGAAAGCAGGAAAGATCTAAAATTGACACCCTAACATCACAATTAAAAGAACTAGAGAAGCAAGAGCAAACACATTCAAAAGCTAGCAGAAAGCAAGAAATAACTAAGATCAGAGCAGAACTGAAGGAAATAGAGACACAAAAAACCCTTCAAAAAATCAATGAATCCAGGAGCTGATTTTTTGAAAAGATCAACAAAATTGATAGACTGCTAGCAAGACTAATAAAGAAGAAAAGAGAGAAGAATCAAATAGACGCAATAAAAAATGACAAAGGGGATATCACCACCGATCCCACAGAAATACAAACTACCATCAGAGAATACTATAAACACCTCTATGCAAATAAACTAGAAAATCTAGAAGAAATGGATAAATTCCTCGACACATACACTCTCCCAAGACTAAACCAGGAAGAAGTTGAATCTCTGAATAGACCAATAATAGGCTCTGAAATTGAGGCAATAATTAATAGCTTACCAACCAAAAAAAGTCCAGGACCATATGGATTCGCAGCCGAATTCTACCAGAGGTATAAGGAAGAGCTGGTACCATTCCTTCTGAAACTATTCCAATCAATAGACAAAGAGGGAATCCTCCCTAACTCATTTTATGAGGCCAGCATCATCCTGATACCAAAGCCTGGTAGAGACACAACCAAAAAAGAGAATTTTAGACCAATATCCTTGATGAACATTGATGCAAAAATCCTCAATAAAATACTGGCAAACCAAATCCAGCAGCACATCAAAAAGCTTATCCACCATGATCAAGTGGGCTTCATCCCTGGGATGCAAGGCTGGTTCAATATACGCAAATCAATAAATGTAATCCAGCATGTAAACAGAACCAAAGACAAAAACCACATGATTATCTCAATAGATGCAGAAAAGACCTTTGACAAAATTCAACAACCCTTCATGCTAAAAACTCTCAATAAGTTAGGTATTGATGGGACGTATCTCAAAATAATAAGTGCTATCTATGACAAACCCACAGCCAATATCATACTGAATGGACAAAAACTGGAAGCATTCCCTTTGAAAACTGGCACAAGACAGGGATGCCCTCTTTCACCACTCCTATTCAACATAGTGTTGGAAGTTCTGGCCAGGGCAATCAGGCAGGAGAAGGGAATAAAGGGCATTCATTTAGGAAAAGAGGAAGTCAAATTGTCCCTGTTTGCAGATGACGTGATTGTATATCTAGAAAACCCCATCGTCTCATCCCAAAATCTCCTTAAGCTGATAAGCAACTTCAGCAAAGTCTCAGGATACAAAATCAATGTGCAAAAATCACAAGCATTCTTATACACCAATAACAGGCAAACAAGAGCCAAATCATGAGTGAACTCCCATTCACAGTTGCTTCAAAGAGAATAAAATACCTAGGAATCCAACTTACAAGGGATGTGAAGGACCTCTTCAAGGAGAACTACAAACCACTGCTCAATGAAATAAAAGAGGATACAAACAAATGGAAGAACATTCCATGCTCATGGGTAGGAAGAATCAATATTGTGAAAATGGCCATACTGCCCAAGGTAATTTATAGATTCAATGCCATCCCCATCAAGCTACCAATGACTTTCTTCACAGAATTGGAAAAAGCTACTTTAAAGTTCGTATGGAACCAAAAAAGAGCCCACATTGCCAAGTCAATCCTAAGCCAAAAGAACAAAGCTGGAGGCATCACGCTACCTGACTTCAAACTATACTACAAGGCTACAGTAACCAAAACAGCATGGTACTGGTACCAAAACAGAGATATAGACCAATGGAACAGAACAGAGCCCTCAGAAATAATGCCACATATCTACAACTATCTGATCATTGATAAACCTGACAAAAAGAAGAAATGGGGAAAGGATTCCTTATTTAATAAATGGTGCTGGGAAAACTGGCTAGCCATATGTAGAAAGCTGAAACTGGATCCCTTCCTTACACCTTATACAAAAATTAATTCAAGATGGATTAAAGACTTAAATGTTAGACCTAAAACCATAAAAAGCCTAGAAGAAAACCTAGGCAATACCATTCAGGACATAGGCATGGGCAAGGACTTCATAACCAAAACACCAAAAGCAATGGCAACAAAAGCCAAAATTGACAAATGGGATCTAATTAAACTAAAGAGCTTCTGCACAGCAAAAGAAACCACCATCAGAGTGAACAGGCAACCTACAGAATAGGAGAAAATTTTCTCAACCTACTCCTCTGGCAAAGGGCTAATATCCAGAATCTACAATGAATTCAAAGAAATTTACAAGAAAAAAACAACCCCATCAAAAAGTGGGCAAAGGATATGAACAGACACTTCTCAAAAGAAGACATTTATGCAGCCAAAAAACACATGAAAAAATGCTCACCATCACTGGCCATCAGAGAAATGCAACTCAAAACCACAATGAGATGCCATCTCACACCAGTTAGAATGGCAATCATTAAAAAGTCAGGAAACAACAGGTGCTGGAGAGGATGTGGAGAAATAGGAACACTTTAATACTGTTGGTGGGACTGTAAAGTAGTTCAACCATTGTGGAAATCAGTGTGGCAATTCCTCAAGGATCTAGAACTAGAAATACCATTTGACCCAGCCATCCTATTACTGAGTATATACCCAAAGGATTATAAATCATGCTGCTATAAAGATACATGTACACGTATGTTTATTGCAGCACTATTCACAATAGCAAAAACTCGGAACCAACCCAAATGTCCAACAATGATAGACTGGATTAAGAAAATGTGGCACATATACACCATGGAATACTATGCAGCCATAAAAAATGATGAGTTCATGTCATTTGTAGGGACATGGATGAAGCTGGAAACCATCATTCTCAGCAAACTATTGCAAGGACAAAAAACCAAACACCGCATGTTCTCACTCATAGGTGGGAATTGAACAATGAGAACACATGGACACAGGAAGGGGAACATCACACACTGGGGACTGTTGTGGGGTGGGAGGAGGGGGAGGGGTAGCATTAGGAGATATACCTAATGCTAAATGACAAGTTAATGGGTGCAGCACACCAACATGGCACATGTATATGTATGTAAGAAACCTGCACGTTGTGCACATGTACCCTAAAACTTAAAGTATAATAATAAGAAAGAAACAAGATGAGCTTGTGGACTGTCTTTCACATCCTGGGAACTTATAGAAAGGTAGTTAGGATTATTAAGCAACTAAAACATTTTCCTTTATTTTTCCTTCCTTACCGCTACCTCTCCCAAGTTGTAATAATTTAATAGTTACAACTATTAGTACAAATAGTTTTAAAAGTCTCTTTGAGTTGCCACCCTGGAGTGTGTATCTCCTAATGGGATAATACTTAAGGCATTTTATAAACTTTAAAGTGCCATGGACATCAGTCATTTGTGCATTTGTGAGCACTGCCTCATTTAAGCCTGCCGTCGCCTTAATGTACTGTGTACATTAGATACGACTTCAGTTCCCTTATCCCAGGAGGGCTGAAACTTACTGGGATTTCTGTTATATTGACCTAACAGATTAGGATGATTTTAAAATTTTACTCATTTTCTATATTGAATTAAAACAAGAAATTAGCTGAGCATTTTCCAAGATGGAAGGAAAAACGGCCATTGTTTTGATTTCTAGTTATGTAACCCATTCCAAAAATTCAAACATGAGATTACACGGAGTGCTGTATTAAACAGATGAGTACCTGCTCACTGGCTTCCTTTCACACAGTCGCCTGGCACTGCAGCCACACCTGTGCTCACCTGTACCTGCCTACCTGTGGCTGGGCCAGGCCCCAGGAGTCCCGTGGGTCAGGAGCATGGCATGGAGGGTGGGCAGAGCTTTCTGCTCATCCCCGGATCATGGCAGCGTCAGATGGAACTCGGCCTGCCCCGTTTCTGTGCAGCTGTCAGGATGTATGGGGTTTTCCCATGCTCCGTGCCTCCATGCCTGCGGCACTTTGGAAGGACGTTAAGGCAGGACATCTTTAGGAGAATGTCTTTATTGACTTTGTCTTTATTTACCTTGGGCCTGGCGCTGTTATCTCAGCTGAGTGTCCGTGTTTAAAGGCGACACATGGAACGAGCATGGCTCATAATTTTGAGTTTCTTCTTCTGGAGCCTTACTATTATATGCTCAGAAACCATCTCTGTCTGCGTGGTATCTCTCCTCTGGCAGTGCAGTAGGTCACACATCGTTGAGGTTATGAGCTTTGGAGACTCTTAGACATCAGCTCTCATGTTAACTCTGTGATTTTGGGAAAGTTGACCTATATGTTTTTGTTTTCTTTAGTGTGAAACAGGAATGCCTTCTGCATAGCGAGGCTGTCAGAAAAGCCCTTGACACTTTCTGGTCCCAGAGAGGGCACCGCAGCCACCCAGGCCTGCCCGTGAGAGGTGGCAGCTCTGGGAGGAACACTCCTTAGGCCGGTGTGTGGTACTGTCAGGTGCTTATTTTTGTTTCACAAACTTGGTATTTATTAGGTGTTCCAGGCTTTGTTCGACCCGGGTGGGAGGGAGGATCTTTGTTGGAGGACTCTCACTTTCTAATTGCGGGTTTTTGTTCTGAAGCCATAGGGTGTGTTGCCGTCTCAGCAGGGAGGAGTATTCCCCATTAACGGGCAGGTGGCATCGTGGGAGAAGCACCTGCTGTGCCCGGGGGGGCGGGACTGCGCAGGATCAGGGGGATGCGCGGGAGCCAGTGGTGCTGACACTGCATACCATGTGTCAGGAGCCTTGGAAGTCGGCTTAAATGGTTTAATCTGATTTAATCTTCACAAAAACCTTGAGGGATAGGCATTACGATTAGGCACCACAGTAGAAACTGAGGCATGGAGAGGTGCAACAGTTTCCCTGAGGTCACACAGCTCTTCAGAGGGGGAGACAGGACTTAAACACGAGGAGGCTGGCTCCAGGGCCCGTGGGCTTTGAGCGAGGAAGGCCTTCTAGGTCTAGACGTTCCTAGGCTGGGGCTCAGTGATACCCTAAAGCCCATGCACACCTCCTCAGACCTGGCTCCTGAGAGGCAGTCCTCCAGAGTGGCCTCTTTGCTGAGACTGTGAGCCTGGGCTTCTGTCTCTAACCACTAGCTACAAAAGGATGCTGGACAGACATCCTGTACCTAGGGACACCCCATGATGGCTTGTCCCCCGACCACAGACACCCCATGATTGGGGATACCCCGTGACCATGGATGCCCCATAACCACAGACACCCCACAACTGGGCAGCTCAAGGCAGCAAGTGCCTTCCTTGTGTGCTTCCGTTTTGTTGAGGTCTTTGTTGCAAACATCGTTTGTTGAGGGCTGCCTTACCCTTAGAAGACATAGTACCATTTCTGGGAACCATGGTTGCTGTTGAGAAATGCATCCTTACACGCCCAGATCCAGCCGCTGTCTGGTCCCACTGACATGGCACAGGAATCAAAGCAGGTGCTTGGGGGATGTCAACAGTTGAATTTGGATTCCTCATAAAGCAATGTTAGCACATGACACTCTGTGAGGAAATAATGATGCTACTTTGTAAGATAAGAAAGGGGAAACAGCTGCGTTGGTGGATAATTGTTAACGGTGCAGCTGCAGTGTGAGTTGCACACTGGAAGGTGTTTGCCGTGACCTGTCGCGGGCTGAGCTTTTTGGTAGCCTGGCATTGTGGTGGATGCCTTTCATTCCATCCGCTGTGGCTGAGTTCTGCTTTCCTGCCCCTGGTTCTGCAGTGGCGTGACTGGGCTGCTTACAGGCCCTGTCTTTCCAAGCCACCATTTAATTGGGGAGGGCTACTGACATGGCACCATTGAACTTGAGACCTGCCATTCCTCCGGTGGCAGTCCTTGGAGAACAGGGCCCCAGGTCTTTCTGACCCCACATCATTGGCATGGTCTCGCAGCCAAGTAGGTTATGTTTTCTGAGGAAATCATCATGTCATTCCCATCTACTGTTAATTTTTAAAAAGCTGTGATTCCTGATGAAACAAACTAGAGATGATGCAGGAACTCTGGATCTAAATGGTCAGTCACTATCTTCTGCAACTTGCTGGAGTGCAGACACGTCTCAGAATAAGATATTCTCAGACTAGTCAGAACATTGTTTCCTTTCTTTAAAAAACAAAACAGAAAACCACTGAGCCCAGAGTTCAAGGCCTCCTAAAGAGGAAGAGGGCTTTGGCTACCTGCAGATAAGAAAGGTTTTGGTGGTAATGCTCAAGTGTGAGTTAGGTGTGGGCGTGAGCATGCCCAGTGGCCGTCCCGTCCTCCTGGAGACAAAACCATTTCCGGGGTATCCCCTGGCTAAGCATTTGAAAGCAGCAATTTATTTTCAACAGTTTCTATCCTTAATATTTAAAAAATAGGAAAGTGTACTCAATCAGCTTTCTGTTGACTTTCTGCTGCCTGGCCGGCGTCTTGTAGGAGGCGCTCTGCCTGTCTGTGCAGGAGGCTGTCCAGGGTGTGCGAGCCACGTGGGCCAGCCTCTGTGGGCGGACTGTCCCAGGTGGGTGGTGGTGAGGGGGTGAATTCCTCCTTCACATTTGCTTACAAGTGCTCCTTTTTTGAGTGTTGGGAGCACATCTGTGTATGAAGGACATCATTCGGACGCTTTCCAGGGTGGTGGGAAGCAGCCTCCCTTAGCCCGGCTACGTCTCATGAATGTGCGTGGACCCCGCCTGGCCTTCTGCCCGAC
The DNA here is from genome assembly GCF_000001405.40 of Homo sapiens. NCBI lineage: Eukaryota > Metazoa > Chordata > Mammalia > Primates > Hominidae > Homo > Homo sapiens. The sequence continues at coordinate 129,582,235 of NC_000010.11, forward strand.
ATGTACTCCACCCCGCCTTCTACCAGGAGCCAAGGCTGTGACCATTGTGATCTGAACAAGCCGTTGAGAGTGTGCTCTGTTGTCAGTGAATTAGTTCAGAGAGTCCCTCCTCGTGTTATAGTTCTCATGACCACTGCGCAGTGTTGCTGTGCTCTGCCTCTGACGGGTGGCTGCCAGGCATTGAAAAAATAACATCGTAAGTCCTTACTGCTAACACTGACTTTTAAAAACATTTAATTGTGTGCCTTTTAAACTTTTGTTCTCCGTACAACGTCTTCCCGATATTTAGATTTTAACTTTTAAAAGACAGTTACAAATTATTTCTAAAGTATAAAGTCTGGTTGTTGTTTTTTTTTTTGATGGAGCTGTGAGGAGGAAAAAAATGAGATATAGAATTTTAGTGTAGGTGATCTTGTGCTTTAGGATAAAACCATTTTTCTGTTACTGCTTTTTGGTATCTAAATCCCCGGCAGTTTCCCCCTTCGGATAAAGCATCATGTAGGTTTTAGCACACCAGCGGGTTCCTGGCTCTTTAGTGAAAAGGTGGCTCTGAGGATTGCCCTGTGCCCGCCATGACCATCCTGGTGGCTTGGCGACTTCATATTGACTGCAGGCCCTGTGGACAGAAAGAATTATTTCTTTTTTAGAGAAAAGATATTTATGACCGAAAACAGTGCTAAAAACATGAGAATATTGATCATGGTTTTGAGAGATGCTTGCACTGAATCACTTGATATACCTAAATATCGGCTTTATTCTATCTTCCCTAAAAGACAGATTGCCAACACAAAAGATGAACCATCTTGAGGGAAAAAAATCTTATATCTTTCTGATAGGCTGTCTTGCTTCCTTCCATAACAATGGGGAGAAAAGAAGTCTGTGTGGTTTCCTGAAATAAGCAACAAATATAATAAATGGTGTATCGGAAGCTTCTGTAAAACTGCCTTGGGTGTACTTTATTTAACTTGTAGTAATAAGTTAAATTAACATCAAATGGAAATTCAAATAGCTAAACATTTAACCAATCTAACAGTAAACAATTATTCTAAAATCAACATAAAAATAAAGACCCATTATCATCAGAAGACCTAATTCATTGTTTTTAGAGGTAATCTCTTGGGGTTCTGTGGAAATTTATAAAGGAATGAGTGAGGCTAATTATTTACTCATCAGATTTTTGAAGGCAAATACTTTTCTGTTATTCTTAAATTTTAGACCTATTTTGGATCAAGATGGTGTGTTGCTTTTGTAGTTTAAGGTAGAAGATAGTGAGGCTGACTTCCTTCCTTATCCCGGGTAGAAAGCCTGACTTTTTCTGGATAGATTGCAGCCTAGGGGTTGTGGTTTTGGTCCTGTTCTGCCCTTTTCCCAAATTCTTCTTCATTGCATCTGATACATCCCCCTTGCCTGCAGGGCAGGGCCCTGTCTCTGTGGCACACATAGCAGGACCGTTTACATTTCCTCTGCTCACAGGTGCCGCCCACACCTTGCTTCCTATTTCATGTCCTCCTCGTCTCTGTAGTTGAGGGAAGAGTATTCCATTCAACAGATGGAAACACCATTGCATCTGACTGCCATGTCTTTGAAACCTGCCAGACCAAGTCTTGACTTTCGTTTTGTTTTTTTTGGTGGAGCTGGGAGGAGACAGATGGGCCATACAGTCTATGTGTGGGTGCCTTGGTGTGGGACACAAGAAAGTGAGGCAGGACGTGGAGCACCAGGTCATCAGAGCTGGCAGAGGCTGCTCCACCGTGCACCGAAGACTTGGCATGTCAGTGGAGCCAGGAAGTCTCCGATGCAGAAGCGGAAGTCAGTGTGGCCACAGGAGCGAGGTGGCAAAGTGCTGGCCTTGGAGGAAGAGAGAGGTCAGAGAGTAGACAGAGGGTGAGGCCTGGATCATCATCAGATGAGCAGACATGAAAGCCGCTCTCAACAGGATTAGAAAACACAGTTTCTAGGGGATTCTTGCAGGGAAACAGACATGGAGGGGCACCATTTGGTTTGTAAAAGGAAGGTATAGCCCTGAAGTTGGCAAGCTCTTGGCCTGCTGGCCTGATGCAGCAGGCAGCTGAGAATTGCTTGGCCTGTCCATGGGGGCCTGACAGGTATCTCAAATTTTAATTGCCAGCACACACGAATCAGGAGATTTCATATTTCAAAAAGCATGTATGGCTGCTGTTTCTTTTTTGTATAAGGCTTAATTTGTTTTTTTTTTCATGTTATAGCTTTCCTGAGATACATTTTACATACTCTAAAATTTACCCATTTAAATTGTACAGCATGCTGGGTTTTCATGCATTTATACAGTTGTGTGTCCATCATCACAGTGTAATTTTAGAAGATTTAAATCTCCCTCTTCCCCACTGCCCCTGCCAAAAAAGGGACCCCAGACCTACCAGCAGTCATTTCCCATCCCCCTCCCTCTGGTACCAGCCCACCACTAGTCTGTCTGTGTCTGTGGTTTTCCCTGTTCTGGATGTTTTGCATCAACGGAATCCTGCACCATGTGGCCTTTTGTGCCTGGTTCCTTTCCCTTCGTGTGGTGTTTTCAAGGTTGCTCCACGCTCCAGCATGTGTCAGAACTTAATTCCCTGCGGCCAAACAATATCCCATCATGTGGATGAACCACATTTTGTTGATCTATACATCAGTTAAGTCAGTTTCGCCTTTTGGTGTTGTGAATAAGGCTGCAGTGAACATTTGTGTATATATGTGTTCATTTCTCTTGGGGTATATATACACACACACACACGTAGGCCTAGGAGTAGGATTCCTGGGTCCGATGGCAATTGCATGTTTAGCATTTTGAAAAACTTATGGTTTTCTAATACAGCTGCCCCATTTTACATTCCTGCCAGCAATGTATGAGGGCTCCAATTTCTTCATATACTCACCAACACTTTCCATGTTGTCTTTTTGATTTTAGCCATCCTAAAGGGCGAGAAAGATATCTTCTTGTGTAAAACGGGCAAATAATCAAGCTGGGAATGGTAAGCAGGGTTTTTATTCACAATAGGGCTGGTTGATGGGATTCACAATTACAGAAGGCCACAGAGGGAGGACACACTTGGTGTACTATTTCTTTTTGTCAAACAATAGCATTATTGAGATGTAAATGACATACAGAGTATACATACAGTAGTTCCCCCTTAGTCATGGGGAATATGTTACAAGAACACCAGCAGATGCTGGAAACCGTAGAAGGCACCAAACCCTTGGTATCCCTGAGGGGTTGGCTCCAGGACTCCTCTCGGATACTAACATCCGCAGGTGCTCAAGCCTCTTATATAAAATGGCATACTATTCTTATATAGCCCAGAGACACCCTCCCATATTTTTTAAATCATCTCTAGATTACTTATGATACCTAATGCCTAGATATCACTTCATTCTTGTGAATTCAACGTAGTCCTTAACATATAGCAAATTCAAGTTTTGCCTTTTTGAACTTTGTAGAATTTTTTTCCGAATATTTTTGATCTGTGGTTGGTTGAGTCCGTGAGTCCGTGGCTGTGGAGCCCATGCATATGGAGGGCCGGCTGTGCAGTATCTTTTCCTACACATACATCCCCATAATAAAGTTTACTTTGTAAACTAGCCCAGTGAGATTAACAGCAGCAGTCTATGGAACCATTATAACAACATGCCAGCATCACTATTCTTGCACTTCAGGGCCATTATTAAGTGAAATGTGGGTGACTTGAACACAAGCACTGCAATGACCTTGATAGTCTATCTGATAGATACCAAGATAGATGGCTACTAAGCGACAGAAGGGCGGGGGTGTGTACAGTGGGGATGCACCGGACAGAGGGATGATTCGTGTCTCAGGTGGGATGGGGCGAGATTTCATCCCACTACTCAGAATGGTGTGCAATTTAGAACGTATGGATTATTTATGTCTGGAATTTTCCAGTTAATATTTTTGGACCACGGTTGATCTCAAGTAATTGAAACCATGGAAAGTAAAACTGTGGATAAAGGGGGCCACTGTATCTCACATATACAGTTTGATAAAATTTGCCTATGGATGACCCCAATCAAAATAACAAATATTCTCATCACCCCCAAAGTTTCCTCTTGCACCTCTGTGATTCCTCTCCTCACCTCAACCCGCTTTCCTTTCTCATCCCCAGGCAATCACTGATCTGCTGTCACTGTGCATTAGTTTGATTTTCTAGAATTTTGTGATGCACATATATACATATATATTGTATTTTACACAAAATTTTCTCGTTTTATGAATGGAATTATAACGTATAGTCTCTTCGTGTCTGAGTTCTTCCAGTGTATTGAGTTTGATATTCATGCATGTTGTTGCATGTGTCAGCGGTTGATTACTCTTTTTGCTGAGTGGTATTCCATTGTGTGGGGATACCACAGTTTATCATTCGTTTGTTATTGTACATTGAATATTGTTCTTTCTGCTTTCGGCTGTTGCAGACACTGCTATGAATATTTATATGAAAGACTTGGTAAGGACGTATGCTTCTAATTCTCTTAGGTAAACACCTAGGAGTGGATCCTATGGGCAATGGGTGTTTAGCATTTTAAAAAGTTGCCAAACTGTTTTCCAGAGTGGCTGCATCCCTCTGCCGTTTTTATGAACAGTGGGTGGGAATGCAATTCTTGCATATAGTCTCTGATTTCATATCATTTTCCTTTTGCCTGGAAGACTTAGCATTTCTTCTGTGGGGTCTGATGGTGATACTGTCTTTTAGTGTTTTTAATGTCTGAAAAAGTATTTTCATATTTAAAAGATATTTTTGCTGTGCAAAGAATTTTGAGTTTTCTCTTTTCCTTTTCTTAAAGATCTTGTTCCACTGTCTCTGACTTGCATTGTTTCGGACCAGAAATCTGCTGTCATCCTTATTTTCCTTCATGTATGTGGAGCATTTTCCCCCCTCCAGGGGTTTTTGAGTTATGTTCTTTATCGCTGGCTTTGACCATCTGGCTCATTTTTTGGGTTGGTGTGCTTGTCTTCATGTGTCTAGTGCTTGGGCTTCATTGAGTTTCTTGGTGCCATCAATTACATCTATATTTGTCTGTTTTAAGTTATCCCACAGTTCTCTAATATTGTGATTTTTTTGTTTTTTTTGCAGTGTTTTATTTTGGTAGTTTCTATTATGTTTTTGAGTTCACTAATCTTTTCTTCTGCAATGCCTAATATGCTTTGAATGTCATCTAGTATGTTTTTCTTCTCAGGCATGGTGATTTTAATCCATAAAAATTTGTGTCATTTTTATATCTTAATTTTTCTTTTTCTTTTTTTTTGAGATGGAGTCTTGTTCTGTCACCAGGCTGGAGGGCAGTGGTGTGATCTTGGCTCACTGCAACCTCCTCCTCCTGGGTTCAAGTGATTCCCTGTCTCAGCCTCCCAAGTAGCTGAGACTACAGGCACAACCCACCATGCCCAGCTAATTTTTATATTTTTATCATGATCCACCCGCCTCGGCTTCCCAAAGTGCTGGGATTACAGGTGTGAGCCACCGTACCCGACCTATATTTTTCTACTCACCTTTTTGACATGTGAAATACAGTTATAACGACTATGTTAATATCCTTGTCTGTTAATTCTAACATCTTTGTCAGTTTTGGGTTGGTTTTGATTTTTTTCTCCTCCTAGCAGTTGTATTTTTATTCTTTTATGCTTTTCTTGTAATTTTTGAATGGATGCTTTATATGCAAATGTTACCTGGCTGGGTGCTAGGTTATTTATTTAATAAATATCCTTTAGCTTTGTTCTGGGAGGCAGGTAAGTTACGTGGAAATAGTTTGAATCTTTTGGATCATGCTTTGAAGATTCACTAGTTGCAACTACAGTGGTATTTAGTTTCAGGCTAATTATTCCCACAACCAAGGCAGGATTGTAAGAGGAGAGATCATGGCCGGGGACTCATGGCTAGACAAAAAACAGGACCTCAGTCCTATCAGTGCAAGGAAATGAATTCTGTCAATACATAGTGAGCTTGAAAGAGACTCGCAGCCTCAGCCCTGGGAGTCTCAGTTGCAGCTGACATTTTGGTTTCACCCGGAGAAACCCTTAGCAGAGGACTGAGTCCACCCGTGCCTGGACTCCTGACCCATGGGGCGGATGAGACAGTAGATGTGTGGTGGTTAAACCACTGAATCTGTGGTAATTTGTGGTGATTTGTTATGCAGCAGTAAGAGGTAATACCGTATGCATCTTCTTGCATCATTTACCAGCTTTTTATTATATGTGGAAGTCTTACGTCTTTCCTCCCTTTTTTATTGCCCTCTGAGTACCTTGTTGTCCCTTTCTGTGTCACATTCTTCCCACTCGCACGCATGCATCCAGGAATAAGAGCACTGTGGCTCGGTGTGGCCAAGACCCACTGTGTACCTTCCATGAAAGATGTTTGTGAGTAGCATGGGCCCCCGAACCCTGGGTCCAGTCCTGCCTGTACTGCGAGCCAGCACTGTCATCATGGATAGTGCCCTCAGCCCATACTCTCCTCTGTGAAGTGTGTGTGCCAGCACACTGACATCACAGGGTGCCTGCAGCATTTGGAAAACACGCAGCATCATGCAAACTGCCTAGGAGTGCTCAACAATTTGGAGCTGGTATCTTTACACTTACCACGTTGAATATTGCATGCAGACTACATATTTGCAGAGCTTAATGAACAGAGAGGCATTTTAGGACAACTAGGAGAAACTCGCGCAGATTCCCCTCAGGGGGAGGGAAGCTGTTTTGTAGGTGTCTCTGGCAGTAGCCTAATGCAGTTGCTTTAGACCCTGGTGGTCTGGATACTGCTTCACTGTAGGCTTTAATTGCATTGCTCCAGGTCTGTGGAAGGCTGGAAGAGGCCGGTGTTTTTGTGTCACTTTTGCTACCCCCTACTCTCTCTAGTTGACAGGCCATTTGGAGCACCAGGGAGTACAATCTGGCTGAAGAAGCGGTATCCAAGGAGGACGTCATGGTGTCTGTTCTCGCAGTCATGGAGCCTAGTGCCAACAGGCCTTAATTCTGTGTTCTGGTGTCTCATGAGTGGCTCTGCAGTGGGACGTCAGAGCAGCCAGGCCTCAAGCCGCCTGGCTGGGGTGGGGACAAAGTGTGTGTTGTCCCTTCATCACGGGAGTGTGGGGCCTGGCACACGCCCTGCCAGGGCCTCACTTGGGCCATGCCTCAGAGCATGGGTGCTACTCACCTCTGACCTCTTGAGTTTTGCAGGCAAACTCAGGTCGAATTTGGATTCTCAGTCGCATTGTGGCTCACATGACATGAAATAAAATGTTGACATTTATTTGCTTCTTGTGGCCTCTACTAAATATATAAAATAATCAAAACTGAAACTTTCCATTATTCTCAGCAGGAGTGAAACATCTTGACTTTGGAAATTTTTCCTAGTGATTTAACTCAAGTCGGATATCGGCAGCACCACCTGCAATAGTGACCCCCTATGGCCTGCGGCGGGGCTGCTTAACGCTCACATGGGTGGTCACCAAGGAAGGGCTGCTGGACAGGCAGACTCCCAGAGCAGTTGCTACTTACAAATCCAGCTTCCAGCAGGGAGACCATTAAAGGGCTGCTTCCACCTCCAGGGCGGGCAGTGAAGCCTCCAGCTGGGAGCCGCGTGAAAATCAGAGCCAATGGGAGCTGGCAGCCCATCCACCAGGAGGGTCCAGAAGACAGAGGCAGAGGACGTGGGATCTGGAGCCCAAGGGAGGGGTCCCAGGTGGGTTGAGGCTGGAGATGGCCCAGGAAGCCCTGGTTTGGGGTGAGGGTGGGCGAGACTGAGAGGCTGCTCAGACAGGATGGGTGGTTGAATGGAGTGCGGATCATGAGATCATCACAGGGCCACAGCATATCAGGCCATGGGTTCCCTGTTAATTCCTCTCCCACCTCGAGGACCGGAGCTTCTGTTAGGCAGGCGGGGGCTCTGCCGCAGGCCCACATTCTCTGCTAATTCCCTTCTCTCCTAAAGGTTTCAGATCTGTCTGTGGTCTTTTGTTTTACTTGGAAACACATGTTTAATATATCTTATAAAATACGTTTAATATAAAAATATAGTTCACTTTATAGTTCAGTTGCTTTGAGCACATTTAGTAAACCAAGATGTGCTTATATGAACTTTTCCCTGAAAAGTACCTGGATCCCAGAGTTCTACATGGATTGAATACTTATGTTTCGATTTTAATTCCTTAGATGGCTAACTCAGCATTATTTAAATTTTAATAAAGAGACTGGATACAATGTGAGCGAATTTCTCTCTATATTTTGTGAATCTCTATCAGAGCAAAATAAAACTGTTTCTGTTTTGCAATGAATAGTTTCTAGCCATGGAATTGCTGGTCGAGGCAAGAAAGTATGAATCTTATTTTTGTGGATCTAGCCAAGAAAAAGAACGTAAACTTTGAAAAGTATGTCATTTGCCATTCACAGTCTAATGAGAAACTCAGAGAGGCTAGAAACTCTCAATAAAAATTCTGATATCAGCATTTAAGATCCAGCAAGATAGGGTATACGGGCATTTAAGGGATTCACAATCCACAGTTTACTGGCACTTTAAATGCTGTGAATCTTGTACTGGCAATCACAATCTTGATTTTATTACCGAGGGGGACCCCTCGTGAGGAATATGTCGGTGCAGTGTGCAGGTTAAACTGTGAGCTGCTCCAGCCTCTCTCCCGCCGGCTGACGGAAAGGTGGTCAAATTACCTTCGCAAATCTGAAGGGTGCTTGGCTCCAGCAAATTGGCCATTTAGTCAAAAAGTGTCTGAAAATGACGTAGTCGTTGGAAGTGTTTGGGAATAAGCGATGAGTTGGCCAAACGCAGTGTGTTTTCTGTAGGCAAGCACCTGTGGCAGCTGGCAGGGATGGGCAGGCCTGCAGAGATGGCTTCCTGGGGGCGCAGCGTGGTCAGGCTTGAGGGTGGTGACAGTGCCCCCAGGAGAAGGCGAGACTGGCCAGAACTGGGACGGGCATGATGAGTGGCCGTGTTTCAAATATTGTCCATTTTTAACTTTTGAAAATGCCAAAAGCAAGTATGCTGCCTTGTGGAATCTGTGCAAGCAGTTCTTTCCAGGCTGACCTTGAATAGCCTGACAGCAGAGCGAGGAGTGAAATGAGCACGCCTCAGGCTGTGGTCCACTCGTGCGGGAAGACATGGACCTGCTACTGCTCCCTGCCCTCTGTCTCCCCAGGAAAGGAGCATTCTGGCTCAGAGATTCTCAAACTGGGTCTTCCAAGACCGCACAGGTGCTGTGTCAGGTCAGAGATGCCTCTGTAACAACGCCAAGACCTCGCGTGTCCAAGAGTGATGCTGGGGGAGGCTGCTCTAGCTGGACCTAGATCCAGGCCAGGCCCCAGACCTCTGCAGCTGTCCACCTACTCCTCACCACCACGCGTTTGCAGGTGGTGGACGGTGTTTTATTTAAGAATGTCCTTGTTGGCCGGACGCGGTGGCTCACGCCTGTAATCCCAGCACTTTGGGAGGCCGAGGTGGGTGGATCACAAGGTCAGGAGTTCGAGACCAGCCTGGCCAACATAGTGAAACCCTATCTCTTCTAAAAATACAAAAAATTAGCCAGGCATGGTGGTAGGCACCTGTAATCTCAGCTACTTGGGAGGCTGAGGCAGGAGAATGGCTTGAACCCGGGAGGCAGAGATCACAGTGAGCCGAGATGGCGCCACTGCACTCCAGCCTGGGTGACAGAGCGAGACTCCGTCTCAAAAAATAAATAAATAAATAAAAAAGAATGTCCTTGTTGAAGCAATAAACGCTAATTGTACTACAAACTGACCCTGGAGCACCTCTCTTTTTAGTAGACACGGGGATGAAGTGAAGTGTGCGTAAAGCACTTCTGCCATGGACCAAAGCAGGGATGTTTTCCGGAGGAAGGGTTTGCGTGTGACTCAGGGTGACGGGAGTGGCCACTTTTTTCCTGGAATACCATTTTCACCATTGAAAGTATCACTGACCAGCCAACCATATTTACCCACACTTGGGTTTTTGGCAGAAATTTTCAAGGAAAATAGCTGACAGTATTTGTTGCTAGTACTGAATGATGAAATCTGAGTTTCAAGTGAAAATCATAATTTTGAGAAACTTGCACCTACTGCCGTGAGCTTAACAGCATTTCAATGTTTAAACAACGTTTTGCTGATACCAGTGTGGCATTAACTAGTGTGAATTTCGGTAGTGTGCTGTGGCTGAAATGCCTAACGTAGATTTGCATACCTCAGTGAACCAGTATTTTCTAAATGATGGATAATGTTATAAAATTATGCCTGGGTAAAAATCCAAAATGCAGGCTAGGTGAATGGATTTTAATGGAACCGTGCAGACAGTTGATTCGGAAGGCTTCAGGGTCCACATGGAAACTGTGGTTTGGGAGCTGCCCCTTGTTGAGAGTTCTGTTCAGGTATCAAAGGAGAGTATCCACAGTGGCCCAAGGTAGATTTTCTTCCTGCACGTCAGCCAGAGCCCTGTATGGAAACAGACTGAAGGCAGAAGCAGCTGCGAGAGTCCACCTGCCTTCTGTTAAGCCAGCTGTGGAAGACAGTCTCAAAAATGTAAACCAGTGCAACTTTAATTAATCCTTTTTTTTTTTGGAAAAATGGTTATTTTTCATGAAAATGTTATATGTGATAACATGAAATCAGTTCATAACTATTTTGAAATGAAATATTTTTAAATGTTCTCAGCTTTCATTTCAAACACAGTATCAATAGAAATAACTTGCATGAGGAAAAAAATAGCTCTTTAGAGTCCTCATGATGCTTAAGGGTGAGACTGAAAAGTCAGACACCCACCGCCCCAGACAAACACCATGGTGGCCTCGGGGATGCTGCGAGGTCAGAGAACCTGCACTCTGCTTCCTTCTTGTGTAGGGTGAGGGAGAAGCCCCAAGCCGTTTCTTCTCAGGGCTCAGGTGTCTCTCATCAGTGTAGGGAGGGTCTTCGGGCATCCTATGCCCTGCTCATTCCCTCGATGTTATCCGGACAGGAGATTTCAGCTCCTGCGCAGTGGGCGCTGTTGGGATTCCCAGGCCTCCAAGTCATGACGGTGGGTGAAATGGAGCTGGTATTTGAGAAGGCTCGGAAGCCTCCCCTTAGAAAGGTGGGTCCTGATCAGCAGTTTGGGATGCCCCTGTGTTTCCTGCATTTGGGATGGGCGGTCCTCCCTCCTGCCTCCCCAGCTCTCTTGAGCACAGTGTGGCCGGCATCTGGTCAGGACTTCAGAGTGGCCAGCCCCGTGTTGCCGACGAATCTGAGAGGGAGCCCCTGGCTTCTTATTTTTCTTTGAACTACGTCAACGGAATTGCTTCGGATCCTTAGCCATTTTAAAAAACACAGTCATATCACGTCCCCTTCTGACATTCTCTTAAGCTTTAGCAAATAACAGAAATTTCAGTCTCACTGTGCCTTGTTCAGAGGTGACAACAACAATGGGTGGCTGAGGCGTAAGTCTCAATCATCCAGGCTCCTTAAAGCAGCTTTCGGGCATGTGTGGGGAAAGTACGCCACAGACACCCAGGGCTGTGCTTCCAAAGAGGTTTTCAAGAGGTTGAGTATTGACACCTTTCCTTACAAGGTAGTGGGGAGGCCTGGAGGCCAGGCAGTGAGGCGAACAGTGCTCAGTGAATCCACGCTCCAGGTGAGGGGAGGCAAATGTCGGCAGAGAAGGTGGGAGCAGAGGAGGAGTTCCTTATGCAGAGGTCTCTGGGCAGGCAGAGGAAATGAGCCTCGACTTTGCTCTGCCCTGGGAAGGGAAGCTTGTGATCCACATTATATCAGTGTGGGGTTTTATGAGCTGGACTGAGATGGTTGATCTAAAGTCACAGTTGGCAAGTCCCTGTTTATGCGAGGCCGGCAAAGAATTCACCTCTGAGTGATCTGTGGGGGCAGCCCTGTGTTGGTGCCTGAGGCCTCTGCCTTTCTGTGGAGGTCTGGCTGATGCATGAGGCTAGAAACAGCCATTCATTTGGAAGAGGGCGTTGCAATGACTCAGCCTCTGGGCTTAAGCTTTCCTTTTGCATAAGAAGTCTGAGGGGTCCTCAGATGTTTTATCTTCCTTTACAAAGTTGTGTTGTCAACACCAAGGAAACAGTCTTGATTCTGAACAAGGAGGTAGCCTGGGTACTGAAGGTGAAAAGAGCTCAGATCAGAAGTTTCTTGGAAAGAGATTTAAAGATTTTTAAAAAATCAGATTACTAAGGCATATTAAAATATGTTCAGTCTTACACTGTGTTCTTTGAAACCTTGAATTACTCTAGCAAAAGGCTCAGAGGGTACTGCTATGAGAAGCTGGATCTTGGACATCTCTTTCAAATGCCTCGGTACCTTTCAAAGGGCTTTGGATGGAATGAAGGGACACCATTGGGTCTCACAGCTTTCTCCTGCCTAACATACCACAGCAGTGTATGAAATTGTTCCCATCAGCTCCAGCGCGTGAAAGACAATACGAACAGTAACACCCCCAAAGAAACAGTGGGGCTGGAGACAGCAGAATCCTTGGAGGGTTCTCTGGCTGAAGAAATCTCTCTCCTACCACAGATACTGTCCCCAGAGAAGGTGCACCTCTACCACCAATGCCCTCCATCCTCAGTTGACAAGGATTCAAAAAGTTTGTTGGTGACGCTGACATGTAATATTCCCCTGCGAGTTACACACATCCAGGTGACCTTCGGACCAGCATTGCCGGCACACCCGTCACGCCATCAACCTGCCAGGCTGGAGAAGACCGCTCAGAGCTTTTCCTTGACTGGGGAGAGGGGAGCCGGAGCAGCGCCCCACGTCTCACGGTTCACCCCTGCCGTCTCTCGGGGCCTTCCTTCAGGCTTTCCCTGTATCCTCAGATCTTCGCCAGGGTCCTGTGATCCAGTGTTAGTTCATTCCATGTGTCATATATGAATGATGTCATTTGAATCATTTCAAGTCCTTTTGTAGGAAAACTAAGGCAGAAAGGCCAGCACCACAAAGAGGCATCCAGAATTCTCCTCGGCACAGGAGGGTGCAGCCATGGTGCCTTTGAGGAGACGGACACGCTTAGTTCCCCCTGCCATCAGTGGGCATCTCGATGTTAACCAGATCTTAGAAATTGCTCTGCTCAGGTTGGACTCATAAGTGTACTCTTAGATGCATTCTTCCATGTTTTTGGAATTTCCTAGAGAAAACGTCTTCTTTGTTCATGCCCGTGACACACGTTCCTCCCTGTGGTGACCTGGCGTCCATCCTGAGCTTTCGTGGTGTCCACCCATGAAAACAAAGGTGTCTGATCCCCCGTGCCACAGACATACTCTTAACCAGAATCTCCCAACCTGGGGTCCGTGGTGGTCTTCGGGGGGGTCTGACACTACCCAGGGTCAGATGAAAAGTGTTGACTGGATGCGTTTATGTGGGCGCTGCGATACTCTTCTTGGGGCGGGGCCCAGAGGGTTCCTGAAATTCTCAAAAGTGTCTGTGTCCCTCCTTGTGAGTAGGAGTCACTGTTTCAGATGCTCAGCTTTCCAGGTGATTTTTCAAATCCCTGGCACAGGCTTTCAAGGTGACTTAAGATTGTCTAATCCTCCTGCAGGTAGAAATGAGAGTCATCTGGCTGATGGTCACGAGCCGTCGGGGAGTTCCTCCTGTCTTGCACTCAAGCAGAGGAGTAAGGAGACCCCTTTAGAATGTACTTCTAATTGTTGAAAAGCACCTAACAAGTTTTCTATGGGGGAGATTATACAGGGACTGGGTAGGGACAATCACGTAAGACATACCTGTTTATAGAAAGAGCTGGATATAGAATTATAGGTGGGTTCAGCTGCACAAAGAAGAGTCAGACTACGGAGGCTTGAAGGAGCTGTGAATACACTGGGCATCTGACATCATTGCTTACTTCCCCCTGCCCCGCCCTGCCCCTCCCTGCCCCAGGGTATCGGTAGCATGTGTCCTAATTAAATTTTGACATTATGTGAGTTTTAGCATGGTATTTTCTGCATTGGGCTATCTGTATAATGTCATGGAGTGGTGACATAAATAATGCTAGACTTTTCCAATTTATCTACCATCCCAGCCCCCTCCCCAACTCAGTCATATGTGGAAAGTCAGTTTCTTTTTCCATTTATTATAGTTGTTAACTAAAGATTAAAATTTTACATTTCATTGCACTGTTCATAAATTGTTTATAAATACAGTGAAATCTAAGCAAACCAAGATGATCTTGGAAAGAAGTGTTCTGTATGGAATTTATCTGTTCAGACCCAACATGCACACCCTTCCTTCGGGATGTATCACCAAGATGAAGGCGGGCAGATCTCATGGGCATGAGCTTGTGTGCACCGAGGAAGTTCCTGCAAGCAGTCCTGCTGCACCTGGGCGGGGGACACCCTGTGGAGAACCACGGTGCTTGAGTGGAAGGAGTCTGTGTCTGTTTTTCAGAATGCCTTCTTGCCTTCACAACTAATATGCAACAAAAATAATAGGATTGCACCTGCTTTTGATGCCTCAAGATATGCAGAAATACATTTCCCTCACTTGAGCATGTCTCTGGATATACTAGGACAGCTAGGTCGTGCTTGCGTTTCAGGCCACGGCCCTGCTCAGGAGTCAGGTTCAGCTTCTTGCATTGAGTCTTATCCGCCACAGCCCAACTTTAACAGTGGATGATAGCCAGGAAAGAGAGGGAAGCATTTTTGGAGCTGGTTGTGGTTTTAATGAGGCATATACAGACACTGCTTTAGTGGATGTAGGAGTGAGGGGGGTGGGGTGTAGTGGTTGAGGAAGGGGCTTAGTGGGCTGGGGTGAAGGTCTCTGCTGGAGATCTAGGAGTTTTCCCTAAATCCTCATCTGATCTTCCTCTCCTGTAGATTGTTAGGATAAATGAGCAAGAAGATTCTGCGCAACAAACTGATACCTTGCTTTCTTTTGTGAGCAGCAGAGCTGGGGCGTGGAGAGGGTACGTCCAGTGTTGGATGTCAGGAAGTTCACGTCCCAGGGTATCTAGTACATCTGAGCTCTAAGCCTGCAAAGGAACCTTCTTTACAAATTGCACCATTGTTATGGTTGGCATTCTGGTTAAAAGTTCATCTGGATCTCAACCTCGCGTGAAATTGCAGAGCTACGACTGGAAAACTCGGCATCAGTTGAGAACCTTTGGGGACTTCTCAGACATTACAGTTAGAATTGAGCAAAACATGCTGAGTTCCATTCACTCACATTTTGGTGAGTGGGTTAAAATAACAGTTTAGTTTCGTCATTTTTATTACCTACTTTTCAGACAGATCCAGAAAAATAAAAAAACAAAAAAAAAGACAAGCATCATTACCATGTTTAGGAAATCTTTGAGAAGAAATATGTATGAAATTTGGCATACTGGCTAGCCATTCCCTTACCCCCTTATTTTTGATTATCCAAAAGCTCAAGGTGACTTTGCTCTTCCCCTCTGTGACTGGGGTTAGCAAACAACAGCCATGGGCTAGATCTTGTCCACCAGCTGTTTTTGCATGATCAGGACGCTGAGTGTGGTTTTTTCATTTTTTAAAGGGTTGTAGGAAATAAAGAGACTATTGAGTAGAGACCTCACAGGCCTTGGAAAGTGTGACATACTTCCTATCTCCTTCTCTACAGAAGTGGCTGCTGACTCCTGCTCTTTGGGGTCGAAACACAAAGACTGAATAATGATGTGGTATTTTTGTATTTAAAAAATGGCATAGGGCATTTTTAGGGAGGTTGTGGCATTGACGTATTCTGTGTTGCTTCAGAGAGATGTCGTTCGGTGGGTAGAGGCTGCGCAGTGGCCCACTGTGATTGGCATGGTGGTGGCTCTCGGCCCCTGGGCCTGCTCTGCAGTCAGGTCCACCATGTGGAAGTGCTCTGAGACTCGGTGCACGTATTCAATGTTTAGTGTGTGCCAGCCACGTTCTAGGCACCGTGGATGCGGCCAGCAAGGAAGATGAGGACCCTGTTCTCATGCCCAGCCTCAGGGTGGGTGCATGGAGCATCCCTGGTCGAGTGTGTGCTCAGGATTCCTTTAGTATGTCATGAATCTGTCGTGTTTCTCAGAGCAGACTTAGGAGCCAGGCTCCCTGAGATTGAACCCTGCGTGGGCCACTTCTTTGCTGTGGAACCGTGGGCAAGTCTCTTGTTCTTTCTGG
Source organism: Homo sapiens (assembly GCF_000001405.40). Lineage (NCBI taxonomy): Eukaryota > Metazoa > Chordata > Mammalia > Primates > Hominidae > Homo > Homo sapiens. Next base: position 129,598,339 of record NC_000010.11, read on the forward strand.
CGGCTTCCATCTGTATAAGGGGATGATAGTGCCAATCTCTTAGCGTAGGTGACAGATTCCGAAGTAAAGGGCTTGTCAAGTAGGCCTGGGGTGGGCCTGGCACATCCTGGGGGTGCTGCCTGAGGGTCAGATGTCATCTTGGTGGCCCACACTCCCCTGCAGTGGTGCTGCTGGTTCAGGAAGTTAAAGTGGAAAACTGTGCTCCGGAATAAACACAATTGGGAGAACCCAAAACCACACGCAAGAAAGCAAAATGTGCTGCCCGATTACTAAGCATGGAGTTAAACTCTATTTGGTGTTTTTGTTCTGAATTGTTAGGGAGTAAGAATATTTATGGTTGGAATCCTTGGCCAATCCTAAATTTTCTTCTAACTAGTAGATAATTAAGTGTCTGCTTCTAGAGGATGTAGATGTGCTTGTCTTGTATATTACAAAGTAGAGACGACTTGCCCACACCCCCTCCTGGGCTCACACTCCATGCGGATGGCGTCAGTAGCTTCTGAGCCTCTTCAGGTGCTGAACACATGCCCTGAGCTGCTTGTTTTGACAGGGACATCATTTTTAAAGAGTCCTTTATTACCCCAGTTTACTCACCTCTTGTTGTCTCCAGCCCTTCCCTTTTTTATGTTCTTCTCTCCCTTTTCCCTTAGCAATTGCTAATACCCTAGTTGGTACTGATAAAAGAAAAACTTAAGCTGAATTGAATTTAAAGGAGTTTAATTGAGCAACGAACAATTCGCAAATCGAGCAGCCTCCCAAAGCCAGAGTAGGCTCAGATGGACAGAAAAAGGAAAGTGACAGAGACGAGGCACAGAAACAGCCAGATTGGTTACAGCGTTTGCCTTATTTGAACATGGTTTGAACAGTCAGCTATATTGGATTGGCCAAAACTCAGTGATTGGCACAAGAGTAGGCTACGGTCTGTTTATACCTCCACTTGTTATAGTTCATGAGGTACAGAAAAACCTTGAGGCCACATTCAAAACATGGAAGGAGGCAGCTTTAGGCTAAGCTTGATTCAACAGGTTGCTCTCGTCACTAGGAAGTAGTCATGTACAAATGCAAATGTGCTTGAAGTTTCAACCTAGTTTTTAGAATGTGGGATCCTGATGGGTATTCCTCTCATCTTGCTGCTTCTTGTCTTGCGCATTTATCATCCCTTCGAGGCAGTGGTTTCAGATCTTAATCCTTTTTCCTAGTCACCTAATATTCTAAGATGTGGCTATACAAAGCATTTCCAACCATTGTCCTTCCCCCCTCAAAAATTATGGTAATAAGCGTCCTTCCCACCCCACAGATAATACTGCAGTCAGTGCAGACATATGCTTGTACATGCTTTCACACACGATTCACTGAGGCCGGCAAGTCTGTGGGAGGGAGTTCTATAACTGAATGTTTACACAGGGTGTGCATATCTTTCTCTTTGAATAGGTTGTTTCTATACTGTTTGTCATGAAAACTCAGACCATTCCCATTTTACCATCCTTTCTTCACCAGGGAGATAGAGTGACAGAGCAACTTAATTGTTGCCCATCTGATGCGGATCAAGTGTCATATTAACTGTGCATATCCCTGCAACGTTTGCACACTAATGTACATTGGTCTTTCTAGATGCCTGTTGTTACCTATAGGTAAGTAGGTAGGTAGGTAGGTAGGTAGGTAGGTAGATGTCTGCTAGCAATTTGACGGGTCATTTCTTTTTGAAGGATAATGAACAAATTTGAAACCTGTGGCACAGCCTGGGACCTAAGTCTGTGTGGTGCAGGGAGTCTAACTTCTGTCTAAGTCAGTAGTATCTCCAGGGATACAGCCTTACATCCACTGCTGGCTGCGGCTTCTCTGAGCGACCCATCTCTGCGTCCGCCCATCCATGGCTGCCATCTCGCACAAAATTATTTTCCTGGGATGGTCCCTTGAGTTAGTTCGTGGTTAGGGGTAGCTCTCACCTTAGTCCCTACAAACCCACCTGAATTTCCTTTGTCTCCGAGCCACATGGGAAGGAGACTGTGGAAAATAAACCAAGAGATTCTCTAGTAGGTAGAGCTAGAGGCAACAGGTTAAAATCACATCTTTATAGGAGAATGTTTGGGGAATGCATTCAGCAGTCACCCATTCTCATTAATAGACCCAGAAAACAATTAAAAAATACACATTGTGATTTGGACTGGGCAGACATGCCGACTGTGGAGCCATTTCTTAAGAGAGGGAGGTTGGCAGGTAGCTGGTGAGCCTATTTCTTTGCTCATTGAGCTAGCAAGAGCAACACCCATTACTTTCATTGGATTACTTGTTTGAAAATTAAATTAATCAAGTGAGGTAAACATCCGTATTGCCTCTTAGCACCCCCATAGGCTGCCCGCAAAATGGCCTGCGTGGGTATCCTAAGAGCAGGAATTGGCTATGACCTGCCGAGGTGGCCAACTCAGATGTGGCCAGTTTTCCATACAAGTATGAAGTTCCTGAATTAATGGGAAACCTGGCTGCATTGTCTGATGGCTTACTGGCAAGCAGTAATTAGAAAACATTTTTCATAGTGGAACCTCAGGTTTAGCTATCCAGAGAAATTGGATATTTCAAAATACTCCTAGTTGGTTAGTGAAACATTAGTATTAATGACAAATTAATATTAATATCAATATCAGAGTTGAGTATGTAGCCTTTGGGAAGAGAAGGGAAAGATTTTAAGGACCAGATTTAAGTAGCCTCCATATGCCTTTCCTTCTTGGTGGCATTTTTCATCTGAAAGCATTTTTTTTTTTTTTAGCTCAAAAACTTAGATGTGAAAAATTCAACGCATTGGGAAGAGGCGTCAACATTTGAACCGCAAATGATTAAACCTTTATGACTAAAGTAATAGGTTTGGCTTCAGTCTTCCCAGTGGAGTAGCAAGCAGAGGTCCTTTTCAGTTTGCAAACAGTAGTATACAAACTTGGTCCATATCAAATACTGTTTCTCTTCCAGGGCTTGTGTGTGCACTGGGAACAGCAACAAAAGTTGAACAGCAACTGGGTGGGGTTTCTTTATGTCTTCTGTTTAATCAGAGTTTCCTGATGGTTTGGCCACTTCATTCTCCTTTGGCTTAAGGGGTTCTAAGCCATGGGGCAGACCTTGGGTGGCTCACTGCTCTTGGAAGGAGGGTGTCCAGCCTTCCTGGCAGTGTGGAGATGAGTAAGGGAAACACTGCAGGGGCTTCTGGCTTCCTGGATCCTGCCCCTCACCTGGGGACTTTGTCTAAGTCCTCATCCTAGCACCACCTCGAGATCGATTCAGGCCTCCCCAGCAGTGGCAGAAATCCAACCATGGGAGCTAGTGGGTTCCATTACTGTGGAGTAGGGAAGAAGACATATGTCCCTTCTAAGTCACTTTAATTTGGTCCAAAATAAATAACCAAAGTCCTTGGGGAGACCGTCAGGGAAGTATCTTCCCACATCACACTTGGTCTTTGCAAGAAGTGCTGGTGGGCGTGCAGGGCTTCTTGACACTTCGCAGCAACGTAAGGATGTGGTAGTAGAGTGCTTGGTGTTCCAGTGGCCACTGCAATACAAATAGAGTGAGTTTTGTCGCCGTGGTACATTACAGCCATGGAAATTCCCCGTAGTTCATTGGTCCGTGACCAACAAAAATCCCCCTAGACTAACAATTAATCAGGCTCTGCTGAGCCTTTGACTGGCGACAGTTGCAGATGTCACATCATGCGAAAAGTTAAATCTCAGCTTTCCCCAAGAAGGAAAAAAAGTTTATTTTTACAGTTTATGGAACTAGTTTTCCTTTTGATCAAATGACCTGGTCTTTAGGGGAGAAATATTTTCATTTTTATGTTAGCAAGTGTGATACAGAATCATATACATTTAAAATCTTCATTTTTATTGCTTTTTTTTTAAAGTACAAAATTTTAATAGTAATAGTGATTTCAAGAAAATGTTGTGAGTGTCACTTTACTAGTCAGGCATGTTGAAAAGGAACGCGCTTCCTGAAATCTCCAAGCGAGGTTGGCATTTGAGACCTCTGGGTACGTGAGCTTAAAATTAATATAAGTACCTGAGCCTAGAGCCCAGGAGGTTTAGAAAGACTCAGAGATGCGCTTAAAGATAATTGGTGTGCTCCTCTTGTGAGAGCGGATTCACCAAAATGAAGTTAAAATTTGTTTGGGAAGTTGCTTGTACTGTGCCTTGTGAACTTACAAATCTGTGTCACAATCCAAAGGGTTGAGAGCCACACAAAGCAAAACAGATGGGCCGTGTGTCGTAGGATTTCCTGCTGTCCTTTCGGCTTCAGGTAACTAGGACTTGTGAAGCACAAGATACATGGGAGGCAAATCTGAAAAGGAATGGTGAGTGCGCCCCACGTGCCTGGGTAATACCTGAGTGCTCCCGGCATTACCTGGGGGCTGCCACCCTCCCTCCCCCTCCTTCCTTTCCAGCTCAACATTGAGGTGAACTTTTTACCATGATCGATGTAGCTTTCTGGTGTCTACACAGATTTCTGGATGGCCTCAGAAATGTCACATACTGCTTCGGGAATGTCTGCAAGTATATTTCATACATTTTACCTGGCAATTAAAAAAAAGTCATCTTTAAGATATTAGCATGTGGATACCGAGGTTCCACACAAAGCAAACAAAGAGGTCATTCTTAGCAGCTAATTTTAAATCTTCAGGCAACTATACGAACCTATGTCACAGTCTCTCCCAAAATTTATTATAATGCCCTTGTTATAAATTTAGAATATTTTTGCAAACTCATATAAACAAGTAATTGATGCGACTAAAATTCTTGTCACATATTTATTGCACTATCAGCTAAAATTTTTAAGTGACAAGAACCAAAATAATCGTTAATTTTTATAGGGCAAGGATCTGGCTTTTTGTCTGACACAAAGCTGTATAAAAAACTGCTTCTGATTTTATGCACATTGTTTTTAGTTAATGATTTTCAGCTGTTTGTTGTTTCTCTGATAGCATGAAAATGTACCATATGCTCAGCCCAAAGACAGATGATTAGCAAGTGAGATTCCGGGCAGCTGTCTGACTGAGCGCGTTGGGTTGATAGCATTCTGCTATCATAATTAGCTTAAGCTTTGGGTTAATTAACTTTCTACCTGGATATGCATAATAATAGCAAACTGCAAAAAGCAAGAAGCTTTCAGTACATCAACAACATTGCTGTCTTTTTTATTTGGTATTTCAAGAGCATATTAGAATTTCAAGAGTGATTAATCCTGGGAATATTGTCATCTACTGTAGATTTTATTTGCAAGCCAGATAATACTGAAACAATTGGAATCTATTATAGAGCAGAAATAGCATTTTAAAATTGTAATTAAAGTTTCTAAAAGCAATTGCTAATTTCAAATGCCTTTGTTGGCAAGAATATTAGGCACACTGCTTCTTGTATGGGCAGCTTGTCGGGCACAAAAAATACCAGCACTTACACTGTGAAGAATAAAACTTTCTTTTATTTAAGGGCTGTATTGAAAATAATCAGTTATTTTTATGTAATTTGAAAGTAAGATTACTCTGTAGTTTGCAGAGGTGCTGTTCAGACTCCTAGATTGAAGATATTAACCCTGTGCCCTCTTGCAGGTTCTCACCTTTGTTACCTCCTGAGCAGTGGAGGGCTGGAGGCCTGGGTAGGAGTGCCTGGTGCCCTCTTAGAAGATTTGATGTGTGCGTGTGTCTGCGGGTGCCAGAGGTCAGATTTTTCAAAAGTCAGTGCTATACATTTGTAGCTTGATATTTGTTTTCTACCCCAAGCAGTTTCTAAATCAATTTACTGATGGTATGAAATGGGGAGAGGGAGGGCTTTGTCTCCATCCTCCTCCTTGTTTGCATGATTTACCAAAGCACTCTCTACGACGCTCATCATCTGAAGGGGCTGCCGGGGCCTTTGGAGAGCACAAGCTAGTGAAGTGGATGGTGGATTTGGAGTAAAAATTGTAGTTTACATTTCCCAAAGCACCAGAGAGCCTAGCACTTAATTCTGAAATAAGTCATGCCTGTTGTTACACTCAGAAAAATATTTTATCTTCTGAAAAAAAAATTCTTTACATATGCAGTGGATGGTGAAGATTTGGTGGCGGTGAATTTGCCCTGGCTCCAGAGGACTTTACTTACAGAATCAGCAGTCGTGAAAACGTGCTTTCTCAGATGTGTGACTTGTGGTCAGTCTGTGGGCTCAGGAGCACCCATTTGGTCAATCCATGCAAGTTTTATGGGGCTGTCAGAAGCCATTTTTCAAAATTGGCTTCATCTGAGGACACGTGGAGGAGCCACTCTCTTGGTGTGGGTAGTGAAAGGAGTGGCTCCCTGTGGCTCTGTCTTGGGAGTTGGGGGCTGCAGTGGTTCACTGGGAGGAGGGGGTGCCCCTGCAGGCCCCACCTGCACCCCACCTCGCCGCCCCACCCCCTCCCCCCGGCTTTCAGGCTGTGACCTCAAGGCCTTTTATCATTTTCACAATGATGTCTCCAACAGACCTTTACCCCAGTCTCAAAAAAGATACTGCCAGAGCCTGCCTTTGCTTTTTGTTTAGTCTGCTTCGGGCTGCGTCAATAAAGATAGCAGAGGGGTCAAGAGAAAAGAAGTGAACGGAATCACAGTTTTGGTGTTGAACCCTTAAATGGGGGCCCCACTGTCTCTGCTGTGTAGCAGGCACAGGATTATCTGTCTGCCTTCTGAGATTTCTTTTAATGTTTTACCAAATTAAACATGAACAATTTCAGGATGCAAAAACTTGACTGCATCTTGTTGTTTCTTAAATAAGAGCACTTTAAGAAGGCAATATATGGAGATTCTTTTGTGGGAAAGATGTTTCAAATGGGTTATTACTGGCCATTGAAAGAAAGAAAAAGAGGAAATGCATCGAGGCCTCATTTTTTGGCCTGCACATTTGATTATTTTATTTTAAATGCCATTTCAAACATAGTGTAAACTAATGATATTATTTTTTAAAAAACTTACTCTACTATTTGCGGTCCTTGATCTTTAATTTCTTTTAATGTCAAAATTATTTATTTGGCCAGTTCCATTCCAGATGTGACTGTTGAGGGCACATTAATTTCTATTCTGTTTTCATGGGCCCCTGTCCCCATCTGTACATCATTTCTGACTTCCGTGTGCTCCCTAGGGAGTTCACTTATTCATATTGTAGGTTTCATTTGCTGTGTAAACAGAATAAACAGACAATGCAAAAATCCCCACAATACCAGAAAATAATTCTTTTCAACAACATAGTGGATCATATTTAAAAAAAAACATGGAAAATGCAATACATGTGAAGCCCATTTTTTCCACTTTATTGTCCTCCCGAGGAAAGGCTTGTGTTACCAGTGCATTTCCCTTGAATTTGATAAGTTCATTTTTATTAAAAATCCATCCCAAACAGCATTTTACGATAATTCTCAAACACGTGTTGTGGACATTTCTTTGTTTTGCGTATTAGCTTGGTCTTGCGGGTTAATTCGGAATGTGTTACTCAACTGGTATGTGCTTGCGTGGCCAAAAACACCCGTTGTGCTGTGTGTGTGTGAAAAGCAACATTCAAGAACGGTGATTTTTTTTTTTTGACATTTACAAATAAAGAGGGACATGAGTTATTTATGCTCCAATGTTGCTGCAAAGTCCTTATCTCCATTTGGCACTAAACAAGGATTTGTTGTGGGATTTGTGAGGGCTGCGCAGTGCCTCTGTGCTAAGCACCCAAAACTCTAGGGGACTGGCACTAATTTCCTCTCTCTCGTAAAACAACGTAGTATTCATAACAACTCAAGAGGCTTGACATAAGTAATGATGGCATGTGCAGGCGAAGATTACCACCCAACAGTGTAATCAAGGTGCTAGGTACTAATGCAAGTTAAATTGAGACAATAATGCCGAAACTTGCATTGTGGGATTAGGAGGGCACTTGAAATGCTGACGTGAGCACATCCTGCCTGCCTGCCTGTCTGGCGCTCCGTTCCTGTTTATACTTAATGACCTCAAAATTTGTATGTCGTTAACACCGTGTACTGAAGTGGGAGAGAACACGGTTTGGGAGGGAGAAGACTCCCTGTCTTCGTTGACTTTTGTCTCTTTTGGTAATTGGTGGCTTTTCCTGCCGTATTAGGGAGCAAAGCGTGCAGCGGGGAGGCCCCTGAGGTCTCTGTAAACATGCTGTGGGCACCGAGGGCCTCCGCACCCGGCGCTAGGCAGTAATTTACATACTTTGAATGAAAAGTCATTTGTGCCTGCAAAATTGTTATTGCTGGAAGAAATTTAAATACTAGTCATATGGAAATTTGAAATAAAGTCATATTAAATTTTGATGCTCAGATCAATATTGTGGAGCCCCGGTAATTAAAGTGGGTTTGTTTATTTGGCTCCTTATAAATAAAAAGGGCTTAATACAGACTAATTACACAGAATCTTTCGTCTACGGTGGGATAATAATGGCAGCAATTTAAAGTGATATTAAATGAGAATTAATAAAGGAATATTGAGTCACTTTGACTGTATTAAGCTGTGAAATGATTCCTCATCTCAATTTAACTTTCTGTCTTGAGCATAATGTTTGATAAGCAATGCATTTTTGTAGGAATAATCTATAACAGTATTTGACTGCAATATTTAATAACAACTAGACTTGTGACTTTATGTTGTTTTTAAATGGGCTGGGAAAGCCCGTTTTTTCTCTGCAAATTTATAGGACAACTTAGAGGGTTCTTGCCCTATGGTAGCTTCACAAGAGTTCTGAGTTGGCACCCTCCGGTTTGGGAGGTAGGTGGAGATGGCTTTGACTTTTGTTCAACTTACAAGGGAGTAACTTCTTGGAAGTGCAGTCCGGGCCAGCAGAAATGGTCATAGTAGGCCATGGTGGAAGGAGAATCAGAACCACGCGTAAATCCTCAGAAGGAAGAGGGCAGTCATTTTTTTTTTTTTCTCTTGGAGGAATATCCCGGGAAGAATTACCTGGAAGAAATCAGAGTGGTTTTGGAAGATGGATTGTCGGATAACATTTTAACTTAAGGGCTGAAGTTCCTTTCTACCTAAGTACCATTGAAGAAGTATGTTCCTGATCTTAAACATTTTTAATAGCAGTCTAGGCCAATTGACTCTGTGACCATTAAGTAATTTTCAAGTGGACTGGCTGCTGCCAGGGTGTTTGTGTTTTGCTTTGTTTTGTTTGCAGAGTAACTTGTGTGTAATTTCTTTCCACTGTGCCGCACAGCATGTCATGTCCACGTTAGCATTTCTGCCCTTTTAAAGGGTCCTGCTGAAGGTCAGGACCTCACACTGAACACCCTTTTTATATATATTACAAATTGCTGGAATTGTTCATTAATTTCTGTCTTTGAAATGCCATGTCAACCCTCTAAAGGAATTCGCAGTGCCAGTTTCCCTTGGACAGCTGCTCACCATGGTCCAGTGCGAATTTCTGATGAAATTACAGGTGCAGGGAAATGCAGAATTAGAAATATATCTGATGTTGCAATACTTGTGAAGCTATAGCTTTGTTGATGACAGGACAATTCCATTTTTGACAGTTTAATTTACTGTTGCCAGTGGACAAGAGCAAGAGGAGGACGTGGGGTTAGCCACCTGCCCCCTCGTACCGTGTTTCACATGCGAGGTTGCCAAATCATGACTCCCTCAACCTGTCGGGCTCAAATGAGAAGGTTTTCAGCTGGGAAAATGGAATATATCAGTGCATGTAATATTGCCTGACCTCATAAAACAAAAGGGAAAATTGCAGATTCTGACAGCCATTATGAATCTTGTATCAGCATCCAAAACGACTTGGAGCCAGGGTATAGTACATGTTTATAATAGAAAAAAAACGGGGTTGCCACGTTGACTTGCAATATGGAGCAAAAAATGACTTGTCATAATTCGTTCTCAGATGTTAAAGAGGCTGTTGAATTTACTAGTATATACACAGAAGAATGCGTAGCCCGGAGCAGAGTGTGGAAATAGTCCCTACACAGAGGGGTCTGCTGAAGTTAGTCATCGAGTTAGATTAGAATGGAAGGCAGGAGGGGAGGAACTCCGGGTTTGCGCCGCAGCTGCGTCGGTGGGGCCAGATTTCTCATTACAAGATGTACTGAACCTTTCCACTTTCACCCACTGTAAATCTATAAGTAATCAGGCTTCTAAAATAAAGCAAACAACCTTGTTTTGAGATTATGAGAATCATTTGAATTGAATGTATTCTGTTGGAAAACTGGTGTATTGAGGCATGGCTTTTTATCTTACGCTTAAAAAGTTTTATTTATATTAAAATAAGGCATAATCTCTCTGCGTATAATTATACGCTCTTCGATTTAGTTTTTCTATTTAATAGTCTATTCCTTCACCTTCTTGCCCATTTCTTTATGTTATTCCTTAAAAAATAATTTCTAAGTACAATAATTGTCTCAGCTGCTTTTGGTGATTTCTTTGGGAGGGGAGATGTGGAGTGACAGTCCAGGAACTTTCTGCCCAGGGGCAGGAGGCCCAGCGCGTGCTCCCCAGCTGAGGCCCCGTCCGCCTTGGCCACTCCCTTTCATCTCCCGGGCTGAATGCGGAGTGTGGTGACTTTTATTTTTTCCTTTGCTATTGGTTTAGAATGAGATGTAGCAGTTGATTTAAGTGAAGTAAAGCATGCTTACGCAGTACACTGTGTCCCTGTCGGGGCCTGCTCTCTCATGTCACCTGCCGGCGGTGGCATGGAGACAAAGCCTTCTCTCCTCTCTTACTGCTGCTGGGCCTCTCCTGGGCAGGTCCGGGCTCAGTGGCTTGAACAGGTGATGCAGGGAGGGGCAGTGCCTGTGGCCACAGTGATGGCACAGGTGGACATGATCCTGAGAGTCCAGTGGGGGCTGTAGCACAGGAAAGGAGGTTGTCTACAGCCTTTCTCACCACACCTTTCCCTCCTCAGTGGAATCTCTGGCCCCATCTGGAGTCCCTGGAGGCTGGATGGTAGAACTGGAATCGTTGGCCCGATCTGGAGCCCCTGGAGGCTGGGTGGTAGAAGTGGAGTCTCTGGCCCCATCCGGATGATGGAGGTGGAATCTCTGGCCCCATCCGGATGATAGAGGTGGAATCTCTGGCCCCATCTGGAGCCCCTGGAGGCTGGATGGTAGAAGTGAAATCTCTGGCCCCATCTGGAGTCCCTGGAGGCTGGATGGTGGAGGTTTGCTGGGGTAACCCTAGGCGGTAGGTGTTGCCACCCAAGGTGAAGAGGAACTCACAGCAGCGCTGGCTTAGCAGCTCTGTGGGGCATAACCCACTTCTTTGCAAACTCTGGTGCTGGGAGATGATGAAATGAGCACCTGGTACATTAGGTTTGGGACTTAAAGCTGATACTTCCATTCGGGAGCAGGATGAGTAAGACCTGGTGCTTCTTTGCTCAGAGCTCTCTGAGGTGGGAGGCTGGAAGCGCTTCCCTGAACACTGTAGGAAGTGTTGCAGGAGAGCGGAAGAGCAGGAGGAGGAATGGTGCAGAGGAGGAGGAGCAGTGCGGAGATTTCACCTGGGGGGACACCACCACGGGAGGCAGGCGGCAATGGTGGAGGCGTTGGCTGAGCAGGGCCTTTAGAAAAAGGCCCGGGAGCTTGGCAGCAGAAAGGAGGGTGGAAGTGCAGAAGCATCGAGATGCCCAGTGACGTCTGTGCAGTTTGGATTTTGCTGTTGAAAAGCAAAGGAGATGAATAGAAAGCTTTAGGCAGACACTGAGAGTTTTTGCTTTGGAGGTATTTTGATATATGGTAAACTATTGTTTGGATTATTTTGGAGTATGCTTTGGTCTATTATTAAATATCCCAGTCAAAGATAGCAGATATTCAATATTTGAGTTAGGATTTTTCAAATACTTAGAATATTTGAAAATATTTTTATCATTAGAATTTATTGATTTTTTGAGACACTATCATATTCTAACAATTGCACCTTATTCTTTGGCGGTATCACTGTCATTGTATTAATGGCAAAGGCTTCAAAATAGCCTGTCAGGCCCATGTCATCTGCAAGTCAACCCTCAACCCTTTCTCTCTAAACTCCTCTCCTCCAGTTTGCCAAACCACTGTGCTCCAGCCATGCTGCCCTCCTTGCTGTTCTGGAACTTGCCAAGTATGCCCCACCCCAGGGCCTTGGCATGTGCCTGGAACACTTGAGCCCCCACCCTGCACATGGCTGGCCCCTTGTTTTCTTCAGCTCTCCGTCCATATGCAATAGCGATTCCTCATGCCCCTCATAGCACTTCTGGACTTTTTCCTTGCTCTATTTTTTACCAACTAAAACAGGGGTTGGCCAACCATGGCTCTCAGGCTGGCCACCTGTTTTGCAAATACAATTTTATTGGAACACACTTATAAAGACTTGATTTCTTATGGCTGTTTTCCCTATGATGGCAGAGTTGAATAGTTGCAATAAAGTCTGACCTGCAAATCTAAAATGTGTGTAATATCTGGCTCATTAGGCAAAAGTTTGCAAAGCCCTCATCTAGGATATAGTGCATTCATTTGCCTCTGTCCCTGACTGGAATGCACCCTCCCTTAAGACAGAGCCTATCTCTGTTTGGCCCACTGCTGTATCCCTAGAGCCTACAACAGTGTCTAGCACAAAGTATGTTCTCGTGAGATACTTGAATGAATAAATGAACAAAAGTGAAAGTTCCAGCCAACAGGATGATGGGCAGTAGTTAACTATGCCTCTAATTCTGGCTTAAACTTTGGTATTTCAGCCTTTATGTATGTTCTATTTTGCAGTTTTTATGGTGCACAGGATGAAAGAACACATCAACTCCTAGGGAGTAGAGGAGGCCTGGAAATAGACTCAGATGCAGAATTGTGTGCAGGTGGCTGTTGGGGAGTGTATTCATTCATTCTCACACTGCTATTAGCATCTGAGACTGGGTAATTTATGAAAGAAAGAGGTTTAATTAACTCAGAGTTATCTGGGCTGGACAGACTTCTGCTTCTGGAGAGGCCTCAGGAAACTTACAATCATGGCCGAAAGCAAAGGGGGAAGCAAACACATCCTCATGGATGGAGCAGGAAGAAGAGAGAGAGTGAAGGGGGAGGTGCCACACACTTTCAAACAACCAGATCTCTTGAGAACTCACTCACTATCATGAGAATAGCAAGGGGGAAATCTGCCCCTGTGATCCAGTCACCTCCTACCAGGACCCTTCTCCAAGACTGAAGATCACAAGTCAACATGCAGTTTGGGTGTGGACACAGAGCCAAACCATATCAGGGAGTATTCCCAGGATACACTCTGTAAGGAAGTGCATACTGCAGGATCGGGCAAGGGAGAAGCAGGGGCTTGCATTATGACCTAGTTGCAGTTGAGGTCTCATCCTGTCCTGCAGGGAACTCTGGAGAGAGAATGACCTGTAGAGTCATCCCAAATTGAGGCCGGGGGCCTAAGTCTTGGCTCCCGGGTGCGCTCTGGGGGGGCCATAACCTTGGATGAGATGCTTCTCCCTCGAGAGCAGCGGTGAAGTATGCACCTGCCTCTGAGCTCCTAGAGCTGGGGTGTGATGCACTGGTCCTGAAACAAGGCCTGGGCAAGTACCCAGAATTTCAGTTGTCAATGGAAAGAGTCAAACTCTGTAAAATACTTATAGGGATTTATTCTGAGCCAAATATGAGTGACCATGGCCAGTGACACAGCCCTCAGGAGATCCTGAGAACATGTGCCTAAGGTGGTCGGGGTGCAGCTTGGTTTTATACATTTAGGGAGACATGAGACATCAATCAAATACATTAAGAAATACATTGGTTTGGTCCAGAAAGGCGGGACACCTTGAAGTCCAGGGGACTTCCAGCTTATAGGTAGATTTAAAAATCTCCTGGTTGATAATTGGTTGAGTTTCTCTAAAGACCTGAGATCAATAGAAAGGAATGTCTGGGTTAAGATAAAGGATTGTGGAGATGCAAGTTCTTATTTGTGGAGGAAGCCTTCAGGTAGCAGGCTTCAGAGAGAATAACTTGTAAAATGTTTCTTATCAGACTTCAAGTCTGTGTGGATGTTAGTGCCGGAGAGGTATAGCGAAGCATATCCAACCCCCACTTCCCGTCATGCCTGAAACAGTCTCTCAGGTTACATTTTGAAAGAGCCCTGGCTGCGGAGGAAGTCCATTTGATGGTTGGGGTTAGAATTTTATATTTGGTTTACAAAGTCTTGAATTAAAATATTTTATCATTACCTAGTTTTATACCCGGGAATGTTAGTTGTTGCACGTGAGGACATGAAGTGAGTTAATGCAGGGCTTGGGCCGTCCAGTGTCTTCTTTCCCCACAGCCTTGCTGGCAGTGACCCCATATAAATAGGAACAATTACCGGAAGAAACTGTGCTCCTCCTAAAGCCTAGCTAGTGACTTCCACCTTTGAACCATAGGCGAGGCAGCACTTAACCAGGGCACTGTTTGATAGGATGTTACAGGTGGTTCCAGAGAAAAACGAAACATGTCATCTTGTTAAGGGAGGTCTTCGTTTCGGCATCTCTGTAAAATATTTAAAGAGGTATTTTTATTTCTTTAAACAGGCTCTGCCTCTTCCGTCCCCCTCGCCCAATGTGGACTCTGCCCGTCCTTCCTGAGCAGTGAGACTCTGTCCCCATGTGCTTCTGGTCACAGCTGCGGTGACATCCTGTAACATTGTTTGGTCCTTGCTTAAATCAGTTACTCACCATGTTATAGCCGAGTTCAGACCCACTACACAGACCTCCTAAGGTGCTGGCCTGTCTAAAACATTATTTCCATTATTCATTCCTGTTCACTCTGGGATAGGGAAGCCATGCTCCAAGCTGTATTGGAATATCAGGTCCAGGGTAATTAGCCAGGGCCTAAAGGGTCTGTTTTGGAAAATTCAAGTACAAGTAGAATCTTCTTTAGTATCTTGGATCCACCAGGGAAGAGATGGTCTCTGAGGCCTGCTATGCAGAATAAAACCAAGAGAGTCACTGTGAAGGAATCCAAGAGATGCAAGTGCTCTTTGCTGTCCAGTGATTAAAATGAAAGCAAAGACGGGAAGCGTCCTTGATCCACATTTTGCCTGTGATTTGAATATCACATGCTTGGTCCGGGCACTTAGGTGGGCTTCAGTGATTTGGGCCGGAAGGAAATGGTGCCCCTTTCCTCGAGTTTCTAGATTGTTTTGTCACAGACAGGGGAAGCCCTCATCTGACTTGCCCTGTAGGACCCTAGTCTGTCGGGAGGTCTCTGTCCCCACCCCTCCCTGGAGTCTGGGGTGTAGTTGGGCTGACCCTCAAAATATGCTGTGTCATCAAAGGTTCATCATCTATCTGGTCTGTTTTTTAACGCAACTTGATAAAATACCAGTGTTTTAATAAAAAGGTCTAAAACATTTACCATTTAAATGAGCCTCCCTTCCTGGGATGCACACAGGAGTCTTGGCGGGAGGCTGGTGGCGCAGGCTGATGGGTCCTGTCCCTCTGTGCCTTGGGCGCCTCTGCCCAGCGTCACGCAGTGTCATGAGACCCCTCAGTGCAAGCGCAGGTCTGCCTGAGGTCCCCCCTCCCACCTGCAACCTGGATGCCTTTTGTGCCTATGGAACACAACTGAAAGGGCCGGTCAGTGCCATGGCTTGGCTAATTCATGGTGGACATGCATTTTGGTTTTTAAAATTATGGTAAAATATACATAAAATTTCCCACCTTCACCATTTTTAAGAGTCCAGCTCAGCAGCTGTCAGTGCATTCACACCGTCGTGCAGCCATCACCACCACCCATCCTCAGAGCCCCTCATCTTCCCACAGGGAAACTCCATCCCCATTGAGCACAGACTCCCCCTTCCCCAGCCCTGGCACCCACCCTTCTACTGTCTCTATGAGTCTGACTACATCACATAAGTGGTACAGCCATTGTCTTTTGTGACTGGCTTATTTCATGGAGTATCATGTCCTCAAGGTCCATCCGTGTTGTAGCACGTGTCAAAAGGTCCTTCCTTCCTCAGGCTGGATATGGGCTCTTTAAAAGCCTATTTTCTTAGAGCAAAACCCGTTTCCCCCACACCTGATCGTCACAAGCCGTCTAAGACACGTGGTCTAGGGTTTGCTAGTGATCGTCTGTGGGCTTTCCGAGCCTGCGCTGGTTTTGCTGCCACAACCTGAGGTCCGCGGACGTCCCTGTGCTCGCTATGACTTCTTTGTGTGAGACTGTCAGAGTGTGTTCCTGGCCCTGACACGTGCTCGGCGGCTGGTTTTTCTCCTTCAGATCAGCGGCCTTGGACAGCTTTCGCTTCTTTGGCAGCCGTTTCAAGCTGCTCCGTCTTGTCATTTTAGAGTTCAATATCTGCTGCTCTGAAGGAAGAAACGGGGATGGGCTGGACCATTGCACTTGGTCTCTTGACCTCGATGTTGCCCATGAGCAGTGAAGGATGACTTTTGACGAGCCATGTCAGATGTGACAGGCAATCTAGTTGGCTTGAGTGGAAATGTGCTGTACAAGTTTGAAGCCTTGGTTGGGGGCATTTTTCTGGTGTTCAATGCATTTAAATTGACACCAGACTTCAGTATGTTGTTCATTTCAGGCCCAGCACTGTAGGCTCCCATCTTTAAAATGTGTGGGTGCCGAGCGCTCCCTCGTCAGCTTTTGCAAAGCATTTTGCATATTCCCAGTACTGTATTTACATTCCTGGCTCACATTGGTTTTTGTTTTTTGTTTTTCCTA
The DNA here is from genome assembly GCF_000001405.40 of Homo sapiens. NCBI lineage: Eukaryota > Metazoa > Chordata > Mammalia > Primates > Hominidae > Homo > Homo sapiens. Next base: position 129,614,986 of record NC_000010.11, read on the forward strand.
TCTTAAAGCTTATTTTTGAAGTGAATTTTTAATGCTTTCAGTTGAGTAGGGATTTGTGGAATTTTGAGGGGTGGGGAGGTGCAGTGGAGAAAAGGGGGAAAATGGTTGTTTCTTGGCTCTCAGCATAAGCTACATTTTCCATCATATGGAGTGAGATGCCTATATTGGGCAGCTGTGATTTTAAGTGAAAGTCATTTCCAGTTGTTTCTAATGTCTAGAAATTAGGTTTGTTTTGATTTTAATTGTCAAAGGAAGGGACTGTGGGTGAGGAAGAGCCCTTGCCGCCGCCTCCCCTGACGTGCCCCTGCTTGGGCAGACGCCTCCCTGGTGAGGTGTGGGCTGCGCTGGACAGCACCCAGGACCACGGCCTCGTTCTTTTCCTTCTCACTGTGTTTTCCTCTTGGGTAGGGGTGAGGGTGGTTATTTTACTCAGATCTCTGAGCCTTAAAGTGGATCTTCTGCAGATCATCTCCAGAGTCATCTGACGGCGCCGGGCAGAAGTCTGTATGTTGGGAGCTGTCCCCAGCTCCTCTCCTTAGGACTTCTGAATCTGCTTCAACCAAGCATATTCCTGCCTCATCCGGAACATTCCTCACCCTCTGCCCCAGTGCAGGCGGTGTCCACATCTCAGGGATGCAGCGTGGTGGAATTTTTAAGGTTTTGGTTGGCGTGGATGAGAGCATCTCTGCTGAGGCTGCCGTGCGGGTGTGGGCTGGGTGCATCTGTGTCTCTGGGCACCATATACCAAGTGGCACTCATCCCTGTGAGAACATGGCCTGGGCATTAGAGGATAGGATCCTTAGTGTGAGGGAGGCCTCAACCATAAAGGGACTGAGGGGAGAGACAGGAAGGGTCCAGGTATAAGAAGAGCTGCCCACGGCAGGGGGTGTGGCAGTGGGACCAGGATGAATGGGTCTCAGTAATGTGGCTCCTTCCCCAAGCTGGGGAGCAAGGGAGGCTTCTGCTGTTGGGTGTTGAAGAGGAATCTTTGGTTTGCAGATGGGGGTGGGGTGGGTCTTTGCCCATCCTCTGATCGTATGTGTAGAAGTTTGCAACATGAAGGGCAGACTGTGGTGGAGTTCTTTGGCAGTTAGGAAAGCAAGCCAGGGCACAGACGTGTTCTCTGAAAGGCAGGGTGTGGGCACCACAGGGTCAGCCCTGCAAACAAGAGCACTGAGCAGAGGGAGCGGCGATTGGATTGGAGAACGGAGGCTCCCACCTGGCTCACATACTCCTACATACATGCCACACGCATGCCACGGTGCTTAGGAATCTTGAAAGCTGCAGGCTCAGGGGAGCTGCGATGCTCATCGTGAAGATGCAGAGCCGGAGAGGCCGCCCAGGCAGGAAGGCCAGTGCTGGTCGCCTCCAGGTGGTCTCAGGATCCCAGAGCAGGAGGCAGCCATGTGGTGCTGAAGGGGAAGCGAGGGCATAGAAGCTGTGCCCTGGAGCTGGAATGGTAGACAGGGCTTTCTTAGTGCCAGGGCCTGCAAATTCCCAACAAGGGCTCACTGGAATCCTCCTCCCGCCATCCTCCCAGGCCCCCCATTGGCCGGCCAGGCCCCTGGATTACCTCTCTGGTGCCCTGTCCTCCTCCATGCTCTCCTCTAAGGGCCCTCACTGGCACCTTTGCCCTCCTTAACCAGGTAACACTAAACCAGGAGACATCTAGAATCCTGTTTGAGACATCTTCGAGAGTCACCTTGTTAACTAGACAGAAGTGGATCTCTACAGGTTAGAGCCTGGGGAACCTCTGTTTTCTTTGTGATATTCTCTAGTGAGTGTTCCAGGAAAGAACATGCCCCACTGTCTCCTTTCTACTTGCAGATAGCGGTGAGGTGGGAGAGGGGCCTGGGAGTGTGCTCTTCATTCTCCACCTCCTCCCCCGAGGAGGTGGTCATGGTCACTCGCTTGACGAGCCCAGACTCTGAGCTTCTGCCCCTTTATTGAGCAAATTCATAAAGTCAACCATGCTCTTTTATTATGTAACTTGTTTTTTAGATTCAGGGGTACATGTGCATGTTTGTTGTATAGGTAACTTGCCTATCACAGGGGTTTTGTGTGTGGATTATTTCTTCATCCACATGATAAGCACATGATAAGCATAGTACCCAATAGGTAGGTCTTCAATCCTCACCCTCCTCCCACCCTCAAGTAGGCACCGTTGTCTGCTGTTCCCTTCTTTGTGGCCATGTGTACTCAGTGGTTAGCACCCACCTCTAAGTGAGAACACATCCATGTTGCTGCAAAGGACAACATGGATGCAAATGATCTCATTCTTTTATTATGGCTGCATAGTATTCTGTGGTGTATATTTACCACATGTTCTTTATCCAGTCTCCTATTGATGGGCCTTTAGGTTTAGTCCATGTCTTTACTATTATGAATAGTGCTGCAGTGAATATACGCGTGCATGTATCTTTATGGTAGAACCGTTTATATTCCTTTGGGTGTGTGCCCAATAATAGGATTGTGGATTGAACAGTAATTGTGTTTTAAGTTCTTTGAGAAGTCACCAAACTGCTTTCCACAGTGGCTGAACTAATTTACATTCCCACCAAGAGCGTATAAGCATTCCGTTTTCTCTACAGCCTCACCGGCATCTGTTATTTTTTGACTTTTTAATAAAAACCATTCTGACTAGTGTGAGATGGTGTCTCACTGTGGTTTTGATTTGCATTTCTCTAATGATTAGTGATGTTGAGCATTTTTTTCATATGCTTGTTGGCCATATGTATGTCTTCTTTTGAAAAGTGTTTGTTCATGTCCTTTGCCCACTTTTTTTTTACAGAGTTGATTGTTTTTTGCTTGTTAATTTGTTTAAGTTCTTTATGGTTTCTGGGTATTAGACCTTTGGGGGATGCATAGTCTGCAAAGTGTGCTTCTTATGCAAGCACCCAGCCTTCCGGCACTGGGACGGGCCACATGGGAGGAGCCAAAGGATGGGAGAGTTTACCCCCTCCAGCCCATGAACTTGCTGTGAGGACCCCTCCTGCCATATACCCTCCTGGGTGTGAAGAGGCCTCCTGTGTGGGCTGCACCACTGTCTCCGGGATTCTTGGCCTGGAGGCATCTCTGAAATTTCTCAGAATGCCCAATTTGCACCAGAGATAGAGCCAGGCCCCTTGGGATGGAAAAGGAAAAGAAACTAGATTTACTTTTTAAAGTTTCTAGAACTTCTTTGGTATCCCTAGAAAACTTTTTTTAAAAAGGATTTTCTTTTTAAGTTGGATTTCTATCCATTATTTACCTGAGACATAATTTCAGCTGATCAAAGTTTAGAGTGCTGGCAAGTGCCAAGCCTTACGATAGATGTTGTACCTTTTGACAAATGACCATGTATGCACAGCTCTGTTTCTGGACTCTGTTCTATCCATTTTTCTGCTTGTCCTCATGCCAACATGGCCCCGACTTCATTGCTGTGGCTCTGTAGTAAGTCTTGGTGTCTTGTAGAAGTTCTCCAAATTTCGTTGTTTTTTCCACAATTGTTTTGGCTCTTCTTAGTCCTTTGCATTTCCATGTAGAATAAGTGGATTAATTAGTATAGAAAAACCTGTGATTTTCATTCAACTGCATTCAATCTATAGATCTATTTGCAGAGATATTTCACAGTTTTGAGTCTTGATCTTTGATTGTGGCGTATAGCTCCATATTTGTTTTCTTTGATACATCTCAACATGGTTTTGTAATTTTTTGGTATACAAATCTTTTAAATATATTCCACATAAATTTATCCATAAGTTTTTCATGTGTTTTTGTTTTGTCCTTTAAAAATGCTATATTTTTAGTTTCAATTCCCAGTATTTCTTTGCTAATGATGAGAATTACAGGAGCTTTCTGTAAATTTGTCTAGTATGCTGTGAGTTTGCTGAACAAATTTATTCTAGTTCTAGTTGCCCAAGGATTCTTTAGTATCTTCCATGTACGTGAATATCTTGTTTGAGAATGAAGACAGTTTTGTTTCTTCCTTTATACTATGTATGCTGTTAGTTTCTTTTTCTTACTTTATTGTACTGGCTAGGGTCTCCATACTGCATTCAACAGGAGTTGGGGAAGTAAACATCCTCTGTTCCTAATCTTAGGGGTGAAGCACTCAGTATTTTACTGTTAAATATAAATACACATTCTTGTAAATTCCCATTGAAGTTCTATTCTTGTAGGCTGAGAGTTTTATTACGGAAGGGTGTGTCATTTTGTCAGGTGCCTTTTTGCATCTGTTGTAATGTTTATGTGGTTTCTGTCTTTTATTCTGATCATATGGAGAAATGCAGTAATTGATTTTCTAATGCTCAACAAACCTTGCTTGTCTTTGATAAGTGCCACTTGCTTTGAGAAATGCATGCATACATCTCTCTGTATATATATGTGTATAATTCCAGCATTATTTCTATATACATAGAAATAATAAATATACAAATAATGCTGGTTATATTTGCTAATATTTTACGAATTACGGGATACTGGTCTGCAGTTTTCACATTTTGTCTTTTTTAGGCTTTATTATCGGGGTAATGCTGGCTTCATAAAATGAACTGATGTATTCTCTCTTGTACTGCTTTTTAAAATTGTTTAGGATTGGTATTTTTTTTATTTAAGTGTTTAAAAACATCTGGGCCTGGAATTTTCTTTGTGGGAAGGTTATTACTTAATTTAAAAAATATATGCAATACTATTAAGATTTTGAATTTCTTCATGACTCAGTTTTGGTTATCTGTCTTTCAAAGAGTTTGTTTTATCTAAGTGGTTGAGTTTATTGGCATTAATTGTTCGTAATCTTCTCTTATCCAGTTATCCCTCTCAGGTCTCTAGGGCACGCCATGATGATGCTATTCCACTGCCCTTTTTTCCATTCCTGGAATGGTACTTCCCACCTTCTAAATCAGTCTTGTTACAGGTTTATTCATTTTCTCAGTTCTGTATTTTATTGATTTTTATTTTTTTGTTATTTTGTGTATTTTACTCTCTTTCTACTTTCTAAGATAGAAGCAGTGGGTCCCACTGAAGAAAAGCAGATAGCAGGCACTAAATTTCCCTGTAGGGTTAACTATGTCAGCCTGACAGACCCCAGGCTGTGTGTCTTTGGAGGACAGAGACATTGGAGGCCGTTCATGATCCTTTCTAAGATTGGTCATTGATAGGAAACTTTGTTTGTTAAGTAATATAAGTATTCAAAACTAGACATTAACTTCTAAGCAGTGCTTAAGCAGCATTCTACATGTTTTGATAGGGATTGTTTTTTAATATCACTCTGTTAAATATTTATGTACTGTAATTATTGTAAATGGTGATTACACTGTTCCATGTGCATTTGCGAGAATATACCCTGCCATTGTGTGCAGTCTTCTATAAATGTACGTTGGGTCAGGTTGTTTTGGCGTGTTGTGCAGGTCTTCCCTATCTTCTGACTTTGTCTCCCTGTTCAATCAGTCGAGAAAGGAGTGTCGAAGTCTGCAACTCGAATTATGGATTTGTCTCTTTTCCCCTTTGGTTCTGTCAACTCTTGCCTTGTGCCTTCTGTACATTTGCTAGTAGGTGCCTAATCACATGAGATCATGACGTCCTCCTGATGTGCTGGCTCCTTAACAGTATGAAATGTACTCTTTATCTCCAGCCATTTTTCTTACTCTGAAGTTACTTTGATATTAATATTGCTAGCTTTCTTGTGATTTGCCTATGCATGTGTTATACTCTTTTCCATCCTTTTGCTTTTGATCTATTTCTTTATATTTATAGTGTGTTTCTTGGAACCAGGATATAGTGATCCAGTATGCAAGTCTGTACTTTTTATTTGAAATGTTTTAGTTAATGTACTCATCAATAGGTATGGGTTTAGTCTGCCGTTTTGCTGATTTTTTCATTTGTACTTTTTATTCTTCATTCCTGTTTTCCTAATTCCCTGCCTTCTTTTGGATTGAATCCTTTTTTGATTTCATTTTATAATTACTATTGCGTTATTAGTGCTACCTTTTTTTAAGTAGTTTGTTTAGTACAGTACTTTTTGTTAGAAATTCCAGAAATGATGGAATGCGCTGTATCCACACTGTCCAGTATGGCAGGCACTGGCCACCTGTAGCTGTTGAGCACTTGACATGTGACTCGGGCAACTGAAGGAACTGGGTATGCAATTACGTTTAATTTTAAATAATTTAAATATAAATAGCCACTTGGGGATACCTGCTACCACACTGGGCAGGGTGACTGTAGGGTTTCTAATATTATTGTTAACTTCTCATGATCTACATTGAAAATGGTGTTCTGTGACGTCACATGCAATGCAAGACCTTCACCACAGTGAACTTCCATTTGCCCCTTGAAGTCCCATGTACACGGCCATTGATCTTACTTCTACATGTTATAGACTCTCAAATACATGGTTGTGACTTTTTCCTTTAAACAGTCATTTGTCGAGAAATAATCATTTAGAATTGAAATTGAAAGTGAGAAAGTACTCTTTTCACGTACGCATTTTGATGTTCTAAATATGTTGAAAGGGCGCAGGGGGGTTTAATGCCCTTCATCAGATCTGTGCTACCTTGTGGACAGTAATTGGAAAGGATGGGGAACAGGGACGCACGAGTGGGTAGATGAATGCGAGGCTGTTGAAATGGTTCCATGGTGAGCAGTGCATGGTTGCTTGGAACAGGAAGGAGCGGAGGTGTTAAGAAGTGGTTGAATTTGGGATCTCTTTGGAAGTATGATGCTCCAGCTGTTATCAGCAGAGCTGTAAGTGAAATGTACTTTGATTGTTTGTTGAACATCCTTGCCACCTTTCCTATCGAATTTGCTTTTCAAAAATAGTGTGGACATTAAAAAGCCATCCCCATGTGCCTAATTTCAATTAGAAAATGTTGAATCACTGTGAATTTGGTGAGTCATCCTGCATGTAAGTAGAGCTATCCATCTAACTCTTAGAATTTGTTAACTATTAAGAGAGGAAGACAGAAGGTAATATAGAGATGACTATTTATGAGTCATTTTATTTATTCATTATCCATCTAAAGAGTAGCAATTGATTGTATCACAGAACGGTGTTTGTTTTACATCTTTTGATTAGGAGCAGTGGTTTATGGCATAGACTTGCTTAATTTCCTCCTGTTTCTTCCTCTGGAGTGGATAACTGTTTCACAACAGAAGGCGATAAAAGATTTCTGGTTTATTCATTAATTTTGCTTTGAGACGGAATACCTGATCTCAAGGATAAGATGCTGATTGGTATGACCTGAATCGAATGATTAGCAGTATGTTGCCCTTACTCTGATCTCCCCACAGTGTGAGAGATTTTCTCATCTTCGCATCAGTTTTTAGCCATGTTTTGGTGTTTAAGCAGAGATACGATTCCACTTTGAAAGCTCTGGAAGTAATTCTCAGATCACATATATTCATCTCAAATTTGAAATCTGGAGTGTTTGTCTTGAAATTAAATTGTGGTATTGTAAGCTGTCAGTGGCATGATCTGTGCTGGAACCTGATGCGGTCTAGTTTACACGGTATTGAATCATGTAAGTATCTCATCTTTCCTCTTTGAATTCAGTATGACTTCACATAGGTGAGGTTAGCTTTTAAGTGTACACAGAGGTATGGTTAACTATCAGCAGACTTCAGTTATCAATTGCTGATCTCAGAAAGCTAATTTATCTTTAGTGTCCAATAACATTACATGGCTTTCTTTCTTTGTTTTATGTTTTGTGTATATGTGCTTAACTGTTTAAATAAGTTCTGGATTGCATCCAAATAAGGTTTGATATGCTCTCATTAAGAATATGATATTGTGAATAAATGTAATCCTGACTTTCAATAAATGGCCTGTAAAAAAAAAAAGAAAGTATTTAGAGTTAGTGAGTTGAGGGGCTTCGTCACATGGCTAAAGGAGATTTGAGTAGCCCCTGGAATGTTGAGTGACTCTGACTTGTGGAATGCATGGAGCCCCGTTTCGTTGGCTGGCAGGATCTACGTGGGCCGAGCATACAGCCCTAGATGAATGACTTATGTCTCTGAATTCTGTTCCTAATCTCTGCTGCTCAATCTGTGGCCACCTGCAGAGGAGCCAGCCGGATGGCATCGTCCTTACCGAGCTCTCTGGTTGTCAGATCCTTCACTACTCCTTAGTGGCTGATTACTCTGCGTAGTGTAGGGTGCTGTAGGGTGCATAACTGATTAGTGCCTTGCAGATATAAGCAAAGTTTACAATGAAGCCCTTGCGCTTAGGAGCATACAGTCTAGTTATGAAGAGAAGACACAAAACACCCAGTCACATCACTGTGAACAGACAAGTTTGCCAGGAGTCTGTTCAGACCTGGTGCTCCCTGAGCCGCGCTGAGCAGCAGTTCAGCGGGGATACCAAGTTGGGGAAGATGCCAAGTGGTAGGAAGGAGGCTGGGGCTCTGGTCTGCACATGCCAGCTGATGGAGTTTGGAGTTGGGGGGATATGGCCAGTTCCCAATGCACTGGACCAGCCACCATCCAGAATTAGGAAGTAGATCAGCCCGTGCCTGGCATGCATTGCTTTCTTTTCAGTTTCTAACATATATATAACCTTTTTAAGTATATATATATGTATGTATATATATAACTTTAGTTATAGAGTCTCGCTGTTTTGCCCAGGATGGAGTACAGTGGTGCAATCATAGCTTGCTGTAGCCTCAAGTGATCCCTCCCACCTCAGCCTCCCAAGTAGCTGGGACTACATACGTGCACCACCACGCCTGGCTAATTTTTTTGAAAGGACAAGTCTTGCTATGTTGCCCAGACTAGTCACCAACTCCTGGTCTCAAGCAGTCTTCCTGCCTTGGCCTCCAAAGGAGTTAGGATTACAGGCATAAGCCACTGTGCCCAGCCTAATCTATATAACCTTTCAAACAGGTATCTCCATTTGTATACTAGGGGAGAATGTAGACCCCACACCCTCTTCCTCAAGAAACAACTTGAACGCATGCCATTCTGCCATCTCAGCCAAGGCGATTGCCTGTGCCCTTCCCAAGGGCTTGGAGACACCCTCTCCCTGCTAGCCCCGTGCAGGGGTCTTCCCATGTGTACCCTGCAGCACCGTCCACCTGTCTGAGTTCGATGGGGCCTCCAGGCCCCCTGCCTTGGTGAGGCAACACGCTCAGCGCCTGCGCGAATCTTCTTGCCCATCAGTTCCTTTTCCTTTTATCCAGGATTTCACACACTGGGACATTTTGTGCCAACAATTATTAATCAGTTTTAAGATTGACTGGGTTTGTGGACTGTGCCCAGGGTTTGTGCACCTCACTCACGGCAGATTTCCTGGCAGCCCTGGGGATGGTCCTGCTCCCCCGGGGACAGTTTCCATCTCATGGTGTAGCTTTGGGAGTGGGGCCCACTGAAGAAAAGCAGATAGCAGGCACTGAAGTTCCTGCAGCCTGTTGGACCCCGGGCCGTGTGTCTTTGGAGGACAGAGACATTGGCCTACAGTAAAATAAAGTCAGATGAGAAAGGGTGGGGAGGCTTTCCTGCTGTAAAGGGATTATGTATTCATACTCGAAATAGGGATACATTAGGGGAATAGATTGTAATCTCTACATCCCCAATCCATGAAAACAAAACAGAAATGGAGGGCCAAGAAACCTACACAGGGAAGACACGAAATAGCAAACATACCTGATTTATCCAAGGGAAGGCAGAGGAGGGAAACGAAAGGATGAATAACAGGTGAGGCAAGCAGGACATAACTCGTAGGATGGTCAGCATGCCCAGTGCGGCGGCGAGGACTTCGGAAGTCAGTGGACCCAGTGGAGACTCAGATGAAAATCAGAGATGGTCTCACTGTGGGAACATGGTGTGCAACCATAGACTAAGGCGGCACACCTTAAACATAGCCTAAGAGATGCACCGTGCAGGGCAGGCACCCACATGAAGCGGCTATGTAAACGTGACAAAGTAGATATTAAGAAAAGTAGGAAGGAACAGTAAAAATAAGATCAGATATCAGCAAAGCAGAAAATGGTATTACAGAGATGTTAACAAAGGCAGAAATTATGTCCTTGGAAAGAGTCGTAAAAATTTTCAAAATTCCCAGCCAAACCTGATGAAGAAAAATGAAATGACAAATAATATAAATGAAAAGGAAAGATCACTACAGAATCTACAAATATTCAAAGATAATGAGGATGTTATTTAAAACTTTATGTTGACAAATTTGACAGTTTAGATACAATGAGCTAAGTTTTTGTCAGAGCTTAACAATTTAATCTAAAGAAATCAAAAATTGAAAATTAAAAATCTTCCCTCAAAGAAAAATCTAGGCCCATACAGCTTCACTGTTCAGTTTTATCAAATAGTTAAGGAAGAAGTAATTCCAATCTTATATTAGCCCTTTCAAGGAATAGCAGAAGAGAGAATAATTCCTAGCTTGTTTCATAAGACCAACACAACCATGACACCAAGATGCCAAGATGTGTCAAGGATGTTTGAGAAATGGTAACCACAGACCAATGTCTCTCATGAACCCAAATTTTAAAATCCTAATAAAATATTAGAATGTCAATTTTACAATATAGAAAAATATGTATATTTCCAGTGGGGTTTATTCCATTCAAAAATCAATCGGTGTAATTCTCCACATTCACAGAGGAAAAGAAAAGAACTTTATGATGATAATGATCATAGTAACCAAAAAAAGCATTTGACAAATTTCAACATCCATTCACGATGAAAATGCACTGCAAAGTAAGAATATAAAGGAAATTCTCTTACATGACAGCGTGTATACGAGTGTGCACACGTGTGTGTGCGTGTGTGTGCATGCATGTATGTGTGTGTACACGTGTGCACCTGTGGTTTTCTCTCCATGTTTCTTCCAGTACTGATCAGGGTTGCTTGTTTTCAGGAGTTTTCAAGTGCTCTACCTTCAAGTTTTCCCCAGCTAAATCTTTCCCATTTCTTTCTCTAAATCCCTTTTTGATATTTGCAGTTCTTTTCAACTTACCACCAATATTTTAGTCTTGATTAGAATCTTCCCAGAAAAGACAAGTTTTCCTTCTGATTCCCACATGTCCCTTCAGCTCGTGATGGCGCAGAATATGTTTGCTTGCCAGTTAGGGGAACCTGAGGCTGCCTTCCTGGGCAGAGTGGCGATTTGTACTGGGCCAACGGGGCAGCCACTGTTACTTATGGACAGGTGGACTAGGCTCTTTTTCATCCTGAGGAACTGCTCCGCGCTTGGGAAGAGCCACTGGAGTTTATCAGCCTGCGTGTAAGCATGTGGGAAGGGGGATCAGGAACATTTAGTAGAATAGTCCGTGCTCCAGGTGATCAGTCCCCACCCACCCGCATGCCTCTCCTTCTCCATCCCACCCGCATTTTGGGTCATTGGGGGATTAATTTATTCGTGTCTCGTAAGCACTGGCAGAACACCACCCGTGTGAACAGCATTGGTGAAGCCTGGGGAGTTCTTTTTGAGACTTCCTTGAGCTTCCGGCAGCACGTGTGAGTTTCGGGGGTGATTGGAATGTTTCTCCCTGGAGGGAGGCCTGATGCCCTGGAGCTGGCTCCAGCCCGAGCCCCGCGGCATGTTCTGCCTGCTGCCGCCTACCTGCAGGGAGACGCCTGAGCTGGGAAGGTTCTGAGGGTTGGCAGGGTGCTCTGCTGTGCTCTTTGGGAGGATCCCCTTGGCTGTTCTGCATGCCCAGGGCCGTGCTCTCCGTGGAAATCTATGTTGGAGACGACAGGCTCCGGTTCCAGCTACACCAGCCTGACTTCCACTGGACAGTGCCATTTTCTGCCTCTGATAACACCGTGGTGAAGCGCCTTACGTAAAGCAACAGATTTTTTGTTTTAAGATGCACTATAATTACTCTTTTCAGAACCAATAATATTAACCCAGTGAAGTCAAAACTGAATTGTTTTATAAACTGACTATGGAGCTGGTGTAAGGAGATGCAGGGAAGGCTTCTCATCTGAGTCGGTAGCAGAGTACATAGTGCAAGAAGCGTGGGCAGGCTCCCAGCGCACCCAGAGATCAAGGAGAGTGATGGGTGCTGCCCGCCTCTGAGGGGACGGAGGCAGCTGCCACCCGCCGTGTCCCTCACGCTGGCTTTCAGAAGGCTTCACGCAAGTGGGCTCACAGGCAAGAAGAAAAGCTGTGGGCCGTGTGTCTCCCTTGGCTATGGCTCAGTTTTAATGTAATTAGAAGCTCAACTTGAAAGTGAGATATCAAAGGAAGCCTTCAGTTGCTGAAGATGGGTGTGCTGGGGGATGAGGGCGTGGGTTGAAAAGTATCCAGTTACTGTTTTTCTCACGTGGATCAGTCTAACATATGTGACTCTGGTAATTGAAGATGGTGACAGGCTAAACTAAGCTGGGATTCCCCAGGGAGAGACTAGGATTTCTGGAACCAGTCTAACAAAAACAGAAACTTGAAGGAGAAAACAGAATATGCCTCCCTCTCTTCCCTGCTTCCCTCCTCTACTCAAAAAAAAGAAAGAAAGAAAAAAGCAGCTTTTGCAATGAAGAATTCAGTTTTTCGCCCCCGAGTGTATGATGGTAGTGACTTTGGTGTTCCTGGTGCAGACCTGTATTTTTTTGTGATGTCTTCATCTGGCCCCTCGCCCTCCACTCTTCATGATGAATATGAGACCTGTGCACTGAGGGTCCTCACCAACACTTCCTTCCTCACAGCCGTATGATTTCATCCGGAAGCGGCCTCTAAAAATAAACACCCTCATGTTAGCCTTTTTCCACCATGCTTCATATTTGGCTCTTGTATAAATATCTGCCACGTTTCCACTGGGAATTATTGCTGTTATATATTTTATAGACACTCGACTGTCATCTAAGTGGCTTATTTTATTCCCATAGCTAGAAGAAAAATACAAAAATAATTTTGTAATGTGAGTGTGATTGTGGGCCAGGAGTTATGTTCTGAGAAGGAGCTGAGAGTAAATTATATTCCTGCTTTATTGTGTTGATATTGTCTTCCCTGTTGTGTCCTGAGTTAGCCTTTGTTGTTCCAAGTTATTAACCAGAGGTGGCTTGATAATGACGCCACTTTGGAAGCGTCTGGCTGGTGTTTAAAACTCTAGCTGGTGATAAATATATTTTAGTCCTATTAATGAAGAATTGTAACATTTTAGTCCTATTAATGAAGAATTTTAACATCCATGCAGATGAGCGGCATCCTAAAAGCAGCTTCAGATGCTTTGGGGTGTTTTCTACCGAAGATGCTTTTGTAGAAATACCGCCTTCCTTTTCATTTTTTACACTGGTCTGTTCATCAAAAACCATAACTTCATGGAACTTGCTTCTGTGGAATGAACTAAATGTAAATTATTTTTCCAAAAGCTTTATGAGTTTATCATACATGTTTTGGAAAAAGTGGAAAAACACTAGGAAGAAGTTCCAGTGAGCAAATGTTTCCCGACATGTTTCACGTTTTGCTCTGGTTTGAAGCAGGGCGTTTTGTGGAAGGTAGGGCTGGTGGATCGCTCGGTCGCTGGGCAGTGCTGGTCACTGCCTTTCTTTGGTTGAGCTGGTCTTGAGTCCTGGTACCTGTGTCTGCCCTGGCATTGACCCCGTGGTGCTTTCTGTGCATCTCCGTGCTCACCTTTCTGGAACACAGCCCCTGAACAGAATCATTTGGCAAAACATCCCAGTACAAAAACCAGTGGGTTTTACATGGGGAAAGAACTCAATGAGTCCACAGTTCGTGTCGATGAAGGAGGCACTGCGTGTTGGGCTCAAACGCATCTGTAACTGTGGGTGCCAAGAGACAAGTAGAGCTCAGACTGCTGGGAGCGTTGGCTGGAATAAAGCTGGCCCTCACGGGGCTGTTAAAATACTTGAACTTGAATTCAAAGTCAGATTTAAGCTGACTTCACCCCTCTTCCCTTGCTTCTGAAGATTCTGGTTTTTCACGAGACAGAAAAAAGGGTGGAACCAGGAGCTTATCCCCTTCCTTCCTTCCTTGCAAGCAGCAGCAACAGCCATTGAAACTCAAAGACAGCAAGAGCTCTCTTCCCGCCCACTCCCAGCGCCACTCCCGGGGGAACCCATGTGGGAAGGGCTCTTCCTGACACCTCTCCTGCAGCACACAGCACACGTCAGCCTTGCCCTGCATGCAGCCTTCCCAGCTGGAGCAGGTCCCACCAGCGCCCTGCCAGGCGGCAATGGTCTACACCGCCATTTTACCTTCCCCAGGTCTGTGGCATTAGGTCTTCCCTTGTGAGTGGCTCGTATTCTTTTCAAGATACTGTAAATAATTTGGCATCATATGGACCACTTGATGCTTCTATATGAAACATGCCTTATAAACCCTTAGTACTGCATGATTTCAGATTACGGAAATATCTGCATGAGTATTGGCTGCGATATCTCTGTACTAGAAATTTCAGTGCTACCTCTACACAAACAGACACACTGGGGATGTGCTGTGTGTATTGTATGAGTGTATCATAGAATATTTCATTGTCCGTGGTAGTACATTTCACATCATAGGCTGTCTGTGGCTACTTTTAAACCTTAGACATTTGAATTTTCCCTCAAGCTTTATTCTGGTGAAGCGTGGGATGGGGTCTTAGCTCACTTTGGAAGGATGGAACAGTTAAGCAGCGTACCTGGTGACTGGCACTGTGTGTGAGTGATGCCACCTCGGCACCTTCGCGTTGATCATCTTTAGGATCTTTAGGATCACTGAGAATTAATCATTCTTTGCATGCATAAACCTGTGTAAGGGTTGCTCCACGTTTCTGCCATTGCTCACAGATAAAACACATTCATGATCTCAGCTTAATCCCAAGAGGATGTTTCCCCATCCATCAAAACCACAGTGCAGGTTTTCACTGATGGGACATAGGGAAGGTATGGCAAGCTGGGTGGAGGTGTGTTTCCTGGACTTTTCCGGAATAACCCAACCCATCCCTCCTAGTGAGCACAGAATTACCCAGAAAGTTGAAAAGGAAAACACAGTTTATTGGAACAAATATGCAAAGTGATTTGTTCTTTTCACAGAGAAGGTAAATAGCATGTCAGCCGCCAAGGCCCTCACACACACGGATCTGCCCGTGGAGTGATGAACTTGTAAAAGAACGTCAGGTGGAAGCGGTGAGAGGGCCTGGACAGTTGTTCTGCAGCTGTGTTCTTTGTCTGGTTAATCGCGTGCGTCTCCAGTCTGTGGCTGGCCAGCCGCGTCCACCTGCGTGCTCCGGGCACCCAAGGTGCTTGGTTAATATGCAGCTCTCTCAACATCTCCCCCTTAGGAGCAACAGGTACCCGGTGCTGGTGTTGTCCGTCCAGATGAAAGGGCCTGGCCACTCTGATTGCACTTCTCTTTGATCTCCCTGTAGAAGGTCGGCTTGTCTGCCTAGAGATTCCTCTGAAGGGCAATTTAAAAGTTGGATTTGAGCAACATCAAGTGAAATGTCTTCCCATCTCACGCCGTGAGGAGCTCTTTGGTGTGGCTCATGGCTGGATGTGAGGAAAGATATTAACCCTTCCTTTGAAACAAACTGTCTCACAGGCTGAACTTGCCAGCTACCTTTCTCCTCTGCTTTTAGAAAAGAAAATATTTTCTTTCTCATAATGCTCTTGGCCCTTGAAGATAAACTCATTGCAGTGTTTAAAATTTGTCCTGAGACCCTATTGCCTTTACTTTGTTAGTGTGTGTGAGACTGAAGGCCTGTGGATGGGTGAGATGCTTCGAACTGATAGAAAAAGAAAACAGAAGGAAGATTTTTGTGGGCAGAGCCGAGACGCCGTCTCTCAAGGTGTTGTGATCAGTAAAAGAATCCATTTTTAATGGTGAACTGGCAAAGGCTGCTAAATACCAATTACTGAGTAAAGTGCCATGAGAAGGTAAAGCCACTTTTTGTGAATTATTTCATTGCACTAACGTGCTCCTACTGAAAAACATGGCCAGGCTGCTTCCGATACAGTTCACTTAAAGAAAAATGGCTCACGTTAAAAATAGTTGCTTTATTTTGTAAATGTTTTAGAAAAGTGCATTGCTGTCCAGAAATCTAGATGTACACTTGTTTTGTGTTTAATGAAAAAGGGAAGGAAAAATATCTCGAAATCCCAAATCTCATCGGTATCAATAGGATCATAAAAGTAAAGGCAGGAAAAGGAATTTGCTGCTCGTGTTTCCCATCCATGTTTCCAGGTTATGTATTTTGTTTCTCAACTTTTATTTATGTTAATGAAACCAGTCTGCTTTTTTTTTTTGTTATTTTTGATGACTAAGATCCCATTTATTAGGAATTTGTAACTCAGCTGTGACAACGTAGCCTGAGATTTACACAGTCCCCGTTAAGGGTAGAAAATAGAGGGAGGGCTTAGCTCTCTGTTTTCATAGCTGTGTTAAAGAGCCAAATAGTAATTTGTTGACCGAATGTATTATCTGTCCTGCCATATGTTGTTCAAATGATGAGACAGAAGAATGAAGGACTCTTACAATGTAAACTTCTGGAAATCATACTGTTTCAGGGTTGTTTACATTAATAACAATGATGGCTTACATGTATGTATGGTTTTATAATTTTTTGAGATTATAAAAGGTATACATGGTCAGTGTTGAAAATAAAGTATAAAGAAATTAAAAATTTGGACGGTGTGGTGGCTCACGCCGGTAATCCCAACACTTTGGTAGGCCAAGGTGGGCAGATCGCTTGAGTGCAGGAGTTCAGGACCAGCCTGGGCAACAAGGCAAAACCCCGTCTCCACCAAAAATACAAAAAATTAGCTGGGTGAGATGGTGTGCACCTGTGGTCCCAGCTGCTCAGGAGGCTGAGGTAGGAAAATCTCTTGAGCCTGGGAGTTGGAGGCTGCAATGAGCTGAGATCACAGCACTGTACCCCAGCCTGGATGACAGAGTGAGACCCTGTCTCAATTTAATAAATAAATAAAATAAAAAATGTATATTTCTATTGCATAATTAACTATTATTTATGTTTTATCAGTCCTTCTAATTTCTTTTTTTCTTAGGAGACAGGGGCTCCCTATGTTGCCCAGGTTGGTCTTGAACTCCTGGGCTGTAGCAGTCCTCCCACCTTGGCCTCCTGAAGTGCTGGGATTGCAGGCGTAAGCCACCGCGCCCAGCTTTCTAGTTTGTTTTTATGCCTACAGCGTACAAATGTTACTAAAGTTTGGATTGCGTCACACTGCATGTGTTGTAGTGGGATATGCCTTTTTATGCACCAGCGTATGCATTGTGCCACATCCTTAGACATGACTTTTATTGGATATGCAGTAGCCTGGCTTACGGATGTTTCATAATTTATTTAACACCCTGTGATTGGTTATTTAGCTTACTTTCATTTTTAACTGTACCAAATTGTGCTGTCATGCCATCCTGGAAGTGGATTGCATGTGGGCGCCTTGTACTTGATAGAGCACTTTCTTAAACTGTATCTCAGTCATTAGCACAAGTGCTCCATGAGGCAGTGAGGCCACTGAGTAGTGATCCGGGTCACAAGGGAAGAACTGGGGCCCAGCGAGACTGAAGCGGGTATTTTCACGTGAGACTTCGCCAGTACGGGGCAAAAGCACACGGTAGAGGATTTTGAAATCACCCTGATTGAAGACCAAGCTGGTTTTTGTCCCAACAATAGTGATTCCTTCATTTATCCCACAAATATTTAAATGCTGCGTACGTGTCAGGCACTGTCCTTGGTTCTGGTGAATAGAGCAGACCCTGCCTGCTGCTCCGGGGGATGTCGGCCCGATTCTTTGGTAACTCTGGAAGGCTTGTGCACCTGCTGGAGTTTGGGGGAGAGAGGGAGGGTTGTGGACCCAGTCACATACCACAGTGGGTTCAAAGTCTCATCTTTATTCTGGGAGTGACTGGGTGTCTTTAAAAGTCAAGTTCGGAAGATTCTCATTTAATGATATTTGATTCCATGTCTCATGCAGAGGAATACTTAGATACGACGGAATGAGTTAAGTAAAGGGTAAAGTATTACTTAAATATATCATCTGAAAATAACTGCTTCATATCTCTTGTATCTTAAAATATTTTCTGGACAAAAATTTTATGTAAATTAAAACAAAATGCTGTTTTTCATCATTGTATTAGGAAAAAATGTAAATACAAAATATTTGGTGTTTTGAAGGATGGGCCGGAAATGGGGATGTTTTTGTATGATGCTGCTGATAACAGTAAGTTGCTATCAGTCTTGTGACCATATACATACAGACATAAAAATGTTAAAACCCTTCTCAGTACTCCCACTTTGAAAAAGTATACTCTAGAAAAATATCTAAATTATAGAAAAAACGTTATACCTTGCAGCTTCTCTTATCATGGTGGAAAGGAAACCAACCTAGACGTCCAACACTAGTGAGATCGTTTAGATAATACTGACACATGCTCTCACCAAACCGAGTCAGCATCTAATGCCTATGAGACTGCGTAGTCAGGGATAAATGCTTCCGTTAAGTGAAAAAGCAGAGTGCTAAAGAGCAGGCACATTAGAGTTACAACTGTGCCATGTGAGAAAAAGCTTGAAGTGAATACTCTCAAATGATGATAATGGCTGTTTTAGGGATGAAGATCAAGGAATTTCCTGTTTTTTCTTGTCTGTATTTCAAATTTTTTATAGTATAGTTATATTACTTTTTAAAACTAGCGACTTCATTTTATAAAATGACTTTTACTTATTTTTAAAATTTAAGCAATACAGGAAAGCAAAAGAAATAACAATTACCTCCCATCTCACAGCCCCCAGATAAGTAGTGCTGATACTTGGTGAGCCTCCTTGTAAAAGTCACTCTTTGCTTGCATAAACATGTGGTTATATGCATAAAAGACAGTAACATAAACACAGATAAAACGACAAATATTTTCAAATGACAATAGTTTTGTTTAATACAAGGTTCTTAAATATTGTCTGTAAAGAACCAGATAGTAAATATATTAGTCTCTGTCTCAGTTATTCTGCCGTTTTGTGACAGCAATCATAGACAAAATGTAAATGAATTAATGCAGCCGTGTTCCAATAAAGTTTTATTGCTCTTCATTCTGTTTAGATCCATTTCCACCTGGCATCATTTTCTTCTTCCTGACAGTTTCCTTCACCCTTTCTCATTGCACTGGTCTACTGCAGGTGACTTCTTACAGTTTTTTAGTGCCCAAAATGTCTTTATTGCTTCTTGATTGTTGAAAGGTATTTTCACTGGGTGTAGAATTCTAGATTGACAGGGTTTTTTTCCTCCCAATACTTTACAGATTTTGCTACACTGCCCTCTTGCATGCATTGTTTCCATTAAGAATTCTGCTGTCATCCTCATCTTTTTGTGCCTCTGTGTGACATGATTTTTTCCTCTGGTAGGTTGTAAGGCCCCTTATCAATTTTTTGAACAATTTTATTGTGATGCATCTTGGTGCAGTTCTTCATGTGTCTTTTACTTGGTTTCACTGTCCATCTTGTATCTGTGCATTTGCAGTTTGCATCAAATTGGAAAATATTTTGGCTATTTCTTCAAATATATTTTTTTCCTTTTCCTTTCAGAAACTCCAACTACAGATATGTACGATTTCCTGAAGTTTTTCAAAACCTCACTGATAATCCTTCCTTCCTTTCTTCCTTCCTTTTGATTTCCTTTCTCTGTCCTCATTTTGTGTAGTTTCTATAGGAATATATTCAAGTTCACTAATTTTTTCTTTTGCAGTGTCTAATCTATTATTTTCATTTGATGTATTTTTCCATTGTAGGTTTTTTTAGTTTTTAATTCTGAAAGTTCTCTTTGGATCTTTTTTTTACTATATTCTATAATTCTAATTAACTTTTTGAATGTCTGGAATACAGTTACATTAACTTTTTGCATCCTCGTCTGCTAATCTTAACATCTGAGTTAGTTTTAGGTCCATTTCAATTGACTGGTGTATTTCTTCGTAATGGATCATATTTTCCTGCTTCTTTGTGTGCCTGGTAATCTTTGATTGCATGTCCAGTATTGTGAATTTTACCTTGTTGAGTTCTGGTTATTTCTGCATTCTGATAGATTTCCTTGAGCTTTGTTCTGGGATACAGTCACAGTTAAATTACTTGGGAATAGTTTGACTCTTTTGGGTCTTGCTTTTAAGATTCGTTAGGTAGAACCAGAGCAGTGTACTGAGGCCAGCCCCCTTTTCAGCTCGCCCCGGATGGTCTGTGAATAGGAGGCATTCCAGTGTGGCTGTCAGGAAAAGTCATGCTCCCAGCCCTGCAAGAGCAGCGGTTACCACCCTGTCATCCTCACAGATAGCTCTTTTCCTGCCTGGGGGAGCTTCCTGACATGGCGGTGCCCATCAGTACTCTGATGAATATGTGAGGGTGACCTGTTGCAGATCTCAGGATTCCTCTTTCTGAGATGTGTCTCTGTCCCTCCAGTTCTGTCCTGCAAACTCTGCCTGTCCTGGTTTCCGGGCTCACAGCTCCATCCCCTCAGTTTGGGAGCTGGCCAGGCCCTTCCTGTGTGCCCCTCCGGGTGCCCGGAACTCTCAGGGCAGTCGCAGCCTTTTCTTCCTTGGTTTTCTGTCACTCATCTGTCTCTGTACTTTGCTCTCCAGTTTCTTGAAAAGTGTGTTCTATTTAATTTATTTTTTCTTTTTGGTTCTTTTTGGTGAGAGGGTCAATCTTGTCTCTTACTTATTTTATCTTGCCTGGAAACAGAAGTGCTGGGGTGTTTTTTAAAAAATAATTGTAAGATACATAATTTAAAGCTGTGCTATTATAGTATTTACATGAAGTTTTAAAAAGAAATTTGCTTCCCCTAAACTTTCTGATCATCGATAGCACTTTTTGAGGCAGGGAGCCACTAGTGGTCACCTATGTCTGTTAGCAATAGACAGACATGTCTGTTACTTCCAAAGGACTCTCACAGTGTAAACTGAGGACCCTCTTACAAGCTGGTACGGGAAGACCAGGCCTGCATCTGTCAGAGATGAGAATAAGACAGATTCTCCTAATCAAGCTGCAAGGAGCTCCTGCTGTAATCACTCCAGAATATATATCAAGAGTGGATGTGTGTTCTCTATGGCAAAAAACAGGCACTGGAAAATTTACATATTTTTAGTTTAAAATATGCATGCTCTTGGCCAATATGTTTGAACTGAAAAAAGATAGAATGTGGTTTTCTGAGTTATCTTCTTTTTCTTTTTTCTCAAGTTAGTTAAGATTTATAAGGTGCTTACTCAGAAATTCATGGATGAAGTACAACGTTCACCTTCACAACACTTTGCTCTGGTTACAAATTTTTGTGGTGTAGAAACCCCCAAAGTGCCTCGTATTTTCTCACCCGAGTCCAGCCGGAGATACTGACCTTGGTCTAGATCGTCACCTCTGAACCATTCCTGAAGAAGTGGGTAGACACCCCCTCAGGACTGCTGTAAGAGTGGAACACATTCACGTATAACCAGCACAGAGGTTAGTATTCAGTAAGCACTCAATAAATGTTGGCTCTGAAGAGATTCTTCTCATTTGCATCATTGAAAAGGGGTCTTTGCAATGATGCTTATAGCCCAGTTTGGGGTGAATCATACCTCTAAGCAACTGTCATTGAAAGAAGGCCTTAATGCTGATAGTCATTGTTTCAGTTTTACTTTTTATTTCTTTGTCTTGGCTCTCTGGCTAGGCCTTTAATACAGTTTTGAATAGAAGTCGTGATAATGGGCATTCTTGTCTTGTTACTAAATTTAGAGGAAAAGCTTTCAGCATTCCACTGTTGATTTCCTGTGAACTCTATAGATTGTTTTGTGGATACCCATTTTCCCCCAGAATGAAAGATCTTTTTGAAATTATATTATTCTTTCTTTAATGAGGCCATTTTCATATTTGCATTTATGAGAAAATGTTTAAAAAAGTATGTGAACATAAATTATATAATCTTTTGAGTCAATCAGAATTATACAATTGAAAAATAGTCTACAATTAATGATATTCAAGTATCTTTAGATTTTAAACTCATTAAATGAACATTGAAAGTTCTGTTTTCTAATTATAGAGCCGAGTTTAAATTGACAAGAGCAGCCACACTCGAGTTGTCTAAGTCAGAGGCTTTATAAACCTGTTGGATTTTCCAAGGGTTGCTTCTCTTGAATAAAGGTGTTTTTGTTTCTCACATATTTTACATTTTCAATGACCTGTTTAGGCAGAAGCACCTTTTGTCACTAATTAGTGTGGTGTGACAAGTAACATAATGCGTATCTGAAAAGCTCCACTGGGTGTAAGTGGAGTTCACACCTCTTAATGAGTGCCTTCAAGAGTGTTTTTGTCATTCCCAGGGAGAACTAGTGCCCCTTGAATAGAAAACTGCTGTAAATGGAAAAAGGATGTGTCTTAGGAGCCTGGTGTAAGTGCAGATGGGCCCACCCTGTCCTCTGACTTTAGGGCCTTCCTCAAAGCCAAGGCCCTCTTGTGCGATGGGGCTCTTCTCCTTCTTAGAATTCCTACATCCAGAGTAATGGAGACGACTTGGGATCATGCTTCAGGATATATGTAGGTGCTCAACACAGGCTGGTTTCTGTTTTTAATTTCTGGCAGAATGAACCACTTGAAAATGAATTTTCATTACGATTTTAGGAGGGCTGAGAGTAGATGAGGTAAGAGATCTGCCTAGGGGGCAGGATCGAAGGAGGCTGTCACTCTCAGATTTGTGCAAGTGACTTGTGTTCCCCAAATTCACATGTTGGAGCCCTAGCCCTCAGTACGTCGGAGCGTGACTGTATTTGGAGATGGGGCCTTTAAGCAGGTACTTAAAGTTAAATTGGGGTTGTTAGAATAGGCCCTAATTCAGCCTGACTAGTGTCCTTATAAGAAGAGGAGATTAGGGCACAGATATACCATAGGCTTCTGTGCACAGAGATGACCATGTGAAGTGGCAGCAAGGGGTGGCCGTCCGCAAGCCAAGAAGAGAGGCGTCAGAGAAAATCAACTCTGCCAACACCTTGAACCTAGACTTGCAGCATCCAGAGCTGTGAGAAAATAAATGTCTGTTCTTTAAACCACCCGGTCTATGGTATTTTGTTATGGCAGCCTGAGCAAATTCATTCAGCAAGTGCCAGCCTTGCACTCGCGGGAGAGTGAGTGCCTCCTGCAGTGCTCAGTCTGGTCTCAGGCTGAAATTCTAGGTAGATGCACATTTTCCCAGTTGGCAGGTGCTGGCTCATGCTGAAGGGGAACATATGCTCAGGATTCCTGCTTTATGTACTTCAAAAGGAGACATGTGACATGTTTCACTTAACTTCATCTAAATTTCCTAGACACACCAATCTGTAACGGTTTAGAACTCAACCCGGTGGTTATACAGCTTTCCTGAAGTGGAGAGGTGGGCTACTTATCTTGTATGAGTCCCATGAGAACTAAAGAACAATGGTTCAAAAAACAGATGGATGTCTCCCATCTTACATTCCCTCCAGGAAGAAGTAGTTGAAGAAATAATGGATATAAATTTCCTTGAATTAAGAACACATGAAAGACTTAAGAATAAGAAGTCCAAGAGAGGACCAAAGAGGCAAAAAAAAAAAAAAAAGAAAAAAAAAAGAAAAATAACTGACGTCTATCTAGAAGAGCACAGTGAAATTTAAGAATAGAGAGAAAAATCTAAAACATTAGCAAGAACAAACAACACATATAAAGAACCAGTGGTCATATTGGCTTCAGATTTGTCAACAGCAATATTGAATGTAAGAAGAGAATGGAGGCATGTTTTCAGCGTATTAAAGGAAAATAACTTAGAACAGAGTTTTATATGCAGCTAAAACTTTAAAATATGAGGGCTTGGCAAAACTATTCTCACAAGGCCTCAAAAGTTACACCTTAACAATTATAATAAATGTAAATGAACTAAACTCACCAGTAAGAAAAAGACTGAAAAATGGAATAAAATATAAAATCCAAATATACGCCACTCAAAGGTTATCCAAAGTATAAGGACTTTCAAACTTTGAGGGTAAATGGATGGAAAGAAGCATGTCAGGAAAATACCCAAAGAAAACTGGCATAGCTATAATGATATGTAAAATAGATTCTAAGACTAACAGCCTTGTTAGAGATAGAAAAGGTGAATACACAATAACAAAACAAGTAAAATAGATTAACAGAGTAAAACATAAATGACAAAAATAATTTGTATTCTTGAAAATATATAGCCATGGAAGTATACATTTTAAGTTAGAAAATGAACAGAATAAACCTTTTAAAAAGCAGAAGAAAAGATCATTGGAAATTAGTGGAAAAAATACAAAGATCTTAAAAAACCATGAATTGTTTGTTTAAGAGAAAAAAATAGATTAAAGGTAAGATATCTGAAATGGCTATATTAGCATTAGATGATGTATATTCTACAAAAAAAGTTACTAGGGTTAAAGAGAGATGTTACATAGCGATAAAGTATTCAGTTCACCAAAAAGACCTAACAGTCTTAAATGGCTATGTACCTGACAACAGAATTCCAAAATACATGAAGCAAAAACGGAAAGGAGAAATAGATAAGTCCACAATTATAAATGGAGATTTCACCATTTCTTACTGATCAACAGATCCTAAAATCAGTAAGGATATAGACAATTTGAACAGCATTATCTACTAACTTGATGTAATTAACATTTCTGGAATACACTTAACAAAGGCCAAGATGTGGAAAATCCAGAATATTTGAAAGTTCTTAGTAACCCATCATTCAAAGAAGTCACAGGGAAACTTAGAAAATGTTTTGAATTAAATGAACATGAAAGCACAACCTATCAAAAGCTGTGGGTTGCGGCTAAAAGTGTGCTTTGAGGGAAATTTATAACATTAAGTTTTTATAATAGCAAAAGGTCTCAAAACAATGATCTAAGCTGCTGCTTTAAGAAAACAGAAAAGTAAGAGCAAGTCAAACCCAAGACAAACAGAAGGAAGGAGATAATAAAGATAAAAACAAAGATGAATAAACATGGAAAACAGAAAAACAGTGGAAAATATCAATGAGTCAAAGAACTGGTTCTTTGGAAAAATATTAATTAAACTGATAAATCGGTGGCTAGACTGACCAAAAAAAAAAAAAAAGAGAGTGAAGTCATATATTAACAATGTTATGATGAGAGGGGCCATTGCTACAAAACATACTGACACTGAAAAAAAAAGTGCATAGCAGGACAGTTTCGCTACCCATATGTTTGACTGCTTAGATAAATGAATAACTTTTTTTTTTTTTTTTTGGAGACAGAGTCTAGCTCTTTCTCCCAGCCTGGAGTTCAGAGGCACGATCTTGGCTCACTGCATCCTTCTCCTCCCGGGTTCAAGTGATTCTTCTGCCTCAGCCTCCTGAGTAGCTGGGACTACAGGTGAGCACCACCATGCCCACCTAATTTTTGTATTTTTAGTAGAGACAGGATTTTACCATATTGGCCAGGCTGGTCTCAAACTCCTGGCCTCATCATCCACCCACCTCGGCCTCCCAAAATGCTGAGATTATAGGCGTGAGCCACTGTGCCCAGCCTGAATAACTTTTTTGAAAGGCACAGACTACCAAGCTCATTCAAGAAGAAATAGTCTTAAATCTATCATAATAATTGAATTTATAATTTAAGCCTTTCCATAATGAAAATTTCAGACGTAGTTGTCTTCATTGGGGAATTCTACAAAACATTTATGGAAGAAATAATGTCTGTTCTAGAAAATTCTTCCAGAAAATACACGAGGAAATACTTTCCAACTCTTTTTATGATGGCAGCATTACCTTGATACCACAACCAAATAAAGGGATTAGAAGAAAAATACAGACCAATATTCCTAATGTACATAAAATGCAAAAGTCCTCAGGAATATTACCAACTTGAAACCAGGAAATATATAAAGGATGATGGAACATGACCAACTTGAGTTTATCTTATGAATGTAAGACTGTTCAGTATTTCACAATTAATCAGTTTACCATATCAATAGGAAAAATGAAGATAAACCTGTGTTAATCTCGAAGAAATTTCCTGATTTGATAAAAAGGAATCTATCAAATACTTATTGCTGACATAATTCCTAATGATAAAAGATTGAATGTTTTCCTCCTAAAATCAGAAATAAGACAAAGATGTCTGTCCACTCTTCCTACAGCTATTCAGTGGAAGGTCCTAGCCAGTCCAGTACATCAAGGGAAAAAATGATTTTGGAAAAGTAAGAAATAAAACTTTATTTATAGAAGGCATGATTGTCTATACAGAAAATTCCCAAAAACCTACAAAACTACGCAACATACAAAAACCAATTGCCTTTCTATATACTAGCAATGAATATTGGATACTAAAATTTTAAATATAGTTCCATTTATAATAGATGAAAATGTGCAGTAGTTCATGTCCAATGATATTTGCAGGATATATATACTGAAAACTACAAAACCTTAAATAAAATAACATTTAAAGAAATGGAGAGATATACTGTGTTCTTAGATTGGAAGACTCAATATTCTCCCCAAACTGATGGATTTAACATGATTCCAGTCAAAATCACAGCAGGTCTTTTCCTAGAAACTGATAAGCCATTCTGAAATCTATGTGGAAATTTACAGTTGTACAAGTTTTCCAAAATTATTTTTGACAACCCATCACTAGAGAATGTTAAAGTAACTGATCATATAATTCCTTCAAGAATGGTCATTAAATTCTGGATTTCACAGTTTCTTTTAGTTCGTATTTCACAAGATAGAAGCTTTACATTTTTCAGATTAAGGTAGTTTTCACCTTTGTGCATGCTACATCTTGGGGAAAATACTGAGACAAAATGACTCATTGGAATTATTTTTGATTTTTTGATACTCGGCTGACAATTATAGTCTGTGTTATGACAGTTATAGCCTGTGTCATACGTACTCAGAATTAACTAACATAGTCTTCCTCCTAACTTCCCTGCATATTGGAACATTAGAATTCTTTTGGTTGGTTGAAGAAACATCCTAGAATTTTAAAATATTTTGTATCTAATGTAATGCTGAAAACATGAAATCCACATAATGTATGCGGCATAGCTAATATTAGAAGCATGTTCAAGGAGCAGCCTCTGGGGTTAATAGAGTTTAATTTGCAAGACAAATGAAAGCTTATTTTCTCCTAGGCTCTCTGCTCATAATTCTAGTAGGGCCACTTTTGAAGAATAGTACCTTCAACAGACACAGAGAACCCTTGTTGGACAGCAACAGAACTTGCTCACAGTGAGACCCGACATCCCCTCCGCTCAGTGGGCATTTCCTACAGTGCAGAGTTGTGCGTTGAAAAGTGCCTCTTCACTCCCTACATGAGGTTCCTCACACAACCCCGCACCTGGGCGGGCGGGCGGGCGTAGGGGGCATAAATGGCTTATCCCTATGAACTTCATCATTATGAAATGTAAAAATGGACAGTCCCATTGCCCCAGAAACAGTGGGGGAGCTTCTAAGTAAATCCAGGTTTATCTGCATTTGGGAATATTCTGCATTTTTTGAAAATGATGTTCCCAGGAATCTTTATAACCAAGGAGAATCCTTACTGTAAACATTCCACCTGAATTTTTCCAAAAAAAAAATAGATCATTAAGAACAATAGACAAAGGAATATGCTTTTAAAAATAGTGATTATCTCTGAAGGTGGGATTGTGGCTAATTTTTAACTACCCTGGTGTGACCTTATGTGACCCTGTGTGAGTCAACATGTCTGGCCTCAGGGGTGTGTGTGGAGGGGGCACCCTTTGCCATTGCATTACACAAGTCTTTGAACTGACTGTCCTTCTTACTAAATGCTATTAGCATCTCTTAGTCACTGTGGCAGCCAAAAATGCTTCCACGTTTTCTAAGCATTCCACAGGTGTATGTTCCTGGCCTGATTCAGGATAGACCAGTAACTCCTGAAAGTAATCAAAGGGGCCGGGTATTGTGGCTCACGTCTGTAGTCACAGCTACTTGGGAGGCTGAGGCGGGAAGACCACCTGAGCCCCGAAGTTCAAGACTGCAGTGAGCCGCGATCCCACCAAGGCATTCCAGCCTGGGCTGCAGAATAAGAACCTGTCTCTTAAGAAAAAAAAAAGAAAAAAAGGTAATAAAAGAGCACCAGGAAGCATAGGTGATGCACCTCCCATGTAGAGAAGGCTGGGCGAGCGAATGTGTAGTGGTTTCTGCGGCTCCATTGTTAGTGATGACTTACGGATGGAAAAGGGAGTTTTGTAGCTGAGTGAAAACTGTTAGAAAACCAAATGCCGCTGTCATGTTTTTGTCTCGTGCGCTTCCCCTTCACCTTCATCCTTGGGCCCATGCTGTGGCCAACTGAGGAGTACCCTGAGGTTAAGCGTCCCCCATGGCAGGTGAGGCTGTGGGGTGGGAGGAGGGCTGGGAGATAGCAGATTAGAGATCTACAAGAGAATAGAAAGTTTGATTCAAGGAGAAAAACTGGAGTAAGCAGTTTGGAGAAGTCAGATGTTTAAAACATGAAAAGAAATGTAACTTTGAGTTGCAGTGGTTTTGAGTTTCCTGATCTTGATGTGCCAGTAACTCCCTGGGGGCTGACAAATCCAGGGGGAAGGTTCAAAGGCAGAGAGCCTGTTTGAGCTGGGCCAGGGCACAGAGGCTTGCTCAGAAGACGTGGACGGCAGCAGAGCCTGGGCTTGAGAGTCGAGCTCCACCTTCTTCAGGCTCTTTCCAGCGGGGCGGGACAAGGACCCACACATGCTAAGCGAGCAGGGACCCTCAAGCCTGTGACTGTTCGTGCCAGTGAAAAGGGCACCAGTGCACTGATTTCTTCCGTTCACCCAGAAACAACGATTTCTTCAATGTTCACAGTAGTCTGTTAACCACCTCTTCGTGGTGCATCTTTGAGCCTGTGTTTACAGCAGTCCTCTCTTTGGTCTTAACAACCCAACGTGAATTTTGTGGCATGCTACAAATTGAGGCATCAAAGCTATGCTTTTTACATTGACTTTTGAGAAATTCGACAGAGTTCTGAAACCCAAATCTTGACCTTTCATGGATATGATGGTAACCTGGCTTGAGGTTTTTTTTCATCTCTTTCCCAAACTACCTGTTCTTTCCATCGGCATTTTAAGTAGCTTGAGCACTTGGTTTCACTCTTCAATACTTTGATGATGCGAATATCTGCAGATGCCTACTGTATGCCCAGCCCAGCCTCTCTACAGAGAGACCTTCCCAGCCAGCCCCGGTCTAACCCATCATGCTGTTGAGTGTTCTTCCTAGCAGACATCATTATATTACTCATGCATTCATTTTAGGGGGTTATGGTCTATTCCATTGCTCCCCTCTCCCAGAGCAGTGCTTTAGGGGAGCCAGGTCTGTCTTACTCCCGGTACACCCAGCACCTGTAACTCTCTAGCAAATCCTAGATGCTTGGTGAGTGAGTGAGTACATTGAAGTACATTGAGTACAGTGAGGCCACACAATTTAAAAAGTGACAATGGCAGTACACTGCGGCATGTGCTGGAAAATGAAGTCCAGGGTGCTGGGTGGCCTCATGGCAGGGAGGCTCCCCTAGGCTGGCGTCGGGGCCAGGCAGCCTGAGGATGTGAAATTCAAGAGGACACAGCAAGAGGCTGGAAGGAAACTAGTTGGGGACAGGGGTGAGAGGACTCGATTGAAGGGGTCCCACTGCAAAGGGCCCCATGAGCCCATCCAGAGTGCTTGGGTTCCCCCCCTGAGGCCTGGTGAGAGCCCGTGGAAGGGCCGAGCCTGGGGAGCTCACACCGAGGCCTCAATTCCTGCTTCCCTTTCAGACACGCATTCATCCTTAACTCTTTATCAGAAGGGAAATAAAACCTCCCAGATAGCTTGGTTGTGAGGATTAAATTAGGAAAAAAAATAAAGCTATAGCTGTTATTGGCCTTGCCCGGTGCTCCTGGACCGTGGTTAGTGGATGGAGCCTTTCCTCATCCTCCAGCTTCTTGCCTGTGTTTGTAGGGCTCACGACAGCTTGTAATTATTTCATTTGTGTGGGTCTTACTTTTTGCACATCTCTTCACTGCGTGGCAGGTCCTGTGGAGGCAGAGCTTGGGTCTGTTTTGTCCACTTTGTTCCCAGTCCAGGCAGAAGGATGGGCAGGGAGTGGACGTCCAGATAATGAACCTGAAGTGAGTGAATGAATGCACTAAGCTCAAGTCAGGGTTTTCTTTACATAGAAATTCTCCCACGCTCCTTTTTGCTTTTAGTCTTGAGGATCAACAGTGTTCATGTACTAAATCAAGCCTGAAAGCCCTTTTTTTTTTTTTTTTTTTGAGATGGAGTCTTGCTCTGTCACCCATGCTGGAGTGCAGTAGCATGATCTTGGCTCACTGCAACCTCCGCCTCCTGGGTTCAAGCGATTCTGCTGCCTCAGCCTCCTGAGCAGCTGGGTTTATAGGCGCCCACCACCATGCCTAGCTGATTTTTGTATTTTTTTGGTAGAGATGAGGTTTTACCATGTTAATCAGGCTGGTCTCGAACTCCTGACCTCAGGTGATCCACCCACCTCAGCCTCCCAAAGTGCTGGGATTACAGGCATGAACCACTGTACCTGGCCAAAAGCCCACGTTTGGCAGGGTGGCTGGCAGCCTTGGGGCCTCATCCACGGTGAGGTTGTGTTTGGCCTCTCTTTGCAGGTTGATGGCTGGAAGGGGGAAGGGTTCTGTGGTCAGGCCTGTGCTTCATGGAGATGTCTGACCGTTGGGACTGTACCTTTCATCCTTTGGATGAGATGCTCTGCCTTGAGGCAGAAGCATGGAAAGCCGGTGGATTTGTGCGTGTCGGTGGTTTTCCACTGGGTCTCCAATCCGGACTCAGCATTGTGGGACCACCAGTGGCTCCCCCTGCCACTTCTTGTGGACACGTTCTTTCTCCTTAGAGCATCTGTTCCAGGCCAGCGGCGGTGTTACTTTCCAGCCTGGGGATGACTTTATGGCGTGATGTCTAATCTCCAGTGGGCAAGTGGTGAAGGTACTCTAGCATCCATCCAGTGGCCAGTCGGCCGAGGGCCTGTCTGCTCATGGGGAAGTGTCCTCTGATGGCAGCCCAGTGTCTTGCTAACCAGCAGACCACTGCAGAAGGCAACGCTGGCCTCCTAGAGGTGTGGCTTGTTTGCATCTCTATGTTTGTGACCAAGTCGTTTCCTTCCTTGGTCTCAGAATCTGCTTGGCACTTACTAATAGCATTTGTTCAACATGCATGATCCCGGTATGTGAAGTACAGATATGACATTTATAAGCCAGACACTGCGTTTGACTAATGTTGGCAAAGTCACACTAAGAGCCTCCCAGTGTTCAGATGGCGGAAGGGAAGGCAGATAGGAGTCCAGTCCCCAGGACTCTGAGGCCCCACCTTGTGCCTTGGTAGAAGTGAAGACAGATCGCCTGGGGAAGTTGGAAGAAGTAGCCGAGACATTTCTCCTGGCTCAGAGCAGAGGGGGATTTACGTTGGCCTATGAAGGAAGAGTAAGTATGTAGAACCTTCACTTGTAGAGAGCTGAGACTTTACTGTCACCCTTGTTTTAGGGAGCCTACATGGCACCTAAGACTCAAATTTACATTTTTAACTAACTGAAGCCAAATAAAAGACCTTTTATCCCAACTGGGTACACTCTAAAGTCTCGACATGATTATGCCTGTGATCCTGCACAAATCGTCTCAAAGATCTTGGAAAATTGGTTAGTGTCGGGGCACGGTGGCAGTTAGTACTGGGGCATTGGAAGCACCAGAGCTTACCTTAGCTAGACGTTTCCATCCCGTGGCAGCTTAACACGTGGCATCCTCACTGGTCTTACAGCATTATGGGGAATGCAAAATAAGGACTTGTCTCCTTCCAGAAGCCTGCTGCCCATCAGAAATATATATATATATATATATATATATATATATATATTTTCAGGGAATGGTAGAGAACAGTGGAGAAGTAGATGCTTGTCAGGCGTCTTGTCTGCTGGGCCAAGGTGAATCAGGAGGTGAGAGCGGCGGCTTTCCTCTTGTTTGGGCAGCGGGTGAAGGACAGGCGTGGCAGGCTGTATGGTGAGTGTGGGCATGGCCGCCCCTCCGTCCTCTTTCCCCTCTGGCCCGTCTCGCATCTGAACACCTGGGAGTCTGTGATTAGACCTGAGAAGAGGAAATGAGGGGCAGTTCCCTTCCATTTTCCTCCCAGCCGCTCAGTCCAGGTGTGTGTCAGTTTGCACGCCTCCCTCTGGAAGTCCGTGTCTCTGCGAGGCTCCTCAGCCCCGGTAGCCCCCACGCCAAGTCCCATTTACTCAGGGTTTCTGCTGGTGACGGCTCTAATAGGCACTTCACCTGCTCTGCGGAGGCGCCTGCGGAATGGTGGTCGCTCTCATTAGCTCTGCTCACCCGCCCAGCGTTACAGGCAGCTGGGGAGGGATTCAGGGGCTGCTGTGTTCAGCAGTAATCAGAGCCCTTCTGTGCACATTCGACGCTCAAGTGTGTAGTTTACCACGGGAGATCAAGAAATACGTTAAATGCATAAAATTAAAGGCAGCGGCCTGCAGGATCCCCAGGTGGCGTGTGCTGGGAATTGGATGCACTTGGCTGTGTGTGTCACTTAGGAAATGCGCTAGGGGGTCAGCAGCTTTCCCATCGAAGCGTTGGTTAGTTTGTGAAAAGTAAAATTCCAAATATTTGAAATAATAAGGGGCCAGATACGTTTGGAGCTTGAGAAGAACTATTTCACCAGCCAAGAGATCCTAAACATTTTTTGGCTTAATAGAAAATAATAGCCTATTTTGAACAATAATCTTTGTAAATCCAAGAAGAAAAAACAGTTCATCTCCCTTTATAGGGTCTGATTTGTGTCTGTTCAATTTAAATAGCGGCAACAGAAATACAAGTGTCTTTGGGTGATTTTGTTCTGCTCTTACCAACAGATGACAATCACGTCTTATGGTTTTTGATTTGACAGAACGGTTCATTTCATCAGCTTTCTAGCAGCCCATTTGATTCAATTTCCCTCTGCAGTGTTTTACTGAAAATGACAAAAATGTTCTTTTACATAAAGCCTGCGAGTCTGTGAAGGAACATAAATGTGCTGTGCTGTTTACATACTAACTTAATTGTAATTTAAATGCCCTTTTCATTCCATAAATATAGCCATAGGCTTTTCATTTCCTTCAAGCCTTCAGCTCACAGAGCAGTTTATATGTAAACTGGAGTCAGTTGCTTCATAAAGTGAATTTCTGGAGGAAATAATATAGTATATATCAAAATCTAGATAGGTAATGGGAAATTGATTGTGACAATACAATATTAGAAACACATCTCCATAATATTTTATTTATTACACTTTCCACCTTTTGCTGTCAAGGGAAAATATTTCATCTTGCACCGCGAACTCCAGTCTGTAGAGATTTTGACCTCAATATTCTCACACAAATGAATATAGTGTGTAAGGTAGCACAATTTTCCCTGTGTAAAATCATGCATAAAAAACAATTCATTTAAAGCATCTAAATGTTTCCAAATTACTGCAGGTAATTTTTACAGCTTAATTCCTCCGAGACACCATTTTAAATGAACCCATAATTCAATTTTCAGACTTTGCATTTCAAATTTTTATGTTGAAAGTAATTTCCTTTCTTGCTTAAGTTGTGCTCAGAACCAGATTCATAAAATGTGTATGATGTATGTCTGTAGAATCAGTGACTGTTAGAAGCTTAATAACAAATATGCAAGGAAGAAATTAAATGATTTTTCTCTTCAGTAGTTCAGTTTAACATTGATTTCTAAAAGAAATGATTCTGACTTTGCCGCTAAGTTTCTTTCTTTCACTTTTTTTCTTTTCTTTTTTCTTCTTGCAGTGTTCCAGGGGATAAAACTGTCCTTGTATCTGTATTTTGAATGATTTGGAATCTTTTATCTTTGCATATTCCTTTAGACCAGAAAAGAAGTTGAATAATGTTCAGACTGGCTCCCATGTTAAGGTAGCACTTAGAGATTCTCTGAATATCATCCCTGAAGCTATGGCTTCCTAAAGACTTTTGACCTCTTAAATTAGTGAAGAGTGGACACCACCGCTTAAGCCCTGCTAAGACCAGTTAAAAGCATCTGTGGTCTGGGCGGAGGGAGCTTTGAGTACAATGGAAAATGGCACCACCGTGTTCATGCTTGCGAGCTTTCCATCCTGATGGCTCTCCTCTGCCTTTTCCTGTGGCTGTGGGATTTTTCAAAACCCTTTTCCATGTCTGCCCTTCAATAGAACACTCCAAGTATCCAGTTTTATTAATGTCCAGAAGCGTAAATCACAGCCCCCTGTTTTGTCATTCCAGTCATTTTAGTCACTAAAGGATTACTTCAAGTGACTGAACTCGGCTGTTATCTGTTTGAGTTTTTGCAGCCAGGTCATCTCAGGGGACTGGGAACAAGCTTTCTGCCCCCTTAACTATGTCGAGTGGATGGCTTTAGCTGGACCACTTTTTGTGATTGATGTACATTCTGTGTCGCTGTATCTTCCCGCGACGTGGTAATGCAAACTTAGAAAAAAAAATAAGATGGAAATGGTGCTGCAAGTTTTTAAAATCAAGGGTTGGGCAGTGCAGGGGGAGCTATTGTTTAAAAAATAAAAGTTGGGAGGAAGATATAATGGATTTTGTCAGTGGTATTAGGGCGATGAGGCATTCTTGAGTTCAGCAAATATTGGCAGATAATTCTGCTTTATGGAAACTATTAAATGTAATTGGTCACATCAGAGACACAATTGGCATCTGTACTTTGAAGCTGAATCTCCTCAGGTTGAGAGAGAGAAAGAGAGATTAAGACGGACTCTTCAGAGACCATGGACTACAGGGCCCAAAGTTATAAATCTGGAAGATGTAAATAAAGGAATATTTTAGGCTAACGTTGCTCCAAGAAGCAGTATTTGCCTGTAAGAAATGTAATAATAGAGGTGCCAATACAAGATAGCAAAAGTTACCCAGGAAAGATGTTAAGTGACATGCTGTCTTCATTTTTAAACAGGACAAATTATTTAATTGGGAATTTTGCCGACACTGTTGAAGCAATTATCATATTTAAACTGTTTATCTTCTCCACATTCTGCCTGTATTTTTTTTCTTCTTTGCATTAATCTTTTTCCTCTTTAGCATCTAGAGAGGGTCCCTTTCTCGTGGAGATCGGCATTGTAGACCTTAAAAGGTCTCACTTGAGAAATATTTTTGATATTATTGAATAATTATTAATTCATGCAAGAAACAAAAGGAAGGGCACTCACCGGCTCGTGGCCAGAGCAGACTCTCATTCTTTACTTCTGAGTGTTTGGGGGCTTCTAGCGAATAATCCCTGGATGACGGGTCCTAGTGGTTTTGAGACCACCAGTGGGTAGCCTCGCCCTGGGAGGGGCTTGAGCAGCCTTGAGGTGCTTTTGTGCTTTGCACGTTCGTAATTGTGAACCTCAACGCAAAGCAGGTGTTGTTGTAAATCTGGTGTCTCTGTGGAAGCAATGCCAGTCCTCTAATTCATCTTCGCCAAGCTAGAGGACGCGAGCACATGTGCAGGTCTGTGACCTAAAGCCCTTGCTGGCCAGGGTGCTATTCTTACCTTTGGGCTTCCAGAAAGAGCCAGCTCCTGGTGGAGTGAAGGTCCTACCTCCAGATGCCTCCGAAGGTGCCGGTACGTGATTGGAATAGGAATGCGCATGAACGGAGAAAACCCTCACCATTGCGTCCTTTTGTTCTTTTTGCGAGGAAGAGATCCATGGGTTGGCTCTTACTGAACATGAAATGTTGGAAGTGGAACACTGCAGTGTTACCAGTGAGCTGTGTAATCGCCACCTCTGACAGGGATCCTGCTCGAGGAGCACGTCTTTCCTTGGTGTGGCCGTCTCCAAGTACTTTGGGTGGTGGTAAATTTACCCTTCTCGGTCACACACTGTGAAGATGTGAGTTTCCCAATTTCAGCATTTGGAGCCATGTCCTTGGTGAGGGCAGGAGGAATTTGTCACCCTTTCTCGATGTGCCTGGGACTAGGGCAGAGACGGTTAGTCTCAGGAGAGCCAGGTGTGCCAGCTGCCCCTGCCTGCCATGGCTCCCGCATTGTGGCCAGGACTTTTTCTGGCAGTGGTACTGCCCGAGGGCCGCAGTCCTGGTCACATTCCACTTGGGGACAGAGTGTGCAAGGGGCTGATCTGAAGATCCGGCTGGAACCTGGGAGCCACAGGATCCTGGGGACCCTCTTTGGCTGTACCCCGTACCTCTGTATTTGCTCCCACATGCTGTCTGATTTCTCTGGATGGCCTGGATGCCTCTGTTCCCAGCATCTCCTCGGCATGCTCCCTGCAGCCCTTGGCCTGTGTCCAGTGGGCCCCGACCCGGAGGCTCCTGCCCCGTAGCTCAGGTCCCGTCTTGGCCTCAGCCTTCCCTTAGGTGCTCGTTTCTCCAGTACCTGCAGCACCGGCGCTTTTAGATTGCATTCTTTATGCATTAATTAGTAATGTGGTGGTCCCAGGTGACTAATAAGCTAAAGAAAGAACTAGTGTGAGTGAATTTCTTTAAAGGTCATTTGGCTCTAGGAAAACCTTTTTTTTAAGAAAAAAAAAAGCATTTTATAGAAATGTTCAATGGCAAAGTGAAATGTAAAGTATTACATGTTTTTTACTATAGCGAACAAATTGCCCCTTTTTATTCCGTTTATGTCTTCATCTGCTACATTTAGCCAGATATATTTGTCTACCTAATTTTCTGCAAACTGGAAGACATAATCCCCCAATGTGAAAACACCAAGAGTTACATGATGATAATTATAACTCATGAGGGGAAAAGTGTCGCCTATAGAATCCATACCGGTCGTTTGCCTGAGAGAACGTGCTCATCCTGGCCCTGTTGGATTGTCTCCACAGATGTTTTTCATTTCGTATTTGGTTTGATTAAAGACAAAATTCACCCATCAAAAGGAAGAACGGCCCTGCAGAGTGTGAGTTCTTCATTCGAGAGCATGTGCTAGTTAAAAAGAAAGAAAAAAGATATCTTAATCCAATTTCTGAGCTGCACTGATCCCAAATTGAACTGAATTTCCATTAATAACTCAACCTAAAAATCCTTTAGGTGTTCTCTGGGGGCTGGAAACAGAGGCCGGTGGCGTGGTGTGATGTTCAGCGTTGGCCAGGATCACTTGCTTCACCCAGGTGTTGGGCCTGCACACTGAGTGCCCGAGAGGAAAGGTTCCGGGAAAGCTGCTGTCGGAAGCCGGGGTTTGTGGGATCGTGTGTAGGAGTAGATGTGGAGGGGCTTGTGTGAATGGGGGAGTTATGAAACCAGGACTGAAGACAACAGAAAGGCCCCCTGGGAGACAGGTCCCTGGCTTGCCCTGTGCTTCCCCGCCACTCGGGGGGCCGGCCATGCGGAGAACACTCTCCTCTCCCAGCCAGGCTTCAGAACTGGGGGGCTCGGCCTCCTTCCTCTGGCCCCAGCAGCCCCCGAGCGGAGACGCTGGAGTTCCAGTAGAGTGGAGGGAAAAGTGTCTTTGACAGCGAGGTGAGCTGCCTGCCTGCACGGTGGGTCCCCTGGGTGACTCAGGCCCCCTTCCTGGAAGGCAAAGGGAGGGGCACGTTTCTGACCCTCCTGAGGGAACGGAGGAGACTGGAGAGGGAACATTCTAGTATGTGCGTGCGCCCATGCGAAGGCTTTCAAAGGCCTGAGAGCAGACTTCAGAGCTGATCACAAAGTTGAAGGTGGGAGGAGGGGAGCAAGAAAGCATCGGCACTCAGAGTCCCCAGGCATGGGCACCTGACACGGTGCTGTCCCCCGCAGTGGCTGCTGCTGTTGGTGTGCCTACTGTGTGGGGGCTTCTGTGGGAGAGGACCCTGTCCTCCGCACGTCAGCTGCCGGAGAGTCAGCTGGTGCCAGATGGCCGGCCGGCCTGCCTGCCTCTGGGAGGCCTCAGTGCCTGTTGGATTCCCTGCCATGCAGGGCGCACCCACGGGGTGACGTGTGGGACCCTCCCAAGCGTGCCCGTGCACCCATGCAGCTGTGGCCGCAGTCTCCACTGTTTTGAATATTTGTTGTGTTCCTCCTGGTAGGATGCATGATGTTTTGGGACTGTGCTGGCAGCTCTGTCTTCCAGTTCCTTCCCAAGCAGTGTGGGCTGAGGGTGCCAGCAGAATGCCCGCCCCAGGACACGATCCAGTGGCTCTCGGGATCCCTCCAGGGTTGGCTGAGAATATATCAGTGGCACTGATCTTGTCCCAGAATGCTTGGTCGTCCGGTCGGCTGTGACAAAAGAGAAACATGGTCCGGGTTATACACAGCCTTTCCTTGTCTTTATTTCTAGACACCCTTTATTTCAAGACTCTACTCCACTGGACTTCATGTCCGGTTATTAATAAGCAGTTCTCGTTCTGTCATCGAGCCTGCTCTGGAGTTAACTGTCAAATAATCTGAACTAAAAAGTTAAATCATATAGGCTTTGAAAATTAGCATCCCTAAGTCTCTGTCCTTTTGTATTTGAAAACATTGATCATTTTCCACCCCCTCAGGATGGCCAGTATCCTCTGGATTTATTGCTAACAGTAACTGCTCAGTTTCACACCCATCCTGAAACCATTTGAGGTGATCCTGTAATTGCCATGTGTGTGTATTACTAATCAAGGCTGCTCCCTCTACAAAACACTGAGTGGCCCCCAGGCCGAGGTGCTGCAGAGATGGCCCGTGTGGGAGGGGTAACGCCTGCAAACCCGACCCTGATCACCAATGGAGTGGCCTCACGTGGCCTCCCTGATGGTGGCCCTTGACTGTGGTCAGCACTGGACTGGCCCACCCTATGAGATGTCTCAGGCAGCTTGCAAGATTACATCATGTGATGGCCAATGCTTCTGCTAAACAAGAGGCAGGGAGCCGAATGGACAGGCCTCAGGAAGCAC
The DNA here is from genome assembly GCF_000001405.40 of Homo sapiens. Lineage (NCBI taxonomy): Eukaryota > Metazoa > Chordata > Mammalia > Primates > Hominidae > Homo > Homo sapiens. The sequence continues at coordinate 129,653,740 of NC_000010.11, forward strand.
AGCGTGGTGGCCGTCACAGCCTTCTGGGAAGGCTATTTCTGCATCACTGAGGCCCCACAGCCCAGGGTGTTTAGGATGAAGGGCACAGATTTCCAGATGTGAAGAGTGTCAGGTGGGCTAGGGGCAGGAGAAGCATGAGGAGGACCCTGTGCTGGGGATGAGAGGAGAGCGGCCCTGCAGTCAAGGGGCCAGGTGGAGCCACCTTTGGGGATGCGGGGAGAACTTGGTGGCCCTCAGAGACCCCTGCTTGGAGACCCCACCTCCCCCTTGACAAGACTGCGGCCTGTGCTGGGCACAGCTGGCCCAGAGCGAGGGCCACACCCTACTACTGCACCCTCCACGCCTGTCTGTCCTTGCCCACCTCGGTGGCTGCCTCGCCGACCCCCGCCTTGCAGCTGGAGTAGCTGTGCTGATAAAGATGCAGGTGGGAAGCTGGATGGTGAGGTAGCCCATCTGTGGTTTGGGATCCGAGAAGACGGCAAGACCTCAGCTTCATGAGAAGAGAGACCTGAAGATCCATGCTGGGGAAGGGCGAGGATGGAAAGGGGTGCAGGGCGTGGAGCAGGTGCCCAGGTCGGGTACAGAGACAGGCCTGGGACCTGGAGGACCTGCACGCGGGGTCGGGCACCTGCCACACTCTCCCATGTCTTTGAAGCCTCTTGTGGTAGAAGAGAAGGTGCTCATATTTTACCTTCTGTGCCTTAGTATGTAGTTTGGTATTGTGTTAAGTGGACAGAAATCACATACCCCTGCTCACTCTGAGCCTGCATCCTTTGACCGTCACTGTGAACCTCAGATCGAGACACCAGCCTCAGCGGGGGCTGAGATAGGGCATTCCCCATTCCCACTGGCTGCTTGGAGGGCTGTGAGGGACCTGCTGCCTGGAGCACAGGGCCTGTATGGGTGGGTAAGTCCCTGGAGAGACAGGAGGAGGCAGGGGTGTGCAAGCCTCTTGAGGTATGAGGAAGGTGGCCGGGGTCTCGGGAAGCTTGTCTGGCCCTGGCAGGCAGGACAAGGGCCCCCTCCTGCCCATACCTCTACCTTAGGCCCCTTGTCATGACACGTGATACCTGAGGGTGGGGGGCTGTATGGGCATTTGGAATGTGACGGCACAAGCCACAGTGGGTCACTTGTTTCTACAAATGCCTGAGAAGAAAACTATTCTTCTAACTCAGAGAAGTGGGATTTCCCACTGAAAATCAGTGGAAATCACTTATAATGGTCTTTGCAAATTCCTTGCATCTAAGGAAGTGCCTGTGGAGCAGCAGTGGGAGGAAACCATTCAGGCTCGATGGAGAGGGTGACCGCTGCACCCTCATCCCTGGTGTCAGCACACTACCGAGGTGCTCCTGGTTTAAGGACGTTTGTGCACCCACCCGGAGGTATGCATGGAAAGAAAGCACTGCAGCCATTCCCCAGCCAGTGTAGGGGTGGGACACAGTCCCGTGGGGGCCCCGCGGAGGGCCTGGGCAGATGCAGGGCTGCGCACTGCCGTGGTTTCCTGTGTGTCTGCCAGGAGTGAAGACCTGAGCAGCCTCACTGGCCTGGTGTGGAGGGGCCGCCTCCGAGCATGCGGAGAAGTGGTTTGCATGGCTGGAAGTCAATGTTTATCTGTCTTTAGACTCAGTTGAAGACACATTTCTTTCACACATTACCATTTTTAAAACCCATTAAGGTCTGATTTTCCAAGGCGCTGACCCTGACGCTTCTAGAGGGCCTCATCCCGGAAGCTGGTGGGGAGAGCAGGAAAATCTTCCCCGTTGAGTTTTAAACGTCCAGACCTTTGTTGTCTCCTTGTGACCCTTGCAGGAGAGCTCTCGTGGCTTCTGTGCATGTTCGTGTGTGACTCGCCCGGCTGAGGGACTGGCATAAACAAACAGGGATGAGTTTGTAAAACACTTTGTAATCCCTTGAAAAGGAGAAAAATATAAATGAAAATCACTGTTTAACAGTGAAGGCAGGAAGGGAGCTGTTCCTCAGTATAGCTGTGGGTTGTCGTTACGTGAGCAGGAGGGAATTTCACTTTGGATGGATTTGGATTTTCTCTTCATGCTCATGCTCTCTAAATCTTGCAAAAGCACATGGTAAACACACAGCGCATGTGTTTCTGGAGGAAACGCACAGTGTCCATATAGAGCAGGCACTGATTTTGCACTGAAAGAACGTGGATGAGAAGTTCCACGTGTTTAAATAAACTGGCAACAGCGGTCCCAGATAGCTTAGCCGGGCAGCAGTCAGAGGTGCCCTGGCCTGGGGACTGAGCTAAGGTCTCAGAAGGGTCAGCTAGCCAAGCTCTTCACCGGACAACCCCTGAATTAACCAGACACATCACAGATGCAGACTGTTGATTCCAGGGAACCCAGGTGAAAGGCCAAGGAGAGGTGAGGTAGTTGGTGCGGTGCCCCTCCTGGAGTCCCTTCAGGACTATGGCACTACAGTTCTATGTAAGCTGTCACCCAGGACTCATCTTCAGTGGAGTCTGGACTGCAGTCGGGAGGTGACAAACATCCATGGCATGAGGGCAGCAAGAGCCCCTCTCTTGGGAACCAGTTGTGGCCACTATCTGCCCAGTGAACATGGGCTTCAGCCCCGAGCATGGGAGGGCTCCTGGTTGGGCATCTCCCTGGGAGTTCCTTGGTACTGCCTCCTGCAGGGTGAGGAGGGGTGGGGCCTACTTCCAGGCCTCTGGAAGCAGCATCGGCATGTCCTTTCTGGTGTGAACTCCAAATATCTGAGATGGTCTCAGTTAATTTAGAAAGTTTATTTTGCCAAGATTAAGGACATGCGCCTGTGACCCAGCCTCAGGAGGTCCTGATGACACGTGCCCCAGGTGGTCGGGGCACCGCTTGGTTTTATAGATTTTAGAGAGACATGATACATCAATTAATATATGTAAGAAGTACATTGGTTCTGTCCAGAAAGGCAGGGACAACTCGAAGCAGGGAAGGGGCTTCCAGGTCACAGGTAGGTGAGAGTCAAGTGGTTGCACCGAGTTTCTGATAAGCCTCTCCAAAGGAGGCAATCAGAGATGTCTTTCTCTCTGTGAGCAGAGGGATGACTGAATACAACGGGAGGCAGGTTGGCCCTGAGCAGTTTCCAGCTTGACTTTCCCCTTTAGATTAGTAATTTGGGGGCCCCAAGGTTCTCCTTTCATGCTGGGAGGAGGGTTTTTCCACACGTCTCAGACCCAACTCTCGGGCTTCTTAACCCAAAAGAACTTCCACGCAGAAGGCAGCGAAAATAGTGCACTTCATTTTCTAAGACATCTAAAGCTGCCACAATGACTGTGAGTTAGGTGAGCTCTATGAATTAGGCTAGGGATTTGCAACCACTTAGCAAGTTCTAAGTAACTGTAAAAGATCCCATAGACTGCAAATTGTGTTTCATTTGGGGACAGATACCCTGTCTTGGGGATTTAAGTGTGTTTACCTGCCCAGAGTTGACACAGACGACTGTCCCTTAGCTTCCTTTCCTCATGCTGGTTTTAAGTGCTTCGAATCGGGATTTTCCTACCCATCTGATGCATTCCATTGAAAATTCAGGAATACACATGTATGTGACTGTTTATTGGCAAGTAATTGTGAAATAGGCCAGAAATCTACCAGCTTCCTTTAATTAATGTAACAAATACTTAGCAAGGACCTCCTGCATTCTAGGGATTGTGGGGGTGGGGGGGGGAGCAACAAACAAAACAGATAAACCCTGCCCTGAGGCGCCCCTTGTCTTGTCTGGGGGTGGAGGTGGGGCAGGCGTGAGACAGAAGAAACAGGTAAAATACAGTTCAAAGTCAGGTGCTGGTCAGTGTCTTGGAGAATTCTAAAGCAGGGAGGAGGGATGGGGTGAGTTTTAAATGTGGTGACTGCTGAAGAAATGGCCTCTGACAGCCTGGAGGAGGAGCTGGAGCTGGGGGGGGGACAGGCTGGCCAGCTCCTCCAACACACACACACACACACACACACACACACACGCACACACACACACACACACACCCCCTCTCCCCCAAGGACCCACAAGGACTGCGGCCTCTTAGCGTGTGTGGAGTCATCACACTGACCCTTAGCAGTGTGGCCTGACTTCATGAGGCCCCCGTTGTCATGGAGATGCTGGGAATGGGAGGATTTGCCACCCTCCAGTGAGGAGCCCCCATCCCATGAGTGCAAAGCCTGAACCGGCCCTTCCCTAATTGGCACCTCTATCCTATTTTCTTTGGCTGAGGAAATTCTCGTAAATGTATATTTAATGTGGTGTTGAGATTGGTAGTTCTCCCCCATCCCCCAAAGATCATCAAATCTCTGGGGGTCTTTCAAAACCTAAAGGTGATCTCCCTGGTCCTATTATGCTGTTTTGTTTTTGCTTCTTTTCTTTTTCTTGAAAGACCTAATTGTGGAGTTTTTTCCCCCTTCTATGAATCCCAAGTAAGGAACTAAAATGGAAGACGGGCTTCTGGCTCCCGCTGCAGCAGATGGGATAATTCTACAGGTGATTGCCCTGGAGGTCTGCAAGGGAGGGAGAGCGGCACCATTAGACTAACACAGCTCTATTATTGACTAATGACGAACAGCGTCGCCTTGCCTTGCCACCTTAAAACAGACACAGGGATTTGCTACTCTATTTGTTTTATAAAATATGCATTGAGAGCAACACCAAAATGCTGAATGACAGGTGACCCTCAGAGCACGCCTGGTATGCACTGCGTTAGCTTGCCAGTATTTCTTAGAGACTTATTTGATTCTAATTCAGTAGGATTTTTAACCCCAACATTTTGAAATCTTGCTTTGAAAGTCCATGTTATTCCCATTAACGTCAGTGAGTTTTTCACATATCTAAATATCTAATATCATGCTTTGAGAATTGAAGCCCAGCCTGCTCTTTAAAAGCAAGGGAGCTCACCACATCCTGGAGTTCTGCAGTGATTTGACATGTCCTGGAAGAAATTATCTTCGCAAGAAAGTAAGTTTAGTTGATTGAAATGAAATTAACACCACATTTCTGTGTCATAATGTATTAACCTGATTGGCTAGCTGGATTCCAGCCTGTTTACAAACATCCTGAAGCCTAGATGGCCCCTTCCTCAGTGTCCTTAACTGCTGTTCTCGCCCTTAGCTCGCGTGCCCAACCCTAAGGCTGAAAACGCCCCCTGTAGGCTACTGTAAGCTGTAGCATTCAAGGCCTCCCAGGTGTCGCTGTAATTTCTTGTATACATTTTAGCTCCATCTGTGGCATAGGTACCATTCAATGTTATCTTAATACACTAGCTTTGGATTTTGTGGCTGCAACAATAACAAAAAAAAATCCTTGGTTCTGATGACTTCATGTTGTTTCAGAAGATACTCAAGGCCGGGTGCAGTGGCTCACACCTGTAATCCCAACACTTTGGGAGGCCGAGGCAGGTGGATTACCTAAGGTCAGGAGTTCGAGACCAGCCTGGCCAACACAGTGAAACCCCATCTCTACTAAAAATACAAAACTTACCTGGGCATGGTGGTGCACACCCGTAGTCTCAGCTACTCGGGAGGCTGAGGCAGGAGAATTGCTTGAACCTGGGAGGCGGAGGTTGCAGTGAGCCAAGATCGCACCACTGCGCTCCAGCCTGGGTGGCAGAGCGAGACTCCCTGTGTGGAAAAAAAAAAAAAAGATACTCAGATGTAGCTGTCTCTGCCTGGGTTGTTTTCTAAATGCGTTTGGCTGGAGATAGAACAGATCCTGCCTCTATCCACGGCGTAAGGGAGTTAGCTTCATGGCAAGCTCTCTGGAGAACACAGGCCATTGTACCTGCTCATGAGAACAGAAGTGAAAGTCACACAGCATGCATATTAGTTCCGAGGCTACTGGCATTATTATTTAATGATGAGTTAGTGCAAATTGAGGGGTGAGGAAGTAGCATGTACAAAGGCCCTGAAGATGAATGACTGTGTGAAATTTTGAAGAGCAGTTTAGCCCGAAAATATTCCATGAGTAGCTGCCAGGAGAGCTTTTCTGGAACAGTATTAAACTTTAGAAAAAGTGTTCTGACATTTATAGACTGACACGAAAACAGAAGTAAAAGTCTAAATTGAACCAAAGTCCTCCTTAAAGATTGCCTTTGAAATTGAGTAATGGCGGATGCCCAGCACCTGATGTTTGGGCACGGGCGACAGGACGTAGGGTGGTCATCCGAATATCCCTGCCCCACTCCCCAGCTCTCTATGGCATTAGTAGATGCTGGAAGATGAGGCCGTGTTTTCTCTTTCATCACCCGTGCAGTGAAGGATTTGCGTGGTCTTTGGTGCTTTTCTTCTAAATAATGAACAATTATTTCTTGCGACATTTTGGTTTTTTACTGCCAATTCCAACAGCCATTTGTCTTTTCAGAGCTAAGTTTATAACTTCCTCCTTTCTCTCCTGTCACTTTTACCCCATTCTGATTTTTCATCTCCCTGCCAATTGTGGTTTCGTTTCTGAGCACTCATTTATTAATCCTTCTTTTTCATTTCCCAGAACACGTGCTGGTGTAAATCTTTTTGCAGTTAAAGTATTACATTAACCTTTTTGATAGCATGGGGTGGTATCTCGGCGGATGGGCGAGTGCTGTTCGCCTGTGGTCTGTCTCAGGGGTTCTAGTTGGAAGGCGTCCTGCAGCCATTTCTTCAGAGGCTAAGGTGTGGGGGAGCACCTTGGGGAAGAAGAAAACATAGTTTCTGCCCTTACAAAGCTGATACCCCATCAAACTTGAGATTAAAACAGACAAAAAACCCAAGAACCTACAGAGCACTGCAGAGAGGCCTTGGGACCCTCTGACAGAGTCAGTGGGGAGTCGGCTGGGAAGGGCAGCTTTTCTGTCCCAGCAGCCTTGCTTCCTCTTCAGCATGCTGAGGGACATGGAGCCCTCCACCATTATCTGAATTGATTCCATCTTTCTCTCCTGCCTCTGCTGTGGGTTTCCATAATGTGAAATTAATGCATGTGCTTAGGTTGCGGGGGGCCAACCCCTCAGAAATATGCAAAGACTTCAAGGGAGACCTTTTCTTTTCACAAAGAGGAAGATCCCCCACCCCCAACACACACACACACACACACACACGCACACACATGCACAGTTTGCATAGCCGGAGTAGGGAGTATCTCTTTCTGGGGAATGTTCGTATGTCACTGTTGATTTTACATTGTTTTTCCTTTCTTTGACTTGAAAATTTTTAAAGTAACACAAATTTATTATTTTAAAAACTTCAACTCTGGAAGTACAGCCGTAAAATCCTCTTTCCAGAAGCAATCAGTCTTAGTCCTTTGGAATGCAACCTTATAAATCTGTTTCTGTTGTAAATATACTTCCCTGTTCTTACCTGCCTTTACCTGGAGAGTACATAGTATATTCTTTTGTGAGTAGGACTTTAACTTCCTAATATATCATAGGCTTTCCGCAGCTGGTTCTGTATTATGGATTACTGTAATTTATTAACTTTTCCCACTTTGAGTGGAAATTTAGTTTATTTCCAACTTTTTTTTTTTGCTTTTATGGTGTTATGAACATTTGTGTATGTCTGTATTTCTGTGCTGTGTGCAAGTATTTCTGTGGGATAGACGTCTAGGAGAGGAATTGTTTGGCCGAAGGGCATACACATTTAAATGTTCACGGATGCAGCCCAGACCCCCCTCATAAGGCTGTACCAACTCATACTCTCAGCAGTAATAAAGACGCGTCCATTTCTCACACCTCTGCAGAGGATTTCTAAAATGGCTTTTTATTTTTCAAAAAGCTTACATTTGACAACTATTGATGTTGTGCAACTTTCTGTGTTTATTAGCCAATTATATTTTTTTCTCCTTTGATTTACTTATACATATTCTTTGCTTTTTTCGATTGTTTCTTTTAGTAACTCTGCAGTATGGCTACTAGTCCTTTGTCTAACAAGTTATACATATTTTATTCTAGTCTCTTTTCTTAGCAGTTTAGTGGTGTCTTTTAGTCACGCTGGAGTTTTAAAGTTTTCCGCAATTTAATCTGACGATCAATTTACTGGAGTTTCCAGTTTTGAGTCCTGCTTTGAAGCGCCACTGTAAGATTTCGAAAAAGGACTATCTTGACTTACGGTTTTGTTTTAATATTTTTAATTTACTGGTAATTTGCTTTCGTGTGACCTGAGAATGATCTGACATAAGGTTTTTCTACATAGATGGTTTTGCTACACCCTTTCCATAGGCTTCACTGTCATCTACCCTCATCACTGAAATGTCCCCTTCATCTTATTCTGACCTTTCCTGTGTGTGGGTCTAGATACAGGCTCTGTTCTGTCCATTGCTATTCCTGGGCCAGCTCTTCCCTGATAGTAATGTGGCTCTGCAGACAGTTCCACGTGTAGAGGATGTGTCCTTTTTCATTCTTGTTTGTAAATAAGAATGGGGGTGGGGACACGGGAGGCAGAATCATAAACAAATAGCCTGACAGAACAGGGATAATAAAAATTTAAAGAAAAAGGGGGTTAGGGGAAGTAGAGTAAGATCATGCCCTACTGTATAGGTCATAGGTAGGAATCAAAGGAAACTATTTCAAGCTCACAGACCAGGAAGTGGAAGATTAGGCAAGGAAAAAAAGGAATTAAAATAGGGTGACCAGTCATCCCAGCTCGCCTGTGACTGAGGGGCCTCCCAGGACACGGAACTTTCCGTTTTAACACTGGGAAAATCCTGGGTAAACTGCTGGGACAAGTTGGTCACCCTAGATTACAGACGCTATAAAAGATATACACACAAAGGTACCACTAGAATAAAAACACTTTACAAAATATTAACCTAAAAGAAAAAGCAAAGAAGACTAAAGAGACACAGTAACCCTCACTGCAATTCCAGCATCAGCCAACAGGACAAAGCGGAAGCTGTGTCAGGAACTGTCAGGGGGCTTAGCTGCTTCTGGAAATGAAATTTCACGTTGGCTTGGTAAGGCAGCCCGTAGCTCAGCACATGTGAGCAGCACATGTGAAACACAGTGATTCACAAGGGAAGGGCAAAGGGATGGGCGGTGATTAATCAGGCAAATGAAACCATAGGGAAGCAGGGGTTGCCATCTTGGGATTAGACCAAGCAGAAATCAGGCTAAAAAGGCATTATAAGAGACAGATGAGAACACCTTAAAATGCTAAAAGTCACACTCATAATGAAGATAAAACCCATGTAACACAGAAACCACCTGTATAAAGCAGAACCTACAGCATACGCAAAGAGAAATAAATAGCAACACGGAAATTGTCAGAGATGTTAACACACTATTCTCAGTACAAGACAGGTCAAGTGGCCACAAGTAAGGAATGATACAGGAGACCCAAACAACCTATCCCGTCACAGATACGTATTGAAATGCATTCGCTGAGTAGAAAATACGTCTGTTTCTCAACATACATGGAATATTTACAAAAGCTTATCAAAAATTAGGTTATGAAGAAAAGTTTCATAAAAGAATTGTTACAATCAACATTCTCTGATCACAGTGCAATAAAACTATAAATTGTTAACAAAAACAAGGCCCATCCACCTAGAGACTTAAAACCTATTCTTGAATGAAAGTGTAAATATAAACCAACGTAATAGAATGTCTGTAAAATAATAACTCTGTGTATCAAAGGCATAGTTAATGCAGTGATTAGAGAATTCATGACTGTAGACACCTATATCAGTAAAAATGAGGGAAGAAAAATAAATGGAATTAATACCAAACTCAGAAAACTATGAAAAATTAAAAGGGAAGCCAAAAAAGTATAGGAAAGGAAATAATAGAAGCAGAAAATAACGAAGTAGAGAAGGAAAAAGCATTTATTTAATCAGTAAATCAAATTCTAGGTCCTTTGAAAAAAATTTAAACAGACAAATCATTAGTTATTTTATTCAAGGAAAAAAATGGGGAAACACAAATATATAAAATGAGAATGACAACAGGGAAATAAGTATTGATACAGAAGTTTTTAAAAAGCACAAGAGACTAATTTGCAAATAAATATGAAAACATTTTTGAAGTGCATAATTAGGAAAAATCCAGTTTTAGCAAAATTAACCCCAGTAGAGATAGAAAGCTTAAATAAACCAATTTACATGGAAGAAACAGAGAACATTTTCAAAGAACTACCTCACAAAATGGGTCTGAGCCCAGTTGCTTTCACAGGGGAATTCTAGTAAATCTTTTGTGTAGATGATTCTAATGATACATAAATTGTTTAAAAGCATAAGAAATGAAGGGAAACGTCCCATATTTTTTATGCAGCAAGTACAAATTGAAACCTAAACCTGGTAAAGATAGTATATTGTAAGGAAAATAAAAACTAATATAATATGGAAATATTGATGCAGAAATCCCAATGAATATTAGTGAATAGATTCCGACACCTCATTAGTAGTATAATATACCTCAACAAATATAACCTTTCTATGCCCAGGAATGCAAGGGTAGTTTGGTATTAGGAAATCTGTTCATTGCATTGCAGATGAATAATATAATCATGCAAAAAGGAAGGAAAAAAGTACCAATGCAAGTAACTTAAACACTGTACTCTGATGACATGTACTCAATTGTAGGGGGAAAACTACAAATATTCTTCTTAATAACTTTGTTTTTCATAGTGATGTGGAATTATTTCATGTGTATGTGGATTGAGAAAATGACTAAGTGTGTTGATGTTTGGGAGAACCCCCTGTGAAGAAGAGGGACACTTACATGGAGTAGGCATCAAGGAAGAAGTTGGTGCAGTTGACTTGGAATCAGCATCATCTATATGGACTCATTATTTCTCAAACATGCACATATGTACACACTTCTTCCAGCTCTAGCTAGAACTAAAAAGGCCTAGAGGCAGTAATACCCCAGTCACAAAGAACACACCTAGTTCCCAGTCTTATTTTCAAAATACCATGCACCACTGAAAAGGATCTTGTGCAGCTTGGAGAAATGGCTGATTCCAGGATGGGGGCAGCAAAGACACAAAAGGAGCCTAGAACAAGAAGAATGATAAGCAGGATGAGAAGGAAGAATACAAAATGAGCCCAGAATTAGCAGGGGGAAGAGAAGCCAATTTTTAAAATGGGCAAAACATTGGAACAGGCACTTCACCAAAGAATGCATATAAATGGAAGATAAGCATATGAAAATATGCTCAACATCTTCACCCTTAGCAAATGAAAACTAAAACCACAAGGAGATTCCACTACATGCTTATTAGAATGGCTAAAGTGAACTGACAGTGCCAAGTGCTGATGAAGATGCAGAGCAGCCAGAGTCCATTGCGGGGGAAAATGCTGAATTACAGCCACCAGGGTGACAGTCAGGCAGGTTTAAAAAATAGAGTTGAACATACACTTACCATATGGCACAGAAATCTGACTTAAATGTTTACTCAAGTGAACAAAAACAGATACCTACTCACCCACCCATCCACTCCTTCAGTCACCCACCCACTCCATCACTCTCTCTCTCTTCACCCACTCACCCACCCCCCCACCTACCCACTCACCCACCTACTCACTCCCCCACCCACCCCCCAACTCACTTACCCCCACACCCGCTCACCCACCCATCCTCTCCCCTCTCCCAACTCTCTCTCTCCCAACTCTCTCTCTCTCTCTAACTCAGAAAAGTGGCTTTACTCAGAGTCTCCCCAAGCCTTAAACAGCCATTCCCTCACTTGGAGAACTGAGTAAGTAGATAAGCTGTAGTTCATCCCTACCATGCAGTTCAGATCAGCCCTGAGAAAGGAGCAGACAATTGATACATACAACATCATGAATGACTCTCAAGGCATTATGCATTTGATAGTGGAAGAAGCCAGACACTGAGATGACATTACTCCACTTACAGGACTGACTGTGGGAGGCAAAACCACTGGGACAGCAAATCAGTGGTAGCGAGGGATGGGATTGAGGGGGAAAGAGGTTTCCTATAAAGGACCACAGGAAGTGCTTAGGATGATGGAACTCTGGCTTGATCTTAGTGATGGTCATGTGACTGTAGGTGTTTGTCAAAACTTACAGAACTAAACACCAACAAGGGTGAGTTTTACTTCATGTAAAAAATGTTAATGTCATGAAAGACAAAGGCTGTAAAACTGTTCCAGCTTGAGGGAGACTGAAGAGACATGGCGACTGAATACAACGTGTGCCTGTACTCCAGGGAAAGTGTATTGTGGGAGAGACTTAATTGGGACAATTGATGAAATTGGCTATGGATTATATGTTAGATAAAAGCACTGTGTTGATGTAGAATTTCCTCAGTTTGACAACTGTACTGTATTATGGTTACCTAAGAGAATATTCTTAGGAAATAAGATGTGTGATATACCCAAAGTAACTCTCAAATGGTTCACACAAACAAATAATAATGTTTGTGTGGGGAGGGAGGGGGAGAGAAAGAAAAAACAGTGGCAAGATGGTAAAAACAGGTGAATCTAGGTAAAGAATATACTGGTGTTCTCTGTATTCTTGTAACTTTTCTGCAAGTTTAACGTTATTTGAAACAAATTTTAACTATTTCAGTGTTCTAGATCATATATCTTTTTCCATGCTTTTAGAATGCATTTGTCAACTTTCACGTTTTAAAAATCCAGTTACAGTTTTGATTCAGGGTGCATTCACTATGTAGATTAATTTGGGATCACAATGAATTTCTGTTAATTTTGAGAAAATTTATATTTCTGATATTTTCCTATCTAGGAATATGCTGTTTTTTCACTTATTCAGCACTTCTTTTATGTCTTTCCATAAAATTTTATACTATGAGTCATAGAACTCATATTTTTTGCTAAGTTTAGCCATATATATTTTTTAATGTTTGTTTTATAAATGAGCTCTTTTCACCTCATTGAAATTACTAATTTATTATTTCTGACATACAGAAAAGCTGTTGACTTTTGTACTTGGCCATTCTGCTAAATTCTCTTATTAGTTCTAACATCAATTTATTCTCTTTAACTTTCTCTAATAATACCTGGAAATAATGATAATTTTGTTTATTCCTTCCTAATATTTTTATCTGTTATTTCTTTGTCTTGTCATGCATTGACCAGAACCTAGACAACAATGCTGAGAGTAGTGATACTGTTGATGGGGTGTGCCTACCCAACAGTTGTAGAAGTTTTTGTTTCTAATGTTTGCTGCTTATGAAACATAAGATGGTAATTAACAGGTGATTGCTGGAAGTTCTTGGCTTGGTTCCCACACCTGAAAAGCATTTGTGATTTACTGAAAACCAGTGCATGTTGAAGGCTTCCCAGCCTTACATAATTGAGATTCACTTTGACTGTCATATTGCCAAAAATGGACTCAAACCCTGAAGTTGTATCCATACCATCTTGAGAATCAGTTGTTTGAAGCGTCACCCATTGTTTCTAACCATTTTTGTTATAAAGATAATACACACAGAGAGAAGCGCCTGCAGTGAATCTTTGTGTAACCATCATGCAGATCAGGAGACAAACCATGGCGGCCCCTCAGAACTCTGCCACGTGTTTCTTCCCATCTTTTCCTGCTGCTGCTCCCAGAAGTAACCCTATTCCGACTTTTCTGGGTTTTCTTGGTAATCAATTTCTGGTTTTTCTTTATAGAGTTGTTGCCTAAGTATGCACCCTTCAACACGATACTGTTGTTTTGCTTGTACTTTTTGTTAACTGTACATATAATAAATTATGTTATATATTTCTTTATTGCAGGCTCCTTTAATCCAGTGTTATGTTTGGGAGACGCACCCATACAACTGCATGTCACCGTAGCTTGTTCATTTCCAGTGTCGTGTAGTGTCCCTTCATGTGAATTTATCACAGTTTATTAGTATCTTCCACTCTGATGGACATTTGGTAGTTGGAATTTTCATTACTAATGATGCCCCTGCCTGTGGTCATTCCTGCCTGCCTCTTGATGCACACAGGCACGCATTTCTGCTGGGTATGTCCTAGTTCCAGACTCACTGGTTATACGGTATGGATGTAATTATTGTTAGTTTTCCAGTGTGATTAAACATCAGATTAGCGCCCATTAGCAATGTCTGAGGCTGCCTGTTGCTCCACTCGGGTGCCCGTTTGGTATTAGGAGCTTCTTCAGCCATTCTTGTGTTTGTGTTCATGTATCTCATTGTGGTTTTAATTTTCATTTCTATAATGACTAATGTGGTTGAATATGTTTTTGTATGATTATTTGCCATTTGTATTTGCTCTTTTTAAAGTATTTGTACAGGACTTTCACCCATTCTCTTATTGTGTTGCCTTATATAGGAATTATTTCTATGTTCTAGATATGGATCCTTTGCTGGCCATATATGTTGAAAGTATCTCCACTCTTTGGCTTGCCTTTCATTATTTTAATTGTGTCTTGCTGAACAGAAGGTTTTAATGTCAAGGTAGTTTTTAGTCAATCCCCTCATTTATGATTGGTGCATTTTGTCAGGTTTAAGAAGTCTTTTCTCTCCCATAAGAACGTGAAGAAAACATATTCTCCTATGTTTTATAGACCATAGGTTGGCAAACTTTTTTCTGTAAAGGACTAAATAGTAAACATTTTAAGCTTTGTGGACCACAGATAGTCTCTGCTACATATTCATCTTAAAAAAAAAAAAAGAATAACCTTTAGAAGTATAAAAACCATTCTTAGATGCTGGGCCAGAGTGGGCCAGGCTGTACTTTGCCTGTTCCTGTTCTAGAAGTCACAGTTATTTGCTCTCACCTTTACAGTTATGATTTCAGTTGCAGTTGGTTTTGTTTTTTGTTGTTTGGGTTTACAGCATGAGACATGGGACATCTCTAAATGGATATTTATTCATGTTGAGAAGTCCATTTATTCCCCATGTCTATGCAGTGACCCCTTTGTCACAAGTGAAATGAGTCTGTTTCTCAGTTGTCTATTCCATTTTATTGTCCTATTTGCTTATTCTCCCACCATACCGCACTACTTTAATTATTGTAGCTTTATAACAAATTTTCAAATCTAATAGAGAAAGTACTTCATTTGTTCTTTTTACAACTGTCTTGGTTATTCTTGGTTAAGACATTTCCATTAGTATATAAATGAATCAGTTTGTCACATTTCAGTTTCAGAGTAATTTTTAAAAGAACTTTTTCTTTTTGAAATGTAGAGAAGGTTTTTAGAAAATCTTTTTCTTCTTGAAATTGTAGAGAAACATCTCTACAATTTTGAGTCATCAAATCTGTAAACATATTATAGTCCTCCATTTGTTGAGGTTGTCTTAATCTTTCCCAATCATGACTTAAAGCCTTTCCCTACAGAAGTCTTGCATACATTTTGTTGGATTTATTATTAGGTAGATGAATATTTAAATATATATAATCTATTGTAAGTGTTATGCATTTATTAATTGGCAGTGCTTCCTTAAGTGTTTGTTGGAGCATGCTGCTGAAAGCATCTTGGCTTATACATTTCCATAGAAGATTTAAAATTATAGGACACTAGGTTTCCTGATATTTTTGTTTTTTTAAAAATCAACTTATTTTGTTTTACTGCAATTTTTTTTTGTTAAGAGACAGAGTCTCACTATGTTGCCCAGACTGGCTTCAAATTCCTGGACTCAAACAATTCTCCCACCTCAGCCTCCTAAAAAGCTGGAACTATGGATGCACACCACTGTGCCCACCTCTAATTTCCTTTTTTTCCTGATCTTTCTGGCTGGTTGCTTACCAATTTTACTCACCTTTTTAATGACCCCACTTCTGGTTTTACTGCTTTTTCTTATTTTTTTGTTTGTTTTCTGTTTCATCAGTTTCCTATATGAGATCAACCCACAGACATACAATTTTATTTGAGCATTTGTATTGCTTAGAAAGCATTTATAAAATTTTATTAAATTCTTCTCGACATTTTTCTTTCAGCATGGCATTACACTGCAGATTAATAATTTCCAATTAAAGGTTGGGTGGAAGCTCTTCAATTGCACAGTTAAAAAGACTTTGAAATATGGAGATTTCTTTTTGTACTTGCCTTGGGATCCACAAAAAACAAAACACTACCAGAACAGTAATTTGTGCTCAGAAATTATATCCACTGTAAATTTCTGTGGGAATAGAAATCTGGAGAAGTAAATGAACAGCTGATGTTTCTTATGATTCAGTTGTTACTTTTCATCACAATAACTTTACTGAATTTTAAGCATATAATTACTGTTTTGCCTTGTAACTTTAGGTTGAATTTATTTTTAAAAAATATAAAGTCCGATTTACAAAGCTATTTAATGTTTGATAACAATAGTTGAAGGAAATTCTTTTGATTCAGAAAAATTTTAATATCAAACCTGAACCATAAAAATTGCAGTAAAACGTTACTACCTCTGCTAAGTCATTGAAGTGCTTTGTGATACAGTATGTCAGGATATCCAGCTTCAGTTTCTGACTAAATTTCATAGAAATGATTGTCATTAGGTCCGTGAGCATCAATGAAGTACACCATTGATTACACTCTTTAAATAATGTGCAATAGATTCAGATTCACATATTTTATGCAGAGTACCTGCTAGTAGGTAATATAGTAACCATAGGCCTTAACATTTTCATAAGTTTTTCAGTTTAGCCAACTAATCCTTTTTTGCTTCACACAATTTCACAACCACCACTTATAACACATCTTAGCAGATTCCACTTCAGGTTGTACCGAAGTAGTACTTTCTCATTTTTCTGAAAATCTTTTCTTTGGATTTAAAAATTTTTTCTTTGAAAATATTCTTGCCATGGCCATAGTTTGCCAGCTGTTAATCTAGCTTTCAAAATAAGAAACCACAAAGAAGAGAAAATTGAAACATAGACCTAGTAGAAGAAAGGCAATAATGAAAAGCATAAATTAATGTAATGGAAATAAAAAAAATTTTTGAGAAAATCAAAGAAACCAATAGCTTATTTCAGTTTTGAAGACATCAATAAAAATGATAAAACTCAAACTGAGAAAGAGATTACAAATTACCCAAATTGATGTGGTAAGAGGAAATAAGTACAGATCCTACAGACATTAAAAGATTATGAAGGACATATTATAAACAGTTATGCCAGTAAATGTGACAACAGACAAAATGGACAGAATCATTGAAAGACACAAACTATCAAAGCTCTCTCAGGAATTCGTAACTTAGTTGCTGTGGTGCCTGTATGACTGTACATGTCAGTACTCATTGAACTGTATGTATGAAAAGATTTAATTTTTCTGTATGTGAAAATTATCTCAATTTACTTGACTTTAAAATATTGTTTAATGCTGTCAGTCATTTGAGCTACACGTAGATTTACCATTTTTATTCTTTTCATCCTTTCTGTGTCTGTAGCCTTCTTTATGTGATAATCCTCCTTCTGCCTGAAGAATACCTTTTCAGCAGCAGCAAGCTGAAGCCAGCCAGCTCCGAGAGCCAGTTCTTTAATTTACGAGAATTTTATGAGCTGGCTGTCAAACACACCCATTAGTAAAAATCGAATTACATAAATTTACAGTTAAATACATTATGTTTGGAAAGAGAACACACATTCAAAACTGATTCCTTCCAATTATTGTACTAATTGTGCTGTTATCCATACCTTGGAGGCCATTTTTATGATGCTGTGATACTCCACATTTAGTGCTGTCACCTTGGTAGCTTGAAGTCAGTCCTGGTAGGAATATTTACACAGCAGAAATTAGCAAATGCTACTAATTAGAAGTTTATTTGATTATCTAGACCAGAGGTTGGTAAACTATGGCCTGGGGCTGGGGCTGGACATCTTTTTTTTTTTGGTAAATAAGTATTTGTCAACACAGCCACACTCATTTGTTTATGTCTTGTCTGTGGCTGCTTTCATAGCTCAGTAGCAGTCAAGTGGGAGCAACTGAGACTTCCGGCCCACAAAACACAATATATTTACTATCTGGCCCTTTGAGAAAATGTTTGCCAACCAAAATCTAGATTTCAAAATGTGATGGAGAAGATGTTAGTAAGGTGCATTCATTTTCAGATGTCTTGTGTGTAACTGTTACATTTTGAATAGCTCCAGAAATTTAGCCCCTCTTCCAGTGGTTAAAAGTATCATCTCATTCAACAAAGAAATCGCTCACGTCATTGCCGAACACGTGAAGTTCTGACATAACATCTTCATCACCTCTGTCTCGTCACTTTGCAGCATTCATGTAGAACTGTGTGTTCACCAGTTGCAACCTCAGATTGGCTATGGACATGAGTTTGGCAAATATCAACAAAGTCATGCTATAAGAATCAGCTGGCTATACAGAATTTACAACAAAGAGTATTGTGTATTGAATTATTTGTAAATTGTATACTTCACATCCTTTATATCAGTAGAGTTTATTCTTTAAGAAATGCACATCTACATGAATACTTGTTTTGGAATGCCAGCTAAACATTTATCAGTACACCATTGCCTTTATTTCATTTCACAGGGAATTGCTGGCAAGTTCTGGTTTCAGTTTCTTTTTTAGAAAATGTCTTAATTGTATCTGTATTTTTATATCATTTGTTATAGGGGTCTAGGTTTCCAGTTATTTTATTCAGAATCCAGAGATACTGTGACTTTTTCTTCAGGCTTCCATCATTCTTCTTGAGAAGTCAGCTCTTCTTTCAAGTAATGTCTTTTCTCTAAATTGAGATCTGACTAGGTGTGGACACCTTTTATTTATCTTGCTTTGAGATCACAGGGATTCCTGAATCTATAGCTCAATGTCTTTCAACAGTTTCAGAATGTTCTCATCTCTTACTTCTTCAGAGGTTATTTTTGCTCCATTCCCTTGAATTTCCTTCTTTGAACCCATTTACGCATCGGTACACTTCCCTGTATCTTCTAAATCTCTTGTTCTCCGTTATTTCCCATTATTTTATATCCGTGGGGTCCATTGTGTTGATTTCTTCTGATCGCTCTAACAGTTCATTAGTTTTCTTTGCTACTGTGCCTAATTTGGTTTTAAACCCATTCATAGAATACATTATTTCAATGATTTCTCAATTCTAGTATTTTCATTTTTTTAAATAGTTGGTGATTCTTTCCTGAATTTGAGATCTTAGCTTTTTTCCTGCTTGAAGGTAGTAAAGCATAGTTATTTTACATTCCAACACCTGGAATCCCTGTGATCTATTTTTTGTCTTTATTTCTGCCATTTTTGTTCATATTGTCTTATCTCCTCATGGGTCTAGTTGTTTTTTATTTTGTGCCATATTAGTACATTGGAGAAACAGTGTGTAGAAATGACGTATTGCCCGGGAGGATGTTTTCTTCCTCTAGCAGTGCTTGGGGCACCGGCAGTGTGGGATCAGCTCATTCTAACCCTAGGGATTAATACGATCAGAGCAGGGCTGTGGCTCTTTTGAGGTTTGCTCTAGTGACAGCTCACTTTTACTCCTACAAGGTGGCCATTCAGATTCTTCCCCCAAGTTGAGGGTGCTCAAAGGACCCTGCAAGACACTGTCTGTTGCCCCAGGGCAGTCACCTCGCAGGAATGGTGCTTCATCCCAGGGTAGGGGCAGCTCCTGTGCTGCTGTTTCCTCCTGTACGCTGGCCCAAAATTGTCGCTGTCTGCTCTTAGAATATGACCCACTCCTTTCATAAAGCTGAGTTCAAATCCCACATCCCAATTTAAAAAAAAAAATCATGTTATAAGCAACACTAACAACAAATCCACTTTTCTGTCAGCCCTGCCCACCTCCCCATCTTCCTTTCTGAGACATGCAGCATTTCTCTGCAACAAGCAAAATTTTGTATGTGCAAACACACCCTCCCACCCCAAACTTTATTTTAGTCTCTGTGTCTTGGTTAAGGTGTCTTCCTCGCAGTGCCTGCCACCTTGCGGTCGAGCCCAGCTGGCAAATGAAGCTGAGCTCCAGTTCTGCCTGATGCACCACCCCATGCCTTGGTCTTCTGCTGGAGGCTGGGGGAGGTGAGCACTGGCCAAGGACCAGCCCTCTGGTTCTGTCCACATCGGCTTGATGCCCATTCAGGGGTTGCAAGTTCTCCTGGTCTGGATCTATTAGTTGAAGAAATTGCCACCTCGTAATTTCAAATTAGTGGGAATTAAAAATTTAATGGGATGTATGTATTTTTTGGATCATATGAAACTATGTTTTATGTGGTATTTAATGTGAGTTTAAATATGCTTACTAAATATGACTTTTGTTAATATCTCAGTTGATGCTCGTGCGAAAAAAGTCTGCCTTTCTACCTTTCTTTCCTACCTTTCTGCCAAACCCAGTCCTTTTACTAATATTTTAAAGTATTGATTTGAAGCAGCAGTGTGGTTGCTTCTGTCTGGGTTTGAACAAGTAACTGAATTTTAATTCCTGAGACCTCTTACATATAGCAATTGTCTTGGCTGTTGTAGGAAGGCAGCACCCTCATTCCTCTGATTTAGCTCTCTTTGATTCTACAGGAAGTTGTTGCCACTGTCTCTTTTTATTAAACTAAATGCCAGAATTCTTTCATGTCATCATAAGATGTTAATGCATATTGCTTTGGGGACCAAAGTCATACAATTAGAAACCACTCAAATGCTTTTTTATTCTAATTCTGAGGTTACCAATTCCTTAAAATTAGTAAATTTTCACTGATTTTGCAAGCCAGTTGTAAAAAAAAAAAATAGTATAAACTCCTCACTGACGGTAGTTTGGAAGCTGCATTGTTTGGATGTGATGTTTCAGTGCCACACACGTTAGCGGTGGGAACTGGAAGCCAGTCACGAATCGGCTATCTGCTTCAGGGATCTGGCTTTGCACTCCTGCCCCTGCCCCTGAAGTGGCTCTAGGGACAGCTGTGGTTTGAGTGGACTCTTGCTCCTTCCTGACCTCTTAATGGCCACATGGACCCCCTTGCTTATCTTTGAGAGCAGGGCCTTGATGGAAATGCAAATGTGTTTCTCTTTGGTAACCCAGATACCAAAACCAAGTGCAGTCCTGGAAGGTGAAAAGAGTTTCCAAAGGAAAAATAAAAGACACATTTCTAGGAAGCATGGGAAAACCTTGGTGGCTTTGTCCTCTGGTGACAGCAGCCTGGGGGAGGTGGAGTAGCTGGGATGCCCCCAGCTTTCGCCTCCCCTGGGCTCTATCCTGCATGTTCTTGGTCCATAGCCCTCTGTGGGCCATATCTTTCCAGCATCAGTACCTGTTGGGGTCCGTGCTAGGAACACAGCAGTGAGAGATGAAGATGTGGCCTCCCTGACCGCCTGGAGTCCACAGTGCAGGGGAGGAGGGTGACTTTCAACAACTAATGAACAAAGCGTGGCTCAGTCGTAGCTGAGAGAGGCACTGCCCAGGAGAAGTATGAGGCATCGTGGGAGCATTTATCAGAGTCAGAGGAGGCTTCTTTGAGAGGTAGCTTTTAAATGAGATCTGAACCACGTGGAACAAGTAAGAGCTCACGAGTGCCTGTGAAGAAGGACCCCACCTTGCACTTGGGGGACCCGAGGAGGACCTGTGTGCTTGCCGTGCAAAGCAGCAGGACAGAGGACCCAGCTGAGGGCCAGGCGGGAGCAAGGGCCCAGCACACTGGGAGGTTTGAGAGGGTGTCAGGAGGCCATTTGGATGGAGAAGCCACGGGCAACCAGAGGAGTTTCGTCTCGAGTCCTCACCCTGGCTGTAGTGTGGTGAGCACATTGGATTTGGAGAGGTTAGGCAGATGCAGGCAGGCCAGTTACTGGACCATCATGGTGGTCTAGGCAGGGAATGACTGGGTTTAGACTAGTAGAAGGATGACAGCAGTGACGTCTGTAAGTGGACAGATTGCCGGAAGAGTTAGGAGTGAAAACGAGGACTTTGTGATTAAATAGGGCCAAAGAGGAGGATAAGGCAGGCGTGGGCCCGTGTTGCTGGCATGTGTGACTAGCAGGAGGGGAGTCCCCATCAGAAGGGGAAACAGAGCAGGAAGCCAGGAGTGGCGGGAACAACGCTTCAACCTTGGGCCTGCTCTTGTTGAGGTCCAGGGAACCAGTGGGTCGGATCCGTGAGCATGCAGGCATGGAGCTCAGAGAAGCAGCATGTGTCAGAGATATGGCCTGAGAGCCACACACCCACTGCTGCTGCTGTGATCTCCTTGGGTGAGAGCATCAGGGAGAAGAGAGAAAGACCCAGTAGGTGGTGTCGCCAAGGGAGCAGGCCGTGGTGACAGAGGCTGGTGGAACCATCGGGAAAAAGGGTGCCAGAGCCCATTTCCCTGTGGCAGCCACCACCCCCTCCTCACAACACCCACCAGGTCCCTTTTCCTTAAATCAAAACCTGGTGGATTTCAGGGGCAGGCGCTGCTCAGTTGTGGCCTCTGCAAGGTCCCGGCCATGTGTCACCATTGAGTAGCTGCTACCTGGCACTGCGCCGGGCTCTCATGAGCACATGTGAGTGAGGGAGGGAAGGGGCTCCATTGGCTGAGCAGGGTGCACCCTACCTCTCCTGTAACTCCCAGGAGTGGCCGTCCCACACCCAGATGGGGAGTCGGGGTGAAGCCACCATCCTGTGCGTGAATCAATGGAAGGCAAGGCTGGACTCACCCCCGCCTTTCCCCAGGGCATTGGGCCGGATGTTACTGAGCCTCCTTCACTTCCTCTTCCCTGTGGCCGCCCCCCGACCTTCATTTCCTTGGTAATGGGACACTTTGGCCGCTGTCATGGTTGGCCAGGCTCGGTGTGGGCGGCACCCACCAGTTCCTTCTGTGAACATACAGGTTGATGGCAACAGCGCTGGGGCCATGGGGATGACTGCGGGGAGAAGGGCTCATGGCAGAGCAAGCGCAGTGGACCCTCTCCCTCTGGCCAGTGTTCTTCTGTGAAGAGGTGCATCTCTGCGTCTCTGCGGCGTACTCTGCGAGGGTCCCTGTGGAAGTGGCTGAGATCAGCAAGACGACGTGTTTGCAGGGGTTGGGCCACACCAGGCTCTGCACGTGACATGGAGCCTGCAGCTGGAAGAACAGTCTGTTTAATAAAAAATAACCATTTGATAATTATAATCACTTTTAAATTGATAAATGGATTCTTTTAAATAAAAGAAACCATTAAGAATGATTGTTCTGCAGAAAAAGCACATGAGGAAATGAAATTTTCTATCTCATTGGGAATTTCTTGGTAAATATGCAAGCAGATACATACATTACATTTAGATTTTAGAAGTAAAATGACCTCATATACTTTACTTTTTTAGCACAGAGAATTCTGTATAGCATAAAGCAGTAAATCACAGATACTGGGCATTATGAGTGTATTTTTCTTTTGGAAAAAAAAACATTGAAAAAGCAGAGTTATTAATTGGAGTCCTCAAGGTCCTTATTTCAGTAAATCTGAAATGGTGACCATCTTACCCATAGCTAAGTTGGGATGCCAAAGCCATTTCCACCATCAGCGTGCTAGTAGTAACCATCCAGGGGCAAAGCGGCTGATTCTGCAGCCTGGGCATGTGGTATGTGGGTGTCTCTGATGGGCCAAGGGAAATGACAGGCCCTTGTGCTGAAGACTGATAGGAGTTGATTTACATGAAACACATGTGTTTTTTTTTTAAAGACAATTTTAATGCACATATTTTCATTTTCAGCTTTATAGTGTTTTATGTCTTTTGCCTTTGTGATTTAAATTGTCTTATATTATTTATAAGCATTTTCTATTATTTATAATTATTTTTAATGATTTTATGTAATACCATTTTATTTCTAGCTTGACCTGAGTTGGCCTATGCTAACACATTTAAGCTTTCCTAATTCCCAAGGTTACCATAAATCAGCAGGTCCCTAACTTCTGTATTCATCTCTGCCCTGTAGAGAATAGCCAACCTCAGGTTTTCGCAGCCATGCCTCATCTCTCTGTTTCTCTAAAGGGAAGCCATAGCAGGTGCCTGGGTAATGTCCAGATCTGAAAAATCCCATGTAACCTGGAGTTGAGGGCCTGTCTTTCACCCAGTCTGTTTGTAAGCAGTGCCTCTGCCCCCACCATGTCCCCACCTGACAGGCCAGCTCAACACCTGCCTGCCTCCTCGTCCCTGCTCTAACACTAGTCAGGGCGCACAGCCCAGCGAAGTGCTCTGTCTGCTGGGAGGAGGTACTGGCTGTGATCGGACTGCCCCCCACAAAGCCCTGAGCAGGTGAAGGGTGTGGGCCAGCCGGGGGCGAAGGAACAGGTCACCGAGGCCACTGCCAGCACCACCAAGAATCAGGCCAGGTTCCGGGGGCATCTCTGTCCCCACCAGCAGCACTGCCCTTCAGCTTTTTGATGAGGCCGGTTGTTGGCCATAAGAGGAGCGGTGATAAGTTTAGATTGTTTTGGTGTCTGTAGGTCATTACTGGAATTACACCAGCCAGCCATGAGGTCATAAAGTTACCTTGACAGATTGTGAATGCCGAGTCCACAGTAACTCTGGAGGGCTGCCTGGCATCGTCCTTCATCATTGTCCAGAAACGCTCCTCTCGGGAAGGCTGGGCGTAAAACTGAAAAGAGGAGGCTCAAGGAAAGAACGCCTCGGTGGCTCCATGCAGGAAACATTATTTCTGATTTCAAGCTGGAGAGAGAAAGGACTTTGGGGCCCCTGTTTTGGAGGCCTGGAGTGATGAGTACTGTGTCTCCAAGCTCAGAATGAAGCCACCAGTGGTGGCTGCCTTTGTTTCTGCACTTTCAGTTCCTGCAGGTGCAGGAGCTTGCCAGGGCTGCTGTCAGGGACACTTTTCCAGGCCCCGCTGCCCTGGCTGGGTTTCCTTCTCTGAGCAGGAACAAGTGCCCGATGCTGTTGCTGGTGCAGATTGGAGGGCTGCCAGGGCTGGGTGACTCCCTGCCGCATTTTGCCAAGCTTGTGTAGCTGCTTCTGCCTCTTGGAGGGGCTGTGTTAGAAAGCATGCATCACCTCCAGTTACCTCAGGCAGCAGGAAAGACTTTTAACCTACTAAACAAGCGTCTTCCCTGGGAAAATACATCCTTTGGTTGAGACTGTAGGAGACACACTGTAAGTTATTTATCTTGAACCCTAAACTGCATGTAAAAAATGTAACCAAACCCTCAGTGCCTGGGGCGAAATCCACTCCCTAATGTTTTAATGACACAGGATCCACTATGCTACGTGTGCACCGGGTGTAGACTTGGTCCAGTGCATGTGGTGCTAAGCCATAAGGGACTGTTAGGAAGAGCCGGGCATGGTGGCTCATGCCTGTGGTCCCAGCACTTTGGGAGGCCGAGGTGGGTAGATCACTTGAAGTCGGGAGTTCGAGACCAGTCCCGGCCAACATGGCAAAACCCTGTCTCTACTAAAAATACAAAAACTCGCCGAGCGTGGTGGTGCACACCTGTAATCCCAGCTACTCGGGAGGCTGAGGTGGGAGGATCGCTTGAACCCAGGAGGCAGAGGTTGCAGTGAGCCAAGATCATGCCATTGCTCTCCAGCCTGGATGACAGACTGAGACTCCATCTCAAAAAAAAAAAAAAGAATCGTGATATTCTTGATAGGAAGTAAATGTTAGTCATAGGATTACAAGATTTTATTCTAAGCTCTTACAAGCAAGCAGTTCAGATTAATGTGTTTTCTTAGAAAACTTGATTTGATTAAATTTCATACTTTTTATCTATTCCCCAAAATTTATGCGGTCCTTGTGTGCTTGAGGGTTCTAGGAACAAAGTGATTGGGGAAACACCGGTCCCCTCTGCTGTGGGACCCTGCGGGCTTCCAGAACTGGCGTGAGGTCCGAGTCGCTGTGGGACCCTGCGGGCTTCCACAACTGGCATGAGGTCTGAGTCCCGGTGTTTCACAATATTACTTGACCAAAGAGCGTTTTTTTCACAAACACATGAGGCAGCCCATGTGACTCCAGGGACCCGCAAAGCACAGCTTGAGAAATGTTGGTATGTTTCAATGGAAATGTATGTAATTAAGAATATTAGTACAATATTTATTAAAAGTTTCTGTCTTGAATGAAGTAATAGGATATCCTTTAGGAAGCCTGATGTCGGGACGTGCTGTGGGGTATTTTTATGTTAGGTGTTAACATTCAGCAAACAAATCCAGGCTCTACTTTTATCCTTTAATGAAAGATTTTATTTTTTATTCAGCATTGGTGCATTGAGGACTTACAGCCATCTTATCTTACCTCGATGCCATTGAAACAAAAAAATTAGTCATAGAAAACAAACCTAATGCCTTCCTTTGCAAGTTCCAGTCAGAAGTGTCGCATATACCAGACAACACATCATTTTTATAGTTATAGAGAGAACTCCTATGTACTTCATGGGAATACAAAAATGTCACAAAATTAAAAGGAATTTTTCCAAAATTACTGTGACTGAACAGATCATTCCACGCTCCGTTATACCATTCTGATCCTAATCCCATAGTTTAAGTGTAGAGGCTGGAAAATGTCTTCGATTTAGAAAGGAAAGACAGGCGAGTGCTGTACAATGGTGCAATTCAGTGGCCAACGAGCCCAGCAGTCGCAGACCCCATACATTCCTCTCGTTCATATCCTATCGATTTGTGACAGCGATCACATGCTATTGTAGTACAAGGAAGAGGTTTTTTTAACCGACTGTATGACTTGTAGACTTTTCTGTGAATTTTCATTAAGGTTGGTGAATTGTACAAGCTGAGGAAAGCCAAGACAAGCTAGTTAAAATCTCCTGGCACACAGGTCAGCCTGAGTTCAGATTTTATTTCGCGGGCATGATTTTGGGGATCCCGTGCTAGATTGTAGTTGTGTTGTAATAAAGCCCCCTTTCCAGCGCTGCAGTGGGTTGTGGAAATTGTTGAGAGGAGAAACCACCTTCTCCTAGGCATCTGTATTTGGTTACCCGCCAGCACTGAGACATGCAGGCATGGAAAGGCAGACTCAGGAAGGTTCAGGAATTCTACCGACTTTGGAGCATGCTCTCCCCCGGATCTGAAACACTGGCCCCCGTCTTATCCACCCACCACTCCTTAAGACATCCAGGCGTGGAAGGGAAGATTCAGGAAGGTTCAGGAATTCTACCGACTTTGGAGCATGCTCTCCCCTGGATCTGAAACACTGGCCCCCGCCTTCTCCGCCTCCCGCTCCTTTAACCAGTCGTCAGGTATTTCCTCAGGTACCCGCTCTGGGAAGCCTTCCCTGACCCTCCTTTGCCCCCGTGGGGACGTGGCTGCTGCTTCCCCCGTGTGCCTGTGGCCCCTTGTGCCCAGCGCCATCGCCACTCCGTGAGGGTAGATGTGGGTGCCGGCCGTGTCTGATGCCTCCCCACAGGGGCCTTGGGCACGCTGTGTGGACGCTGCCTGTGCGTGCTTCCTGAGCGACCCCATCAGTAAAGCGTCGCCACCATGCAATGCTGCTGGCAGTCCTTGTACTGAGACAATGTGGTAGCTGCCATCCTGAATTTCCCTCTGAAACTGCTCCCACCACCAGTGCTGCCTGTGCTGTGGCCCTGCTTTGTGTCCTGTGGCCTAACACTGGAGCGCCGGCTGCTACCTGTCTGTCTCCTGTGCTGGACAGGAAGCACCATGCAGGCGGCGTTGTCGTCCGATGGTCTCCACCTGTGGCCGTAGCACCGGGTGCGCTGTGGACTGGGACACTTCCATGTCACTCCACACGTGTGCCCCGCTGTGGCACTGTAAATATTCATTTGAGCTGGTAAGGAAAATGACATTTTAAATGCCATGATGATATATAGTGTATTTCTCATGTGAATCACGTTTTCCTTAGTATGGCTCAGCAGCACGCCATGTTTCCGTCCCATAGAGACCATGCTTCCTGTGGGGACGCCCATGGTCCTGGCTACCTCTGCTGAAAGACGGCCAAGGTGACTCTTCAGCTATAAGAGAGATCACTCATCCTGGAAACTTGTCAGAGCAGGAGAATTCCAGAAGGATCAATATTTTTAAAAAATTCTGTTCCTAAACTTTTGCTCTGCAAAAGGTCTTGTAAAAAGAGAACAGAGACAAGTCAGCCCAGGAGAAAATACCATTGACCTTTGAACAACACAGACTTGAACTCTGTGGGTCCACTTACATGTGGATTTTTTTCAACCAAATGTGGATGGAAATATAGTGTTCACAGGATATGAAAACCGTGTATATGGAGGGCCAGCTTTTCATATACACAGAATCTACAGGGCTGATTGTAGGACTTGTGTAGGTGCAGATTTTTGTATCCATGAAATCCTGGAGGCACTCACCAGCATATACCGAGGAACAACTGTATTTGCAAATCCCATATCTGACAGAGGAGTTGTATTCAGAACATGAAACCAACTCTCTAAACTCAAAAATAAGAAAATAAACATTCCAGCTAGAAATTGGACAAACAATCTGAACAGAGACTTCATCCAAGAGGAGATACGTAGGACCATAAGCACAGGAAACAATGTTTATTGTTAGCCAACAGAGAAATGCAAATCAGAGCCTCAGTGAGGTTCCACGCAGAGACCACACACTCCTACAGCCACTCGGAGACCACGTGGCCACTTCCCAGAAAGTTAAGCATCTGTTTCCACAGGAACCGGAAGTTGTACTTCTGCTCTTGTATCCTAAAGAAAGGAAAACTTATGTCCACACAAAAACTGTACACAAGTGTCCATGTCAACTTTATTTGTAGTGACCCCCAAATTGGAAGCAATTCAGATGTCCTTCCAAAGATGAAAGAAAAAGCAAACTGTGGTCTATCCATACAATGGAATACTTATGAAAACAGAATAAAAAGCAGCCAACTATTGATACACGGTACAATTTGGATGGATCTAAAGGGCATTAGGTGGAGTAAAGGAAGCTAATCCTAAAAGATAGGATTTTTTTTGTATGTAACACTCTTGAAATGACAAGCAGTGATGGGGAAGAGATAAGGGTTAACAGAGACTGGGGACAGATGACTTCGTAGGTGTAGCCTGACAGGTGTCTTTGTGATGAGACAGTTCAGTATCCTGTCTGGGGTTTTGTGCATGTAAATCTAAACACATTATAAAATTTCATTTTAAAACATAATTTTTAAAAGTCCATTAAAAATAAAAATACATAAGAATTTAAAATGTTTGTAAAAACTGGTGACATCAAATAAGATAGGTAGTTTAGTTAGATGTATTGTATCAATGCCAGCTTCCTGGTTTTGGTAACGCATGATTATGTAGAAAGTTAAGCTGAATGAAGGTGCCTGGGAACTGTCACTAATATTTTTCTTGTGAATCTTCAATTTCAAACTATAAAGTTTAAAAAAATTTGTGCCTTTTACATACCAGTTTTTTGTTGTTTTTGAGACGGAGTTTCACTCTGTCACTCAGGCTGGAGTGCAGTGGCGCAGTCTTGGCTCATTGCAAACTTCATCTCCCGGGTTCAAGCGATTCTCCTGCCTCAGCCTCCCAAGTAGCTGGGATTATAGGCGCACGCCACCATGTCCGGCTAATTTTCATATTTTTGGTACAGATGGGGTTTCACCATGTTGGCCAGGCTGGCCTCAAACTCCTGACCTCAAGTGATCCACCAGCCTCGGCCTCCCTAAGTGCCGGGATTACAGGCGTGAGCCACCACGCCCAGCCCATACCCATTTTTAAAAAGAGAAAATGGACAAGAGAGCAGGGAATGGCGTTGGCTTTGCTGCTGTGAGTCTTGGAAAACCCATTTCCAGTGCAAGTGCCTGCGTAGGAGTACGGGGGCAGCATTCTTGTAATGAAAGTGAGCCCTAAAGCCAAAAGGTGATATTCCCCCTGAAATTTAGGAAAGAAAGGAAACTCTTAGGCTGGAAAAATGTGGCTGAACTTGATACTGTTCATTTGATGGTTCTTTGATTAGCCTCATTACCTAGTATTTGAACAACATAAAAAATTGGTTAAGAATAGCCAAAGAGAAAATGCCCGGGTGAGTGCTAGGCGTCCATACACATGGCAGCTTTTAACAACGTGCAGCCATGAAATATGGAAAACTTCCTGACGTTGATCACAGTTGAAACTTCATACTTTCTTAATTCAGCCTCTTATTGACAGTAATATATTTTAACTCAAGAATGTGTTCATTCAGTGTATATTGACTTGGCTTGTTGAAATGTTCACAGTACATGTGAACACTGGGTTTCCTGTCATGATGACTTAAGACAGGAGGACAGCAGTGAGTGATTCCTGCCAGTCAAGGAACTTTCCCTGGAACCCCACTTGAATGGTAATAATCTGCTCCTATAATTGCTGTGGAAAAGGAAAGCCCTCTGGAGATTTTACATCTAATCATTTATTTATAAATCTGTAGATGGCAGTCTGCAGAAGATGTGTCAGGGGTCAACTTTGTGCTCAAAACAGTTGCCTGATGTTTACATTTCACAGTGTATTTTTTTAACAGTACCTCCAGCCCCCATCATCACAAAAGGACCCTGGCTTGCTGGTAGCTGCTCCCCACTCATCCCACAGCCCAGACACTTCATTACAGATGCCTCGGCAGAGGCTGGTCCCCTCTGTATTTGCTGAAATATGCATGTTTTTCCATCTCATTAATTCAGTCTACATACAATTAATTTTTGCCTATTAATAAACCCCTTGGTGTTAGCGACAGCTATCTAAACCACTTCACCTAGTGTGGAATGAGCAAGTGTACTTGCAAATTTCCATCCCTGGTCTGCATTTTTTAGTGTTGTATTTGTGGGTTGGAGAGTTTGGGTGCATAAATCAAGCATTGTGAAGAAATATAACTGCCGAAGACTCTGGGTTCAGACTGGCTGATGGGAAGTTTGAAATACGAATTAGTTCCACATTAATTGGGGATAGAGGGAGATGCAGGGGGGCCATCCCAGCACGTGGTAGTCAGGGAGGGTCTCTGGCTATGGGAAAATTTGTCAGCCTTGTATGTGCGTGAGACCAACTTTCTTTTTCCACAAATACAAATCCTCTCCAAATTGGACACTTCTCAAAAGATATCTTTTCTGTGTGTTTTCAAATCTCATAATTTCTTAAACATCTAATAAAGTCTGTGAATACACGTAAGTGATTGTGTATGTGGTAACTACACCAGCCAACAGCATTGAAAGGAAAAAGGAAGAAAACACAAAAATCAGAATGGAGCCTTGAAGTTGAGATGAGCACCACCTAGCTCATTTAGAGACATCCACAGGAAAGGAGGTTCCCCAAGACTTTTGTTATGCTCCAAAGCCCTGAGACAGATCCATGTCACAAGGACACCTTTCTCATGGTTCAACATCACCAGCCAGGAGGAAATGCAGAATTCTGTATAAATGTTAGGAATTCTTAGATTTCTCACCTGGATTTGTAAAAATTGCAGTTCATGGCGAGAGACATCCGGGAGATCCAAATGCCATCCTCCTAGAACTTGCTGGAGGAACCAGATTCTTTCTAAGCGATTTGCATCTTGATGTGATGCTACAGTTCTATGACAGGCCCGAGTAGCTGATGAAATTCTACGTGGGAAAAGCTTTTGAGTGCCTGTCCTGGTAAACCTGTGACAGTGGCATCACATAAAGGTTTCCAGAATGTTCTGTGAGGAGATTGAGCCAATGTCGTTGGTCAGCTTAATTGGAAGCAGGTGATTGAAAGTCAGATAAACATGCAAGATTTGCTGATTTTTAAATATGCCATATGTGTCAAATGTATGAATTGTGATGATGGACAAGAACACTTTCGCAGCTTTAATGGGAGCATGTAATGACTTGAACAAGACTGCTTAGTTTTGGTTACTGATGATCAAGTACAGAATCTTGCTGGTGTCTCCAAAACTTCCTGCCTGGCCTGGGCAGCTGTCCTGGCTCCCTCTGGCCAGTTCTCTGCCAGGCAGCCAGTGTGAATCTGGAAGGGGCTAGTCCTGTCTTCCCCTCCCTGTCTAGTGCCTTTAACGTCTCCGCTGAGCCTGCCACCTCCTGGCCTCCTCGACCCTCCACCTCCCCGAGCCGTGGAGGTGAGTCCTAGACCTTCTTCTGTGGGCTCCTCTCCCCGGGGCCCTTTCGGCTCAGCCCCACTTCTCTTATTCACCCACTTGTGTTCTCTGTAGCTAAATGATACATAACAGGAACTCGTTAAGTAGCTTGTGCAGTGAATGAGTTAATCCTAGGTGTTTTCAGAACAGTGAATTTCAGGTTCCTGACTCCGCTTTGAGCTCATTCAAAGAAAGTCATGTAAATAAGACCTAATCATTGCAAGAAGTCTAATGAAGAAACCATTCATTATCTCTGGAGATGGGCAGGTACACCTCACAGAAAGTGAAGTCTGTTGCTGATGAATAGTCTGCATGCCCACATCTTCCTCTGGGTTTCTAAGTAATTGAATAAGAAACGTTTCTATTTATATTCTTATTTATGTGCAACTGTATTTAATTATTCCCTAGTTTTGAGGATTGGCCAATAAACCTTTTCTTCCCTTTTGCCATTGATTATTCTTAAGTTTAAGACAATGCCCAGTGGCAGATGTGCTTAACCGCCATCCTTCATCTAGTTCATGTGACTTTTTAATGTCAATTATAAAGAAAATTACTCCTTTGGCTTCAGAAGTTTATTTAAATCTCTTCTGAGAAAATTGGCAGCTCTTCGGAGTTAATGTCCAGAGCAGCAGAAACAGAAACTGGAGGGCACAGACTGGTGGATATGTGAACAGAAGCACTTTTTTTAAACAAAGTTAAAAAAAAAATGTTATGCTATTGCTAATAAATTGAGTCAGGGGAAAGAAAAAAAAAAGAGATCCCTAAATCAGCTTCCAAGCTGCCATTAAGATGGGCAAGTAAGATAATTCCACATAAATAAGACCAGAGGCCTTGTCTCTGTTTTTATTTATGTATTTATTTTATTATTTTTTTGAGACAGAGTCTCGCTTTGTTGCCCAGGCTGGAGTACAGTGGTGTGATCTCCTCTCACTGCAACCTCTGCCTCCCGGGTTCAAGGGATTCCCCTACCTTAGCCTCCCAAGTAGCTAGGATTACAGGCGCCCACCACCACATCCGACTAATTTTTGTATTTTTGGTAGAAATGGGGTTTTCTGCTGCTCTCAAACTCCTGACCTCAAGTGATCCACCCACCTGGGCCTCCCAAAGTGCTGGGATTATAGACATGTGCCACCGTGCCCGGCCTGCCAGGGCTGTTTTTAAATGAGGATTTCTCCATTTAAGGAGGTCACCTGTCCTGGACGGTATTTCCTAAATGCCTGGCATAGGTGACATCATGCGAACAAGTGATGGTTCAGAATACAGAAGTCATGAGTTTGAAGGCTGTGATAGAGGAAGGCCGGGAGAGAAGTGAGAACAGAACGTGCTTGCCCTGGGCCTGCAGCTGTTGCCAGCATCTTCTGTCAGCTGATCTGGGCAGGGCGTGGGGGTTCTTCTCAGGCCTACCTCCTAAGAACAAAAACATGACTGACCACGAGCCTGTCCTCAGGATGCAGCCTCCATCCTTGGTGGGCACAGCTGAGAGAGGAAGTTCTGAGCTGCTTTGGGGTAGGGCTCTGTTGCACTCACCCTCCCATCTCCTTAGTCGCTGCAACCCTGTGTCACAAATAGTAGGTTCTCAGCAAGTGTGCTGAACCAAGGGGTAAGAACAACGTTTTTATTTTTTTATTTAATTTATTTTTATTTTTTGTTTTTACATTTATTTTTTAATCCATTTGGAATTTTTCTTTTTGAGATATATATAATAGGGATGAACTTTTATTTCATTTTTCTAGACAGGTGTACAGTTACCTTAGGTACATATATTGAATTGTTATGTCTCACCAATGCACCACAACGTAGCAGTCTCTCATAGCCCGACGTATCACCCAAAGTTCTTTGTCTCACGACCAAGAAAGTTAAGGAGCGCCGACGCCAAGGGTATCACTGGACTGAAAATTTAATAAGCAAAAGAAGAAAGCTCTCTGGTGCACAGGGGGGACCCAGAAGAGGGTTGCTGTTTTTACAGTTGAATGCAAAGGCTTTTATAGGAAACTGATGAGAGCTGGGCATCTTATTTGCATACGGTGCAAATCTGTGGTAGCTCCACCCCGTCCTCCTAGTGCACACGTAGGCCCTTAGCTTGAGTTACTCCATATTGCTTTGTTTCCCTTACTGTGCATGTGTCAGGGGACAAAATTTTTCATTGTGGGCATGTCTGGGAAACTCACATGTGTAGCCCTTTTTTTTTTTTTTTATACTTTAAGTTCTAGGGTACATGTGCACAACGTGCAGGTTTGTTACGTATGTATACATGTGCCATGTTGGTGTGCTGCACCCATTAACTCATCACTTACATTAGGTATATCTCCTAATGCTATCCCTCCCCCAGCCCCCCACCCCACAACAGGCCCTGGTGTGTGATGTTCCCCTTCCTGTGTCCAAGTGTTCTCATTGTTCAGTTCCCACCTATGAGTGAGAACACATGGTGTTTGGTTTTCTGTCCTTGCAATAGTTTGCTGAGAATGATGGTTTCCAGCTTCATCCATGTCCCTATAAAAGACATGAACTCATCATTTTTTATGGCTGCATAGTATTCCATGGTGTATATGTGCCACATTTTCTTAATCCAGTCTATCATGGATGGACATTTGGCTTGGTCTTTGCTATTGTGAATAGTGCCACAGTAAACATACGTGTGCATGTGCCTTTATAGCAGCATGATTTATAATCCTTGGGGTATATGTCCAGTAATGGGTTGGCTGGGCCAAATGGTATTTCTAGTTCTAGATCCTTGAGGAATCGCCACACTGACTTCCACAATGGTTGAACTAGTTTACAGTCCCACCAACAGTATTAAAGTGTTCCTATTTCTCCACATCCTCTCCAGCACCTGTTGTTTCCTGGCTTTTTAATGATCGCCATTCTAACTGGTGTGAGATGGTATCTCATTGTGGTTTTGATTTGCATTTCTCTGATGGCCAGTGATGGTGAGCATTTTTTCATGTGTCTGTTGGCTGCGTAAATGTCTTCTTTTGAGAAGTCTCTGTTCATATCCTTCACCCACTTTTTGATGGTGTTGTTTGATTTTTTTCTTGTAAATGTGTTTAAATTCTTTGTAGATCCTGGATATTAGCCCTTTGTCAGATGGGTAGATTGCAAAAATTTTCTCCCATTCTGTAGGTCGCCTGTTCCCTCTGATGGTAGTTTATTTTGATGTGCAGAAGCTCTTTAGTTTAAAGACTTCATGTCTAAAACACCAAAAGCAATGGCAACAAAAGCCAAAATTGACAAATGGTATCTAATTAAACTAAAGAACAACGTTTTTATTCTGTATCATCAAGGAGGGAACCCAGCACGCCTCTATCCTTTTAAGAGACACGGCAAGCATCAGACCTGAGGGACATCATCATTTCCTTGCAGCTCAGAATGCACTTAAGTGTCATGTAGTGGGTTTTCTGTTTATGGGTTTGTTTTTTTTTTAGAAAATGTGTTCTTTTCTATCTTTTGTTTGTTTTTGAGACAGGGTCTCGCTGTGTCACCCAGGCTGGATGGAGTACAGTGGCAAGATCTCAGCTCACTGCAACCTCAGCCTCCTGGGTAGCTGAGACTACAGGTGTGCACCACCACGCCCAGCTAATTTTTGTATTTTTTGTAGAGATGGGGTTTAGCCACTTTGCCCAGGTTTGTCTCAAATTCCTGGACTCAAGTTGTCCACCTGCCCCAGCCTCCAAAGTGCTGGGATTACAGGTGTGTGCCACTGCGCCCAGCCCAACCCTGTCCTTTGTTTCTTACAATATTCAACAGTCAGTCACTTCTAGCTTTCACTTTGTCCCATAAAAATATTTCATTGAAAATTGCAAGCCATGGCAGTTTGCAGTGTTTCTAAGCTGAGGAGTTCAGCTCCACACCCAACAGAGCTCCAGCTTCTGGTTTGATTCTTAGAGATAGGAGTGACTTTTTTCAATCATGTACATCATAATTAGGAGGAAGGCATTCAGTCTTGAACATGGGGACAAAAAAGTGCTGGAGATAGTAGCTTGAGAGTTGCAAATATTTATTTTGATTCTGACTTTAATTCTTAAAAATGTTTGTCAAGAAGACAGTGGTGTGATGGAGCAGGTCCTTCGGTTACCACAAGCACACACCCTTTCTCTGTAGTCTTATAGCTTGTTTTCTTGGTCGATTGTGCCAGCTCTTATAAAAATATTATGCTCCCAGGCAAAGGGCCATTTCTGTTGGAATTGTTGAGAAGATTCTTGGCTTAACTCTTGATCCAACTCTGATCAGCTTGGCCAAGACTAGACTTGACAAGTTTGCTCTGAATTGCCTCATGCTGCTGTGTGGGGTTTCAAATCATTGGCTTCCCAGTGCTTTCTGGGCTAGACCAACAAAACAATGCCTGGGAAAAGAGAGATGATAGGCCGTGATAAAACTAAAACTGCGTAATACTGGAATTAACTGAGTTGGCCATGTAGATGGCAAGATATTAAAATTGAGTCCTTGTGTGCCAAAGTCGTAAACTCATTCAGATAGGCCCTAGGTCTGTGAATGTTTGTTGTTGAATCCTAGGCTCTGGGTGGAACCGAAAGCTGAAAAACATGAAATTCCCCCTCTGTCCTTTGGATCTTATTCAGACAGTCATTTCCTAGCTATTTCAAGTTTTGATCAAAACAGACACGCAGTAGAAGCCCAGTCTAAAACATCGGTAGTTTATATCACATATTTACTTCCATGTGTCTTAAGTGGTTAAGTTGTAGAATTATGTCTTTTAGAGAATGGATGAAGAAGTCTAGGAGTACAATAGGCAAGAGAATATAGCAAAGTAGTTATATTTTGTCAATTTTAAAGTAAATTCTGAATCATTTTAAGTATATTCAGTAACACCCGTTTGCCCCCACCTTCCTTCCTTTGAGGTTTTCACTTATTCACTCATTAATAATTCATCAGTCTTTGCTGTTTGTGGCATGAGTATGTACAAAAGGCACTGCGGCGTCCATTGCTGTGAGTAATATAGAGATGTCCAAAGGTGTGGCTTTACCTGTGGAAACCACAGGACCATACCCAGAGCATTTGGAGGTGCCATATGCTGCTTAAGGGTGGCACATGGAGGGGAGGCTGGGCTGCACGCATGCTGGTCCTGAGGTGACCCTCTGGCCGCAGGAGAGCTGGAAAGGTGCCAGCCGTGGGTGCCATGCACTTGTCTGAGGCCAGGATGGGGAGACCACATTCCAGGTACAGGGATAAGAGGAGGAAAGTCCCAGGAGTGGGAAGGCCTGGGGGAAAAGGGGAGAAGGTCAGGGGGAGGCAAGTTGGCCAGATCGGCTGGAGCTTGGGATTCAGCCAGGACAGAGCCTGAGCCCCAGGCCAGACTGCAGGGCTGTGCCCAGCACTGGATGCAGAGTTTGGATCTGATTCTGAGTATGTGGTGATGACTCGGGGAGGCTTGTGAGCAGGATGGTGACAACCAGGCAGGATTTTAGGAAGGTTTGTCTGGTTTTGGCAGGTTCTCTGGATGTGACTGGAGTGTGAAGAGGCCAGTTTAGAGGCTCTGGAGGTTGTTCAGAAGTGGCAACAAAAGGGAATGGAAATAAGAGATGTTGCAAAGCAGAAACCAACTGACATGGAGTGCGGGAGAACTTGAAGGCAGCAGTGGGAACTGGGAGCTGTTCCCGGCGTGGGGAGAAGGCTGACGTTGATGTTGCCTAAGGAGTTAGAGGTGATGACCAGGTTCCAGGTGGCTGATCTGGATAGGCAGCTGCATGGGGCAGGAGCCCCAGTGTGGCACAGCTGTGTCTGTCCCCTGCCGGTCCTCAGAAAGTGACACCTAACACTGTCCCAGTCCACACAGAGCCTTGTCCAGTAGTCAGGGTGAGGTGAGTGGAAGCAAGAAGAGGAGCTGGCAACAGGACTTGGGAGAGGCGGAGAGCACAGCAGGCAGCTGGGCCCAGACGTCAGCCCCAGGCAGTGTCCTGAAGCAGCGTGTGCACCTGGGCAGTGCAGGCATCGCGAGTAAGAAGAGGGTGTTAGCTCGGATAACTGGGGCTCCTGAGCAGCCTTCAAGAGGACAGGTTCCTTGGGGCTGTGGGTTTCAAATAACATCATGGAGGAGGGAGCAGAGAGGCTTGAAAATAAACGGCGGTGGCCGGGGGGAGCACAAAGAAGCCAGGCCTGGCAGTGGCACAGGTGTCAGGGGTTTCATGAAGGAGGGGCCCGGGAGTGTGCCTGCCACATGGACACTGGAGCGAAGGTGCACCCTGAGGCAGCCCACAGTGAGGAATTCAAACGCAGCTTCCTGGGCTGGATCCTGCAGGGCCTGAGTTCTCTGTTCCAGGGGCATCTTCATCTGAGGATTTGGGGTGTCCGTGCCCTCTCCTGGTTGAAAGTGTTAGAAGCCACGTTGGAGAGGCCACCACTCAGGTGCTAAAGTTAAAGCTCTAGAGTTTGGTGCCTGCCACTTAGCTGCATGGCCTTGGGAGTTATTCACTCCTCTGCACTTTGGTTTTCTCGTTAATCAAACTGGAATCCAGATACTCACCTCCTACCTTGTTATGGGAACTAGACGTGGGCGGTGCACGTGGGGGCACCGAGCACAGTGCCCAGCACCCAGTGGGTGCTCAGGGGATGGCAGCTGCCATGATTTTTGGGACTGAATGCTTTGATACCACCCAAATATATGGTCTGAGGTGGTTGTAAATAGAATTAGCAGAGGAGATGATACAGACTCAGAGTTGAATTAGGGTTTGAAGAAGGGCTTAGGTCTGGAGCGTTACAGGTGGGAGGACCAGCAGAGAGTGGTCAGGAATCAGGAATGACAGGACACACCTGGGGAGCCTGAGCGGCGGCTTCCAGGCAGGGAAGAAAAGCTCGGGGCAGTATGAGTCCAGACCAGGGGCCTATCAGGCGCCTTCTATGCAGGGTCAGGTGGTAAAGAATTATCTCAGCCTTAGTGGGCTAGAAGATCTCTGTCATAGCTATTCAGCTCCGTTGCTTTCTGAGTAAACAAATGGGCGTGGCTGTGTTCCAATGAAACTTTATTTACAAAAACAGATGGTGGGCCAGTTTGGTATGTGGAGGCATGTTGACTATGGACACCTTGAAAATCCCATGTGGCAACAGATATGAGCCAAGTGGTGACGTGGAATGCCCCATCGTTGAGGGATGGGGACGCAAGGGCAGCGAGGAGGTCCTGTGGGTCCGGGTGTGGCGTGGGCCCAGCGTGGCCATGGCATCTGGGGCCTCAGCTGCAGGGTTGCAGTGGAAGGAAGGGGAAAGAAGCTCAGAGTGCATTCTGAGGGTCAAACTGGCCTGTAAGTGACAAACTGAGGTCACTTCACATGTACATGGAGGGAGACAGGCTGTCTTTGGAGCAGTGTCCATGCAAGCCTGCCTGGAGGGAGCTGCCACCCTCAGCTGCAGCCCCAGACCTCGCGGTTGCTCTCATCCGTCGTTCCCAGTGTGGGCAGTGACGCAGCACCACGGTAAGTTCTGTAGAGTGGACGCCACTCGCTGGCAAAGCCCAGCAGGGCAAGGAATAAGTGTCACTCAGTCTTTATCCAGAAAAATCCACCAATGTACTTTTAGTGCAGTATTAACACATGGTAGAAAATGGAATTGCCTAGAGGATTTTAATCTCTGATGGATTATTCTTGTACCTGTACCTGTCTGATGGTCGTGTAAGTCCATGTTAACAAACCTGGGACCACAGGAAAGGAGAACTGATGCGAATACAAACAGGTGGAGGATTTCCAGGCGTCAGTGGGGTCTGGGAGACTTTTCCAAGAAGTGTTTTCATTGCAGTTAACATTTTTAAAGATGAATATCTCACTATTATAAAGGTCAATGCCACTTCTGTAATATTAATTTGCAATTGAAAGGTATTTTCTTTTAAGAAGTCCCCTTTTTCAAGTTTCTCAAACTGGAATTTTCTTGAGCATCTAAGAATCCTTTCCTTTCAAAAGATCCCCAAGTTACCCCGGTCTAAGCTAAGAAGGGTTCAGCGTTGGCCGGAAGCATAACTCTAGCTCTCCAAGGCCTTGGGCTGCGGCAGGGTTTGCATGTCCAGGCAGTAGGTGGAGGCTTCTCTTGGTCAGTGTGTCTGCTCAGGGGGAGGCCTGGCTGGGGAAGCGGGTAGCAGTTTGGGACCAGAGCTTAAAAGAGAAGGAGAGACCGGTGCGGTGGCTCAGGCCTATAATCCCAGCACTTTGGGAGGATGGGGCAGGTAGATCACAAGGTCGGGAGTTCGAGACCAGACTGACCAACATGGTGAAACCCCATCTTTACTAAAGATACAAAAATTAGCAGGGTGTGGTGGCGCACGCCTATAATACCAGCTACTCAGGAGGCTGAGGCAGGAGAATCACTTGAACCCGAGAGGTGGAGGTTGCAGTGAGCCGACATCATGCCGCTGCACTGCAGCGTGGGCGACAGAGTGAGATTCCATCTAAAAAGAAAAAAAAAAAAAGTGAGACTTTGAAAGTGATGACAGTTTCCACAGTTCCCATGGGCAGGTGGCTCAGAATGAGGTGGCCTGAGGCCCACAGTCTGTCCTTGGGGACTGGGTGGCCCCCACGTCCAGGCAGCAGGGAGAGGACGTGCTGGCTGCCAAGATGGGGTGGGAGAAGCCCAGGGCATCAAGTGCCACGGAAATAAAGCTGGTTGCCTTAGTTGAATGGCGCCTTTGAGTTCCCAGAAGCTCTTCTCAGCGGGAGGCTCCCTGTCTTTCACCTCTGCTCTTCTGAGGTACCAGTTGAAGGGTTTGGGGGGTGAAATCAAGGCATAGGGCTCCTGGCAACACTACCCCTGGCTCCGGGGTTTGCATGCCGGGGCTTCTTCCTTGTCCTGGCTGTCAGAGAACACCTGGAAATAAATGCTGCATTGTTTTGCTGGAAAATCCTGACACCACCTCCTGCCTTCCCCTGGGAGGGCTGAGACCTGGCCTAGGCATGGAGCTTACGGTCCACAGACCTGCCTGCCTGCAGCATGACAGCCTCCCAGAGGGCTGTATTGATTTTTGAAGAGGAGGAAAAAGGCATACAAAATTGGACTTGCCAGCCTTCTTTGAGTAGAAATTGGTGCTTCCTAAAGGGAATCTTAATTGGCTAGCTTCGAAGCTAAAATGTTTTCTCCCCCTTCCCTTCTCAGAACTCTCCAGCCCCCCTGTTTGTTCTTGTGAGACTTTTCCAAGCCCCAGTTACTTTTCTTTCCTGCTTTGGAACATAATTGGATTCTTCGCTGGGTAGAGTTTTGCTTGGAAGACCTGAGGGTGTAGCTGAACCAAGTTTGAGCACCCTGGAAGGAAGACAGAAGATGCCGGGAGACCAGCCAGCTCAAAGGAGAAAGGGAGGGGGACAGCATCTGAACTCTGGCCTCCAGCATGATTTCATCCTTTAAACTGAAAACCCTGAGTTTCAGTGCCAGCGACGACACTTGTTGAAAAAGTACAAATGTTTTCTGCTTCTTGTAATCTACTTCTTGCAAATATTAGTACTCTGGAAAAAAGATTTATTTTAATAATGTGAGTTTCAGATTTTTTTCTGTAGTTAACGTTGTTTTATTACTCTATATCCTTGCCAGAAAGCGTGTTTTAAGAGTTTCAATTCAAAATTAAATATGACCTCAGTGTTTTAAAATACAATTATATTAACTGTCCATTTAATAGTTGCTGAGGATTTTTTTGGCCACTGATGGATAGTCAAGATACTTGTCTGAGATTAAATGCAGTATTCTCAACTCTGCTAACCAGCTAACTTGTTCCAGCTGCAGCAATCAACAGGAAAAACAAGGGCTTTCTATGAAGTGAGCTGGAGAAAGTTGTTCCCGGATAAAATTGCAGTACTATTCTATAAGCTGTGCTTTTCTTTTAAAAACTCCACTGTGTTTCATAATAGGGAACTATCTATTATTTATTTAGAACTGTACAAACCAATTTACAAGACAGGTAATTTAGTGACAGAATTATTTATTAATGAGCCCAAGTATACAAGTTAATGGGACCGAGCCCCGTGGAGGTCAATCCTCATATAATCCATGCCTTTTGGAAAGAAAAGTATTGTCTTCAGAACATTTAGTTATGATTGTTAAATTTAAATTACGATATATTCTCTTGCTAAGACAAAAAATAATTTTTTCTGAATTGCATGATGACAGAGTTAGTCTGTAAGCTGTGTGGAGATGAATTGTGTCAATTAGGGGTAGGTACATCTTAGCCCTGTTGGTACCAAAAGTATTATTTCTCATTGCATGGGCTCACAGGAGAAAGCAAGCCTGTTCTTTAATAGAGACGACAAATCAGAAACCGCTGCCTGCCTGGGAGATGGAACAGTCGTGCAGGCGAGGAGCTCAGAGGGCGGGCGTGGCTTCCCAAGCTCTGGCACAGCCTGCAGGCCTTATCAGGTGCTCTGCTTCTGGGGTACTCGGCACTTTGCTCTTCCGGTGGATGGGGGAGGGGCGGGCTGTTCCATGTGACAGCATGTGGGCTTGTCATGATTCGGGGTGACCACTGGCTTCCATTTCCCAGGAGTGGCTTTGTCCTCGCGGTCTTACGGTATGTTTCCAGTAGATGAGAAGGCATGCCTACAGACAGGGCCTGCTGGTGTCTGCTGTGTGTCATGGGGGGAGGCAAGGTTTTCCTCACTGGGACCTCTTCACTCCCCCTTTATTAATGACCCCCTGGCTCCTCCCCAGAGGCCCAGAAGCCTAGAGGAGAAATGAGGGTACAGCATAGATGCCTTAGTGTAACGAGTGGGGCTGCTGGAACTCAACAGACTATTTACAGTTACAGCATGAAGGTGGTGCTTGAAGGATTTGCTGCTTCGTTTCATTTTTCTCATTTCATCTCATCATGAAGTCGATTGCATTATATCAGGGGGTGGGGAATGGAACAGACACAGAGGAGAACCCACCAAGTTCTGTGTCTTCAAACCTGCAGCATTTCCAGGTTCCGACTGCAGAGTCCTATCAAAGTAAGCAAAATTGGAAGTGATGCCCATTTCCTGGGCTTTCACAAACTTTGTTATTCTGCAGTCTACCACAAAATCTGAAAAGGCAGAGAAATGTAGCTTTCACTGTTTAGAAAATCTTTGTGAGTTTTTCTTCCCCCTAGGGAATGGTTTTCAGCACATTATTCATTGGAAAAATGAAATCTGAAATGTAGGTGTATTTTCAGTGCACGTGCTCCGGAGGAGCCTCAGCACCCTTGTGTCTTGTCTACCCATTCGCTCAGTGGGCAGGGATTGAGCACTGGGAATGTGCTGGGTCGGAGCCGAGGGCTGGAGGCAGAGTTGGGACCAGCCCCAGGATGGTGCCTGGCTGTTTGTCCCAGGGCTCACTGGAACAGCCCTCCTGGGCAGCCCTTGGTTGGACTTCTTTACGCAGCCCAGTCCACACCTCACCTGTGCATTCGTCAAGCCATTGAGTGCAGTGTTGTGGCCTGAATCACTCCAGGCCTTGCTTTGGAGGGTTGACAGTAGGGGACACGGCAGGCCGGGGGCATTCTGGGACCCAGGTCTCCTGCCTATGTGGAATACTGATGTGTGTTGTGTGGACAGGTCACTGATGTGTTTAAATGTAAATCTGACCTTCCTTTAAGAGCAATTGGGCAGCAGTCTGGGAGCTTGAGACTGTATGATGTGGACACCTAGTATCTCTTTCTGGAAGCTTCTAGTGTATAATAGAAAGTAGGTTGGTTACTCATTCCCAT
Organism: Homo sapiens; assembly: GCF_000001405.40. Classification (NCBI taxonomy): domain Eukaryota; kingdom Metazoa; phylum Chordata; class Mammalia; order Primates; family Hominidae; genus Homo; species Homo sapiens. The sequence continues at coordinate 129,697,158 of NC_000010.11, forward strand.
TGTCTTTGAATAATGGGGCAGTGGGCCTGGATTGTTGTCCTGTGGATTGGGGAAGAGATCATAGAGATCATAGAAGTAACCTTAGAGTAAAAGAAAGTAAATCAAAATGCTATTCTATGTAGAATATATGCCATCAAGGGCAGAGCATGTGGGCGTGTGGACTTGTCATGATGAGGAGTGACCACTGGCTTCCATTTCAAAGAGGAGAGCTGGAGTGCTTCTATTCCACGGAGATGCCCCAGACTAAGGTCTTTGGAGTCAGGCTTTCATTCCATTCCTGGGTCTGTCCCTTATGCGTTTGGTAAGTTGTTATTACATAACCTCCGGACCTCAGTTTCCTGTTTTAGAAATAGAGATAATGGTACCTCCCCCAAGGGTCTTTGGGAGGAATAAATAGAACAGCTTATAATGGAATGCCTGGCACATGTTAGGCACTCAGTAAATAGCAGCTGTGCAGTGTTGTGCGAGAGCTTACATCGAGCTGTTTTCCCAGAGTGCATTGATCCTCAACCGTGTTCATGTACCCCTGCCCAAGGTGCCATATTGTGTAATGGAGATGTGACGTCGAGGCGCCATGTTGCCTGGAACTTCTGGAGTCAGCCACCTTGCCTGTGGCTGACCTTGGCTGTGTTCCTGAGAGAGTGAGGATGTGAAATTGCATGACACAAAGTCGGTCATCTTGTGCCCGTCTCATCTACTCTCACTGGTGGTTCAGTTCTTCTCTGCCCCTAAATTCTTACATCCCAGAGCAGGTTCTTGGTTGAGACACAGGTGCTTGCCTCAGGTTTCCTTGGAAAACTCCAGTGGCACCAAGCGGTCAGTAGCCTGTAGCGGCCACTTGCACTGTTGTCCCCTTTTGTGGACGTGGACGTTGACTCTCCATGTCTGGTCTGTGCAGGAAAGAGTGAGTCCTCTCTTTCTCACTCCAGAGCCTGCAGGGGTACCCACCCTCAGCCGGGCAGGGCAAGCCAGGACAGAGGCTTTGAGGGCATCTGAGGAGGAAACTGCAAGGTGTGCAGTTTGGCCCAGCAGAGAGAGACCAGAATGCAGAGGGTACTCAGGGCAGGCGGTTGCTACTCTGGGCTGTGTGCGTCATAGCGTTTGCATGACAGACACCAGCGGTTGACCAGATGCCCCATTTGAAGCCCATGTCCAGGCATGCAGTGTTGATCTCTGTGTATAGATCGACGTGGCTTCTTCTCTAGGGCTGGGGAAGAGAACTGTTTAATAATGCACAGTTGCCTAGCCTCAAAGATCCTTTGAGAAATAGCTACTCTGTGCAAGTTTTCAACAATTTGTTTAGACTAATGGAATGACTCTTTAAAAGTTTATATCTTTACAGATATACAAGCACTTTATTTCTAAGCAACTAATTTAAGCTGGGAAAGAAGAACGTGCCCTCATGTGTGTGTAAAACGTTAGAAAGCAGCTCTGTTCACTGCCGTGGTGGTGGAAGGCATGTGCAACACAGACATAAGGCTATTTGAACTCTTTATTTGCCACATTTACAATATTAATAATAGCGTTTCTAGAAGTTGTCACATCAAGTAAAAGATCTTCATTCCAGGCTGTCTTTAGGGGCCAAATTGAGACTGGATGCATGCATTTAATAAATTGTAGTCTCACGTAGTCATTTTTGTAAATAATTAGTTTCAGTGAAAGAATAAGTTAGCATATTGTATGCATCTAATGTTGCAAATGTACATACAGCAAACTTTGCTATTAATCAACAGTCAGGCACCGCAAGTGGGGTCTCATACATAATGAATTGTGCTTAAGCCTCATGGGCTTCTTGATAGAAAAATAAAAGAAAACACAAGTGCAGTAAGCTTTTGAATAAAATTTAACTAGATTGCTCTGCATCCTGTAATTGTTTTGGAATCTTTAGGGACCTGATCATTCATCTATAGTTTTGGGGTGTTTTTATCTTCATCTGTCAAATAGTAGAGACTTTTAATGATATGTTAAAATGTTGATAAAATACAATTTTCCTTTTAATGATTTGAACATTTGGAGGGGGGAGGTAAATAGGCTTTTTAAGGCTTTCTGATCTGCCAAGTATACTATTTGGGTTGTCTTTTAAAAATATTTTCATTATTTCCTGTATTTTTAAGAATCAATTATTTTTAAAAAGAAAAATATATATAGTCCTTATGGGGAAGAGTTGAAAATTTACATAAAGTGTTCTCTGTATTTTTGGTGGGTGTTTTAAAATACTATGGTAAATACCTTTGCAGTTTTGTTTAGGATCTGACATTAATTTGAGCCCCAGATATTGAGGGCATAGCGTGCCGGTTAAAAATCGGTATCCAGTTTTAGCAAGATACCTACGACCACCCAGAAAGTAACTTGGAACCTAACTTAATTTTAAATGGCCTCTTTCTCCTCTTCACATTATTGACATTAGTACATGAACCCGTTGGTGGCCTATAATAGGATCATAAACATAGGATTCATTTTGGGATGGGGTTGAAGGCATAAAAGCAAGGAGTGAGATTTATGTCCACCTTTATTATGAACCACACAGTAAAAGTGCAGTAAAGATCTGCTGACTTGACAGCCAGAGCTCCTCACAGCCCTCCTGCAAGCACTCATGGAACCCGTCCTTCTCCAGGAAGACCTCCTGTTTACTTCTGCGCTAGGAATGGGCTGTGCTCATCACTTACTTCCCTGTCTTATATGATGTCCTTTTGTACAGAATGCATCTTTAAAATAGGCCCTACAACTAAACACATAACAGTCAATCAGTAGACTCACCTGTGATAAGTGGGAGGCCCTCTTGTACCAGAAAGTTTTAAAAAAAAAATACATTACTCATACCTGTCATTGTTTGTTACGTAAACTTAAGCATATTTTTGATGTTTTGTGCGTGTTTATTCACTTCTTCCTTTCATAGTTGAACACATCTTGTTCTTGAGGTTGCGTTGGAAATCAGTAGGGTGGCGCATGAATCACTGAGAACAGCCCACGGTGTGTGGTCAGTGCCATCGTCATCATCGTCATCAGCAACGGCAGCTCAAGACCAGCAAGGCCGCGGTTGTGTCTGTCATGAGCCCGTTGGCATGCCGTTTGTTTTTTATCTTTGCCACAGTTGCACTGTTGAGATCCATGTTTCCTATTACTAACATCAGCACTTTTAATTTTCCGTTTCTACTCAGTTTCCTAAAAGAACTATAGAATATTCAAATAATTGCATGCGCTTTGTCAAACGTACATGGTCATAGTGCCCAAACAGTTGCTGGCCACCACGCAGAGCCACGGAGCAGTCACTGCCATGTTCCTTCGCAGCCTCCTCGGGGCCTCCATGAAACATCGGGGCCAATGGAAGGCGGAAGTGCTGTTTCTGATGTTGACCTGTGTGTTTGACCCTCACCTTCCCTTCCTGCGCAGTCGGCTGTCAACTCCAGAGGAAGGGACAGCCCTGAGTCAGTATTCTCACCACTAACCGCATGCATTTCAGATCCTCAGTAAATGATTGAATGAAATTAAGCCACTGCATTTGTCTGAAATACAGAGTCAAAAGGTTTTATTCAGCCTCCTGTTTAAAATAAAATGATCTTTATTAAGAGCAGGTAGCATAGTTTATTTCTTTTCTTCAGTCTTACCCCTGAAAGAAAACATCTGAGCTTTAGCAGGAAGTTATAATTAAATGCAGGACAAATCCATCAAACACAAGACACTCTGCTAGAGATCTCTAAATGGGACATAATTGTGCATTTACCAGTGATATTTAGCAAGAGTCTCCATGCAGCGTGGATAATCTTTGGCTGAAGGCATGTTCCTTCCTACATGAGCCCCGGAGTCTGCTGCTCTGCCCTTCAGTCCCGAAGCCTCTCCTGGCCCTCCACACCAGGTTCTGGAAGCCAGAGGAGGTGGGGTGCTCACTAGCTGGGTTTGGAAAATGTTGCTCATCACCTGAGCATCTGAAGTGCTGTGTGTGGCGAGGCCACTAAAAGCTTTTCAGATCCCCACCAGTTTCCGTGCAACCTCCTTCACAGCCTCATGGAAGCCTTGCGTCCAAGCTCGGCACCTTGCCAGATTCCAGAGGAACTCAGAGGAGCACCTGTCTTTGGAACGAACTCTTTCCTTGGGTGACCCTCCAGGGTGGTCAGGTAGCATTCCCAGACCATAAGATGAAAACGTCGTCCATGGAGAGAGAGAGGAGGTGTTCGGGTCACAGGAGAGGCAGAGGGTACACAGCACTCCCCATCTGGAGTGTCCCACGGTCAGCCCGATGGTGCCTCAGATGTGAGTAACTTATGAAGGACTCTTGGCCGATTTTCTTAAATCAAACAGGATTCAAGCCAAGTACATCGTGTGTTAATGTCTCTGGGGAGTAGAATTCATTCAGAAATGGACATTTAGTGATTCTCTACTGCCAGTGGAATCTTAAGGCACCCAAAAATCTGAATACCCAAATCTCCCAGCTGGCTGGTCAAGTTTTAGAATGTTGAGCACTCTAAACTGGGAAGAGCCTGGTAGCCGTGGTACCAGGAACACTCACTCTTCCTGCTTGCTGCTTTCCTCATGCTGAGCTGGGCTGAGATCAAGACTCCTGGGGCACTTGCTTCCTCTACCCTTTGTCTGTGGCCAGGTGGGATTCCCACACAGTCAAAGGAAGCCCGTGTCCAACAGGGGCCATTTCCCTTAAATTTCTCTCATCACCCCCAGCTCTGCTGTGCCTCAGGTGGGCCGCTGCCACTCTTCCTTCACGTTCTTGATAATATCAGTGTCTTGAAAGGAAGCTTCTTGCAGGTAGGGAGGACGCTTTTCCCTGGAATAGCTGCTGTGCTCATATGAGTTTGTGCTGGAACATTCTAACCACCTTTCTGTGCCCTGGTTTGGGTTGAAGGGAAGGCGATTTAAATCAAAATAAATCTGCAAGGCAGTTCATCACTGGGACATTGTTTTTCCAAGCCGGGGAAGGCGAATGGGTTAGGGCAGCTTCCCACAGACGGCAACTCCGGGAGAATATCACCGGGGCCTTCCAGTCTGCCGCAGCCCCGGGAGCTTCTACCCAGGGCAGGTCAGTGTTGTCCGGTTTGATTTTAAGGAACCCCTGGCATTGCCAACAGTTGTGTTTTTCTTAAAGAAATCCTTGAGCCAGGTCCACATGGCTCTAGCTTTGCTGTGTTAAGGTGCCCGACGCCCTGTTGTCACATGTACACACGCCCAGCAAAGCTGGGCTGCTTCACCCACCAGCCACCATCCTCTCGTGCCAAGTCAAAGAAAGTGAAAGCCACCAGTGTCATGATATTTGCCTCGGGATTATTCTGTGGGTGACACGTGATGTCCTAGGAGAGGCCTAGGGGAGGTGCGACTCTGATGGGCTCTGAGTGTTTCCCCACCAATGCTGGGAGAGGGTCTTGTCTCCTGCTGGGTTCAAGGGATGGGATAGGAAGGGGCTGAGGTGCCAGGCAAAAGTCTTGTCTCCTGCAGGGTTTGAGGGATGGGACAGGAAGGGGCTGAGGTACCAGGTGAGGGTCTTGTCTCCTGCACTGGCTCCTGCTGGCATCATGAGCTGGCATCCGTGGCAGCCCCCGGAGCTGCAGGATTTGGGCTTCCGAGCAAAGGTGCTCCCCCGGCAAGGATGGGGCGGACCACAGGGCCGGCATTTCAGTGGTGGGTGAGTTGCAGGGCCCCTGGGGAAGACTGGGACGTGGCATTTCCATGAGCGTGGGCTACGGAGCCCGTAATTGTTAGTGTTTCAGGGTTTGCCAGTGGGGAAGCTTGAGGAACTCCCCCGTGATAAGCGCCGCCGTGAGAGAGGCCATCACCCCAGCTCTTCTTCCAGGGCCGAGCGCGGCAGGGAAGGAGGAGAGGGCAGGGCAGGAGAATAAATTTCATTTTACTGTAGAAATGGAAATTTGTGTCATGGCTTTAAAAATCTGGTTTTATGTGTGTGTTTAATGCCATTCATTTTAAATGTAGTATCATAAATCATTGCTTCAGAATCAAAGCTGTTTAATTACATTTCACCCATGAATAGTTATCTAATGCCAATAGAGAAAGAGTTAAAAAGGAGAACTACAGAGTAAATCAGAGGTTGAGATCTTCAGCACAAGCATAAAAAATCAATTTAAGATGAATTTTACTACTATAAAAATTCTTCAAATATCCCTTTAAGAGTGGGAACTGCTAGGAAAGCCAGCTCACATTTCAATTCCCTCAGCAGCATGAGAGAAGGACGCCCGCGTGGGCAGAGGCTTGGTGTGCACCCCGTTTTGCTCAGGGGTGATGAAGGAATCCTAACTCTGGAGTCTGAGCAGTTGCTGGGGGCACAGAACCTCCCAGCTCTCGTGGTAGAATGCCCCCTCTCCCACAGTGTACCCTCGCTTCCCTGAGAAACCCCATCTGCGGGGTGTGATGGCCAGCCAGACCCCGCTAGTCCTGAAGACTAACCCTGACCTTGAGGTGCATGCCTCGCCAACCAATCCCACATCCCAGTCTTACCCGGGGACCGTACAACTCACCCACCACTGAAACGGCAGCCCCTGTGCTCCACTCCATCCTCGCCGGGGGGGCACCTTTGCTTCGGAGCCCAAATCCTGCAGCCCCAGGTGCCACCACGGACGCCAGCTCATGACACCAGCAGAGGTAGTGCAGGAGACAAGACCCTCACCCAGCGCCTCAGCCCCTTCCTGTCCCATCCCTCGAACCCTGAAGGAGATGTCAGCTGAGCTCTTGCTGCAGGAGGTGCCAGGCCCAGGTGGCTTGATCAGGGGTTTTGTTTCCTCAGTTGAAGGTCGGGGCACATGGGCCCCATCACGCTTGCTCTTCCTGTCTGGGCAGTGGTGGTTGACAGCAGCCAGCTCTGCATCACTCAGGAGGGAGCCGGGGCTAACCCTCACTGCACAGGGCTTCCACCCCTCTGTTCGGCCGCCTTCCCCAGGGATCAGGACAGCAAAGTACATTACATATTTCTCCATCGTTCTTCTTAGATAGCATCAGTACACTGTTTATTCGGTTAGCAAAGAGCAGAGCAAGAATTGAATGACTGAAGGTGTGTCTCTGAAATTGAATAATATTTAAGCCAAGCAGAAGTTCTCCTTTCCGTGGCCAGACCTCACTAACGGGGAAGGAAATTGGGCAGTGAAAAGACAGCACTCCCATGCCCTAAGGAAACTCTGAGAGAGGCCACTTCGTTGCCTGCTCGGCAGGCCCATTCTCTGCCTGCAGAGTGAGCCCGGCTTCCCCCAGGGCCTCTTTGTGACGGGACCGACAAGGGTTTCCAGGCAGTGGCTTGGGCTGTGGAGACCTCAGCCTGTGTATTAAGGGTACTGGGCTGAATGAGGGCACTGTCTGCGTGAGTTCCCTTGGGCAGGGATCTGGGTAAGGCGGCAGTTTGGAGAAGACCGGGGCATGTTCTGTCTGGCCGCAGTGTCCACGGGGTCAGCGTAATTTAGCCGGCTCTGCTGGGCTTGGTTCACAGGTCCGACTGCTGGTCACAGTTATCCGTGGCTGTCGGTCATCCTAGTGAGCTTCCTTCTTTTTCCCTTCATTCTCTGGCTCCTTCCTTAAAACCGTCAGGATTTGTGTGCTTGGAAACCTCTGACCACCCTCCTGCTCCACCGTGAAAAACAGTGTATGGGGGCCCCTATGTGCATCTCACCCAAAAAGGTCCATTTTTAGAAAGACCCGAGGATCTCGGCAGAGACTTTTACACCCACAAAATGCTCCAGCCCAGAGACCCAGCCTCCAGCACAGGACAGCGTGTGAGACTGGCCCGAGGTCTTCCGTCGCCGCCCCTGCTGTCGGATGACATGCACATTTCTGCACCTGCAGGACCTCAAAGCGAAGTAACCCTGGACACACCCTTCACTGGGTCTCTTTCCCCCACATCTCCCCCAACAATGGAAGGCAAGCACCGCTCCACACGAAAATAACAACACGGGTGCAGTTCTGTGCCTCTCCTTAGCTTCTCCCTGCCGCCCCGTGGGCTTGGTCATGGTGTCACCACGCACTGTAGATGTCGCAGACGCAGGCCCATGGCCGTGTGTGCCCCTGGGCATGTCTGCTGTCTTCTGGGGAAATGGAAACGCCACCATAGGCATTTACTCAGGCAGAAGCTCCAGAACTTTAGATCCCAGCTTTGCCGTTTTTAATTGTCTCTTGTTAAAATGTGAGTATCCCAGATGGAATGCAAAAGAGGTTCGTGCTGCTGAGGCCCTGGTTTCTTTTCTGAATGGATGTGCCAGGGTATTTCCGCCCACAGTACACTTTAAGCCAAAGTAATTTGTATCATCTTTAACACAAACCCAAAACACGAAAGGCTGTGTTTGTTTAACTAGACGTGTAAGCTATAGTTATCTTTATTTCCGCTTTAACTGCATAAGAGAGGAAACCTTTTTAACTATAAGGAAGGTGTTCGGCTTCCTTTTATCTCTTGCCTCATTATGTACTTTTGACTTTATTCAGATTTGTACAAGCTTGGTTTTTACCTCACAGGAAAAGCGAGAACTAATCGCTCCAGAGATCATCTGAGCTCTTTGTGTGAAGGTGTTTTAAGAAGTTGTGACTACATCTTCTTTTCTAAAACAGCCTCCAATTCTGTGATACAAAGTGAAATGCCAGTTGTTTGCAGCTCCGGGGCTGTGGTCCTCCTGGACACCAGCGGTAGCAACAGGCCCCATCCACACAGGGCTGGGGAGACAGGTCCCCTTCTGCACGGGGCCCAGGAGACAGGCCCTCATTCATACAAGGCCAGGGAGACCAGCAGAATCAGCACGGGGCCAGGGCAACAGCCCCATCCACACAGGGCCGGGCAGACAGGCTGAATCCGCACAGAGCTGGGGTTGGAGCTGAGAGTCATCCCTGACCCCAGCTTCATGGTCCTCCAGCTCTTCCCTGCACCATTGCCATGTTCTTACTGCTGCAGCCCTGCGTCAGGGCAGCTGCGGTGCCTTCTGCCTCTTGCCAGGGGCCCCCAGCCCCCACCAGTCACACTGTGGGCCGCACTCATAGGACAAAGTGCCCTTCCCGCCCTGACACGCACAGTCCTTGCCCACCTTTCTGTGAGTCTCAGTCCCCGAGGCCTCCACTCTGCGTCTACGTTCACACTGTCTGTCCTACGTCCGGGATGGCTCTGTTGCCTCCTCTCCATGGACTGGCCGTGCATACCTTGTGTGGACAGAGTTGGGACGGTGCTCCCGGCTGCATCGGCCGCCTGTGCTGGGCCACATGTCCAGGCAAGTGAAGCCTTCACTGGGACCCTCCCAGAGCAGCATGGGTGTGTCGAGGAGAAACATTCTGTAGATCTCAGCGCACGCCCCCCAAGGCAGCCCAGGAAGGAAGGGTGAAGGGCCCGCGGGAGCTGTGCGTCCACAGCATCCACAGTGCAGTGACGTTTCCCACCTTTTCACAGAAGCCTGAGGAGCAGCACTGTCTGCAGAAGGAAACTAGAAAACTTCCGTGCTCCAAGCCTGGGAAGTCCCGGGGAAGCATGCCGTTTGTCTGGGGCCTCGAGAGGCAGGGAAGGAAGGAAGGGAGTCACCTGAAGAAATCGGACCCAGGGCCAGGGCTTCCCACGGGGGTCCACAGCACTTGAAATCACAACGGGATGTGTCATGCACTCCACAGCCCCAGGTGGCAGCGGGAGACCTCCCCTTCAGGGCCATGTCCTCAGTCCGTGGAACACAGCCCCAGAAAATCCACCCCTGCTGGAGATGGGGAATCCTTTCCATGAGGGCCCACCAGGTCGAAGCCACAGATGAATGAACACCCCAAACAGAAGCAGCCACAAAACAGTCTGAAGCGACTCCCAGAGGTACAGGTTCAAACTGCAGGAAATCAAAGGGAGGAGAGTGTCCAGAAAGAACCAAGAGGGCCGCGCAGTAGCTCACACCTTTAATCCCAGCAGTTTGGGGGGCCCACGCGGGCGGATCACCTGAGGTCAGGAGTTCGAGACCAGCCTGGCCAACGTGATGAAGCCAACATGGAGAAACCCCATCTCTACTAAAGATACAAAAAGTTAGCTGGCCGTGGTGGCAGTCGCCTGTAATCCCAGCTACTAGGGAAGATGAGGCAGAAGAATCACTTGAACCCGGGATATGGAGGTTGCAGTGAGCCAAGATCGAGCCATTGTACTCCAGCCACGGCAACAAGAGCAAAACTCCGTCTCAAAACAAACAAACAAACACCAGGAAGGTTTGAGAAAGAACCAAGTAGACACAGGCACACGAGGCACAGGGCTGCCCCCGAGAGGACAGACTCACCGATGAAGGAAACACAGAGTAGGCCCTCTGGAGCGTGGGAATCAGGGGACTGCAGGTAAACCCTGAGGAATCCCCTGAACACAGCACACGGCCATGGAGGAGGCAGAACGCGTGGATGTGGCCTTGCGTTGTTGGACTCGGGGTGGGGTGGGCCGTGTGGTGCAGTCTAATGACTGTGTCGATATTTCTGGGAACTGTTTTCAATAGTGAGTGCTTGATGATTTAGGTGCAGCCGTGCCATCTGTAAGTCTTACAAAGGGACACTGTCACTTGGGTTGCCTTGCGCTGTGATGCAGACTCTCAGAACACACGTCCTGGGAGGCCTGAAGGTGGAGAGTGGTTGCGGGGCCTCGGTGCGTCCTTGCCTCACCAGTCCCCCTTTCTGCTGCACAGCTAGTTGAGACGTGTGTGCCCATGAAGCAGCCACAGGTGTTTGCCCGTTTAGATGCAGTAGGTGTTTGCTTTTCCGATGTGTGGAGGCAGGGCCCAGAGGTTTACTAAGCCCCTGTTCTCACTTTTGCAGTGCCGTGGAGGTCCCAGCCCCCGCTGCGGTTCTCGGAGGTCCGGAGCCCCTGATGCAGTGCACAGCCTGGCTGAATGCCTATTTCCACCAGCCCGAGGCTATCGAAGAGTTCCCCGTGCCGGCTCTTCACCATCCCGTTTTCCAGCAAGGTCGGTAACTAAGCCATCTGCGGTGTTTCCTTTGGGGAGCTTGACTTATTAACGATCGCTGACATCACAGTTCATTTTATTGAGTATACCAACTTGGTATTTTTACATCAGCTAAACAGAGGCAGCGTTTGGCCGAGCTGGAGGGACGGGGGTTCGCCGCCTCCACCCACTCCAACACTTGTGTTAGTTTTGGCACAGGGTTGCATAATTCTTGGCAAAGGCAATAAAAATGAAGCATGCAGATCGACTCTTGACTCTCGCTGGCTGAAAGGTTTAAATAGGAACACATCTGAATGGCAGTAAATTTTTCAATAAGCTTATTGTGAACTTCAACTATCTGCTTGCCAACAGCACAGAAAACGAGACTTGTGCGTGGACATTTAGCTATTTCCATACACTCTGTTGGTGACACTTACATCATAGCAGGTAGCAGCATTGGAGCTTCTCAAATAATTTTACATTTAATTTCTCAAACGTACCAGAGTTAGACATATTCTTTCTTAAGAGATGACTTGAGAACTTACCTGTATGTAGCCTGCTTAAGGCTTGTGATAATCTAAAACATTTCCCAGACATTTCTTTTAAAGCTTGTGTTTGGCTCTGCTCAATACAGAAATTAATTACAGCAACTAAAATCATTCCAGACACATGCCAGAAATTTATTTTGCATAGTGAGTTTTTCATAATCATTTTTGTGTATAAATGAACATATATTCATATATGATGTATATATGGAGTTGTACACTTATATATCCTTAAAGGGAAAAATTACCTTGAGATTTTAGATGTGGTGAATTTAAAGCAATTTTGAATTTCAGATCAGATTTGCTGGGTAAGCTTAACAGTATTCTAATTGCTGCGGTGCTTCTCAGCACAAAACAAACTTGAAAATGGAGAGAACTTTTCAAGGGAAGCAGGTAAAGAAACCCCTGAAGGTTGGGCTAATACCTGAGTTCACTAACCAAGTCAGACAGGCGAACATATGAAGTCATGAGCACGTTTTGTGCATAATGAACTGAAGCTGTGCAGCTATAATGAACCAGGCACCTTGCTGTCCTCTGAATCATACAGAACTGTCTCCAGAAGGGTTCAGTGGGGATCTCTAGGATGGGCAGATAGGAAGCTAGAGTGGGTGGGCCTTTACATGGAACCACAAACGTCCAAGAAACCTCTCATCATCTCTGCCCACCAATGGGCTGCTGCCAGGACAAAGGCACTACCAAAGCCTCCTGGGCTGCCGCCAGCTGGGGGCCACCTCTCCCCAGCGCCACAAGCCAGTGAGCCAATTAGACGGTGTGGGGGACCTTGCTCACTGTGCACCTGATGGGCCGGGCACAGGGCAGGATGTTGCTGAATGGCCCAAGGAAGTCAGAGATTGGTTTTGTTTATTAAAGTTGGGGCTTGGGGATCTTAGAGTGGTGAACTCTTCTCTATACGATCTCTTTTTGGGGGTTCGCCTGCCAGGAGGAGCAAGGCTGAAGAGCTGTCCAGAGGCTTTTCTTCTCCTTAAGCCTGTGAAATATGTGAGCTGAAATGTAAGGTCTCAGGACAGAAAAGTTCTCTTACAAAACCAGGGCAGGAGGTATCTGCATAATCATATGGAGGCTGGGAGAATGAGCCTGCAAACCCCTGAAGTTTACCTAAGGTTTGTTGGGCAACTTCATGAAAAACATAGGGGCAAAAGTTCCATGAAAATCGTTAGTTTTCTCCAAGTCATATGGTGGCCCTGGCCATGGAGCTAGACCCTGCTGGCCTGGTCTCACCAGGGTCCAGAGAGTGGTGTGCTCTCAGGCAGGCCAGGAAGAACCGGAGGAGGAGGCCTCCGCAGCTGCTGACAGGAGCTCCAGGGCAGGAGTGGCCAGCAAGGAAGGTGGCACCGGAAATAATCAGACACTCTCCAAACCACCCCTGCAAGCACTGAACCCCCGCTGAGCCTTTTCCCCCTCACTTCTGCCCATGGCAGTGTTTGCTGCTCCTAGAGCCGAGGACAGGCGGGCCCCTGGGGCTTCTCAGTCAAGTCCCTAGTGCTTAAGCAGAGTTGGGATTGGCCACACCTACCCCTGCCTCCCTGGCTTTCAGCCCACGCCAGGCCAGGCTGCTTCCTGGGCTGGCAGGTCATGATAGGTCTTGGTGACCAGGAAGACCTCAGAGTAGCCGCCAGGATACTGGTAAAGGCTGTCTGGCTCCCCCGTGGCCCTGCCCCTCTTGGAAAGCCCTACAGTGCGGGTGGATACCTCTAGCTGGGACGAGGTCCACTCCAGCCAAGTTTTGGGATGGTAGTGCGACAGCCGCTCACATCCTTCTCTCTTGGTGTTCTAGAACTCTGAGGCTGGCTGCAGACCCAGGGTGCTGAGCTCAGGGCCTTCTCTCGAGGGTAGGGGCTGGAGTCCCCTGGGCCAGGCCTGCCTGCGGATGGTTAGTGGTTGCTGTGGGGGCTGGGATTCCCCACCACAGCATGTGTAAGCCAGGTTTTTAACATTTAGCTCAATCGTTTACTCCTGGGCAGGGGCCAGGTGTATGGATTTTACTGTTTGAAGAAGGGGAGGTGGATGGTGGATGGTTGCTAACAGGGAGTTAATTGGTTCTCCCAGATGTGGATACGCCCCTCTCTGTCTGGCATGAGTTTGGTTTGCTCTCTGTCCAGGTTGTTATCTTGTAACATCAGTGAAATCAACAGTGAGGGGGCAGGTCTTCTAGAGGAAAAGTCTTTTGACATCTCAGAGCCGCCTGGAAGCTGTGGAGTAACAGAAATCAACCTGCTTTGCAGACTGAGAGGAGCGGGTCCATTGTAACATGGAATGAACATTTCCTTGACCAATTCCTTTTTCTGCACATTTTAATTTCTGTATATGTTTAACATACTTTTGCATATCATTTTTCACCATAGTCTCACTTCTGAGATTGAGACCAGGTTTATCTATTTCAACCTGGTTTGTCTATGTCAACATTTTTAAAAATGTGATTGTATTTGAGCTCATCCTTGAGTTCCAGCACATTGACCATTTCTTTCTGAAGGCCTGGCTGGTAAAACTTCTGACTGCGCAGTACCAAGCCCTCATCCCTTCCTCAGGCCTGTCCTGCTGCTGAAAGACCCTCTCTCCTGCACACGGCCTCTTCGCGGTACCACCTCACCTTCCAGGATTCCTCTCTGGAACGAACATGCTGTTTGTGATTTGCTTTTTAAGGCTAACCACAAAAATATGCATTACGTTGAACCATATGAAATTGCTATTTTTTAGGTTAAAACTTATCAAATACCAGAAATTTCAGATGGTTCAACTTCTTATCTTGGGGAATTTCCAAAGACAGGTTAGTAGCTAGGTAGCTGTTGAAGTATTTCTGCCAAGGGACAGTGAAGCTGCCTTTCCCGACCGGGTGTCCGGAGGTCCCCGGGGCTGCCTCATTGTGAGGTTGGGACAGGTGGGATTTCCCAGTGGGAGGGCGCTGAGGCTCTGGAAGGAAGCCTCATTGTTCTGCTGAAGGGATTAAGAGGAAAGCTGAGCTGTCCAGTGAAGCATATTCTAATTTCTCGTTCAAGTGTTGTTTTAGTCAGGTCATTTCCTAAAATAAAATTAGTCAAAGTTTTCTTGGTTTGGGGTTTTTTGGCTTTTTTGGTTTGCTATTCTGGTTTTTTTAAAGTGTCAACAAAATCCATTTTCTAGCTACTGTGTGACCGAGGGCTAGCATCTTGTCGTACAACGTAGCTTTTTAAGGAGGTAATTTTTTCCCATAAGCCTCTCGCAAGGGTCAGCTTTGTATTTATTTCTAATTCATTTTTCCTCAAGAAATACTTATTTAATGAAGCCATTATTTTTGAAATACATTTTTACTTTTTTCTTTTATAATGAAATATCATTTAAACTTTGAACACTCCCTGATTTCTTAGTGTTTATTTATGAAAATGTTTAGCTTCTTTATATAATGTGCCTTCTGGAGAAGCTGTAGGGGTCAGCAGCCAATGCAGCTACAAGAAATCCTTTCTACCTTAGTTTGCCAAAAGCAGCTTTTTACAATGAGTTCAAGAAAAGCAGACCTACGGAAAGCGAGGATGGACTTTCAGATACAGAACCCATCTGGGCACGTCCTCAGGTCCCTGAGCCCTCCCACCCATGGAAACCCTGCCAGCAGGTATGGCTGACCCCAGGCTGCTGAGGGAGGTCCTGCCAAGGCAGGACCAGGCCTTGGGGCTGCCCACGCGAGACTGTGGGGAGCCTAGCTGGGACCCCAGCCTTCTCACAGTTGAAGGTGTTCAACGGACGAGTTCTGAGTTTTCTTTGTAAAGTGACTGCAATGTTCCCTTTTAAATGAAATATTTAACACTTTAATAATTCCTTCGTCACAGCTATTGGCTTACAGCTATGAAATCCAGTTGCATGACAGCAGTAAAATCTCCCTTTTTTAACACCTGCTGGTAGAAGTAAGTTTTTGTAACTTCTATTATAGAGCCTCAGAAAGGATTCATATTTTTGTATTTTTGTGTCTCCATCGAATTCCTCATTTCAAAAGCGCCTCTAACAAAAGCCCTGCCCCAGAGTTAAGGGAAAGGGCCTTCAGGGTGAATTCGTTAAGGTTCCCACCGTGTCCTGGAAGATGGGCCCTCTTTGCTGGTGCTTCTAGTGAGGACTGCTTGGGTCCTGGAAGGGGCATGTCCCGGGAGAGGATGACGAGGGAGGAGAGGAGAAGAGAGTGGCGTCATTACTTGGGTCCTCACCGGAGCCAGCCCTTTAAGATTAGAAATCCTTCTTGAAGAGCCAAGCAAAGGCTCATCCAGCCCCCTACAACCCCATCCTGCTGCCTACTCACATCCAGGAAAGAGCCCACCCCTGATGGGTGCCCAAGTAGATGGCCTCCCCTGGAAAGAGGCATATTAGCCCTCCTCACCCGAGGGTCCTAGGGCCCGTTTGGGTGTTCTTAAAATGTGCCTTATAAGTCGTGATCCAGCCTGAGTTTTTCTACAGAGACACTGCAGCCAAGAGGGGATGTTTTTCTTGTAGCTTCCACATAGATCACGGCAGCACGCAGGCTTTGTCCTTTCAGCACTTTGTACCGATATTTTCCCTGAACTTAAGAAAAAAATTACCAATTGAAAGAGAAGAGAATAGCTAAAATAGGAGATGCATTTGCCACCACGTGTGGGTGGCCACCGCTGTTCCCCTTGATTTTAAACGAGGGCTCATAAATATTGTTGACCTTGCTGAGATATTACCTGGTGGAGCTGGAAGGTTTGTAAACCTTCTTCCGATGCCCGTTTATTGATTAGAACAAGCTAACAACACTGCACTTAAGTGGAAAAAACAGCTGGTAAAAATGTAATTCTTTCAGCCTTAGGGCTGCTGTGCTCCTTTTCTGGAGAGCAAATGTGGAAATCAAGATCTGTGGCCTTCTGGAACCTTCACCAGGAAAGGTGAAAAGAAGAAGAACCCATCCACAGCTGAGAGTGGATGGCAGGCCCGCGGGTTTCCAGGTGGCCAGTAGGATTGTCCGATGTCTGGAATGAGTACCGGGGCCGCCACCAGGAACACTTGTCATTTCTACCATGGAGAGGAAAGCCCAGTGCATTTCTGTGGTTCAGAAACTTGACACAAAGAGAAAAGCTGGAATGTTTAAAAGCAAAAATAGGGCAGAGATCAGTGAAAGTGCAGGATGTGTGTGAAACAAGGGTAGAGTGAGCACTGGTGGGGATGGAGGTGGTGAGGGGTCTTCTGAGCTGGGGACGTTTACTTACACCAGCCCTGCCTCCCAAGAACCCATCCCCTGTGGGTCCAGAAGACCAGATCCCCGCCAATGTCCTTCCCTTTCAGAGCTGTCTGGAGGAGCATGCCACTAGTTCCCAGGGTCTCATCTGCCGGCACACGGCCTGACTTTCATGGGAAGTCCCCATTGATGCTGTTCCCTTCCCAGTGAGTGGGCTCCCGTCACCCGTCCTGGCTCATTTGAATACCTGCATCACCTCCAGCCCCTCAGCAGAACAAGAATGTCAGATAATCCAGAATGCTGTTGAGAGCTGCTCCAGGTTGGGGGCTCGCAGCCCCAGCATCCAAAAGCCTGGTTTCAGCAGGGCATGCCCGCAGAGCCCCTAGGCGCCCCGAGCTCTCCTGGTTTGCCCGGGCTTTGCCTGCACGGGCTGGCCCCGTGGACTGCCTGGCCAGGCCAGCCCAGTAACAGCGAAGCACACCACTCTCAGCTCCTGAGCTTGGCTGACCAGCTATACTCTGGCATATTGGTGAATTTCATGGGCCAAAGAACCTGAGGTTCAGATTGTGTCTTAGTTCATTGTTTCATATTTGAATATGCAGTTTCCTACCTAGCAATTGTCATGAGTACTTTCTTGCTGTTTATACTATGAACAACATCTTGGGCTAGGAGAGAGTTTTTAAAGTTTCAACAATGATTCATTCAAGCACTTTCCTTTTTCAAGTTACTCATATCTCAGTTCATTCAATGGGGTTGGGGGATTTATATCAGAATCCTCTAGACATTTCATTTATAATATTCTACCTATAAATTTTTATACTTCTTACCCCTCCTCAAGATACACTAAAACCTTAGCATGGGCACACGCACACACATACCCTGTTTCTGAGAATTATTGTTCTAAAGGAATTTATCAAAATGGATGTAGCTCCTATGAATGCTTTTGCTGTGTGCTTTACCCTCTACTAAGCCTAACATTCCTAATTTAATAGCTATTTTTGTTTGAGACTTAAAAACTGTGCGCATTGAAGGAATGTTTTGCCGTTGAGGAAATGCCAGCCCCTCTCCTAGGAAAGGGGTGCTCGGCTCCTGGTCCACTGGCAGTGGCTGGAACAGAACCACAGCCTGCTGAATCCCAGGAAATTCATGATGTCCCTGTGCAGAGCCCTCTGACTAATCAGCGATCCCACAATGCCTGTAGCAGAAGCATAGTTAGGTGAGAGTTTTATCCTGAATGTAAGAGGTGGCCAGGTCCTTAGTTCCCTGAGGTTCCGTGAGTCGGGGGTAAAGGAAGCAGCCCTCACACAGAGTAATTTACCAAGCCTGAGAGGGAACCAAGAGGACTGTTTGAGAGTCAGCCACTTCCAAACCTTGGTGGACATAACGAGGGTCTCTACTACAATAAGCAGGACTTGTAATATGTAAAATTATTATGAGTGCTGCTTTTATGGGAAAATATTCACATTAAAATATAATTTAACTCTGGTGAAGTAATTAAACAGTAAATCAGTGATGGCTTCTATTAAAAATTAAGTCATCGTAATTATGTGAATGCCTTTAGAAGGATTTTCCGCAGTGTCCTGGCGTTGGCCTTGAGTGGACTTCTCAAAAAGTAGAAGTAACCAGGTTTCTGCCTGTGAGGAAATGTAAATTGCATCATTGCTTCCTTTAATAAATTTTCATTTTAAATGGGCTTTGAAAAATAGGAATTTTCTCTCTGTTTTAAAGTAAAAAACACACTTTTCACTTAAATATGTTTCTAAATTTCTATTTCCACTGTAGTCATTAGCTGGACATGTGCCGCTCCAAAAGAGAATGTTAACCTTCGTCTCTTTTGTCGTCATAAATGCACATTCATGTTTTACAGGTAATGTTCGTGCATTTGAAATAATTCCAGCAATAATAAGTAGAATTATCTCCACTACCTGTGTTTATAGAGAAAATGATGTTTTAATAACGTGTGCATAGAATTGGACTATGTTATCAATACGTTAAATGTGTAAATATTAGTATAAAATTAATAGTGATAATGCTGAAAAACTATTGCAGGAGCTGAAAGTGTAAGAACTATGACTTAATGTAAATGCTTTCACACATACGGTTTTTGCCTGCAATCCTTATGTTCAGGCTGACTCGGAATATAAGATTCATGAGTCTCTGTCCCTCTTTATATGTTGTTTCATGTGTCAGAATGGAAAAAGCAAATATTTACGTAGAGGGAACTCCTCCCTCCTGTTGGAGGTACGCGGCGGTCAGTGTAGCTTCTGAGGCCGCGTGGAGATGGGAACATCCTCAAGACAGAGCAGACTTCCTGGAGGCTCAGCCGGAACGTCTCCAGCTCTGTAGCACGTTTTAATTCCATACAAGAAGTTACTCCCAAAGAAGTAAATTGAAGAACGAAATCGAGGAAAAGAAAGTCCTTTTTTGAAAGCTCTTAAACACTTGACTCCGTTTAGTTCGGATCAGGCCTTCTCTGCCCTTCCAAAGATTCAGGTTAGGTATTGGTAACGCCCAGGAAGCACCCACTCTGGCGAGCCCACCCTCTCCGCCAGTAAATATATACAGTGTAGCTGTTACTATGACAACGACTTTTTTTTCTTGAGTACTGTTTTTAATTGTTGCACAAACACATATTGTGTAAGAAAGGGGAATTGTCCATAGTCTTCCACGTGTGGATGTGTGTGCCCACACTGTCTGCTTTCTTTAAAAATGCACATTCCTTTCTGGATTGGGCTCCGCGATCCCCCGCCTGCCAAGCAACCTGATTTTCTCTTCAGCCTTTCCTCACTTAGATGGTTTTAGTAAGACCTAGCAACCGAGCTCAAGAGACACGTCAGGACTTACTGCTTGCCCAAGACATATACTTTTCATAGAAAATTCGCGTCTCTTCCTCTTTTCAGAATAAAATATGCAAGAACCAACAGAAATGGCACATTCCCCTGCTTTTCCCCAAGAATTGGGCCTTTGATGTTCAAGAGCAGCTGATATTAAAGGCTATCCCTAGAAGGCTGTAGAAACTGTACCTATTTATGACAAATGTAAAACAGCACAAATCTAGCTGAATGTGATGGTATCATTAGTTTGTGAATCGCATCCTTGAAAATAACTGTGAAGGAGCCAAATCGGTTTAAAAGAAGATAACAAAATGGTTTAAGCTACTTAGGTTGAATGCCAATTATATTTTAATATTCAACTGAGCATATTTTACTAAGAAAAAAGGCCGCATTGACGCATGCATAACTCATTGGCAGCGTCGGCCAGCTGTGCCGCTCCACTCTCCGAATCACTTTGTGCATTTTAGTAGCATGGTAATTTAGTAGAGGACTACCTGAGTGATGGCATTTTCAATGAGCAGGTAATCTACAGAGAATTTTTATATGGTTATGAGTTCTGTGCTTCAGCCCGGCAACACAAAAATACATCAAGACCAATTACGGTATCAACTTTCAGTGTGATACCCTTGCCACGCAAGTGCATGTATTTCTGCCCCAGGCATTTCAAATTGCATCTAATTTGAAATCTTTGGGGTTTTAATTAAATTTCAGAATATATGGAATTCTTCATTAGTACCTGCTCTGAATAGCAGATCATCCTTCTCCCAGTCTCTCGTTAAAGAAGTAGGCTGTGGTAAATAGCGTGTTCAGTAGCTGATCATTTGTGGGACCTGGGTATTGGAACAGAAATAGTGAAATGCAAAATAATATCAAAAAGATTATTAGTCCAGGGAGAGTCTCTTGATTTGTATTTTAATGGAATTTTACATTTCTCTTAATGATTTGCAAATTGTCCTCTGATTATAAGATGCATTAAGCTTTTCATTTTAATGGCAAAGACACAGCCATTAGCAGAATTTTTTTTTCTGTCTTCTTTTTAGAGTGCTTCCCTGCAGCAGATAAATATTGAAACCATTAACACCTTTTGATGTATGGTACAGTCTGCATCTTAGACCCACACATGGCTGGCCGGCTGTGGTCCCTCCGTGCCGCACACCTGGCCGGGGACCCTGACTCTTCTCTGAGGACAGTGAGCAGCAGTAATGCCTGTTTCCTTTTCTGGAAAACAGGATTCTTTTTGAAAATTTCATCAGAAGGTGGTGTTTATTTGTATTAAAGCAATGCATTTAAATATTATTCATGGCCCAATGTGTATTTAAAAAGCTGGTCTTACCAGTGTTAGGGTTGACGGTGCCCACAGCTCCTGCCTTGCTCTGGTCTGCGGGGCTGGCCTTGGTGATTTTGGAAATGGAATCTGGCCTTGCCCCCAGGATGTTTCTCTGTCAACCCATGTGCTGTGAGAGACACACAGAGCTCTTTCTGTGTTAGCCAGCTGACCACAGCACGACCCCAACGTGGGGACACTTGACTTTGGTTTGGCCTCTGAGATAATGTCTTGGTTTTAAGGCCAGGACTTCTAATGCCCTAGAAGATGAATATGATTTACACGACCAGAGCTACAAGGCAAAGCTCATCTCTTCTGCTTCATCTGCTGAATGTGCACAGGGAGCTTTAGGCTTCGACCTGGCATGCAGTGACAGTCTGTGAAGGCAGTGGCGCTTCGGGCTAGGTGTCTCCTTGTGTCGGAGACCTGTGGAATCCAGCAGCTCCGTCTGATCGTATAGTTAGGAAAACCAAGGGGACTAGAGAATGGCACTGCTGAGTGCGGGCAGTGGTGGCTGCCCCCCACCCCCACCCTGGGCAAGTGAGGTCAGGCCTGGCCCTGCTTGCCCTCCATTTCGAAGGGCAATTCTTCACTCCAGGCTTGCACAGCTGACCCGAGAGTGAGTGTCTCTGAGCAGCTGTGGCTCTCAGTCACTTACCCCCTCACCTTCTCACTTCTCTTCATGGGTCTTCCAGGATCTGAGGGATGAAGCCAGACACACCTCCTGCCCTTCCTTTGTCCTCTCCTGGTGAGTGTCACCTTCCCGGGCTGTCAAGAGCTGGACCATGTGCCCACTCAGGTGTGTCACCTTCCTGGGCTGTCTAGAGCCAGTCTGCATGCCTGCTAAGGCGTGTCACCTTCCGCTCAGGTGTGTCACCTTTCTGAGATGTCTAGAGCCAGTCCACGTGCCTGCTCAGGCACATCACCTTCCTAGGCTGTCTAGAGGCAGTCTGTATGCTTGCTCAGGCATGTCACCTTCTGCTCAGGCATGTCACCTTCCCGGGATGTCTAGAGCTAGTTCGTTTGCCCGCTCAGGTGCATCACCTTCCGCTCAGGTGTGTCCCCTTTCTGAGATGTCTAGAGCCGGTCCATGTGCCCGCTCAGGTATGTCACCTTCCTGAGATGTCTAGAGCCGGTCCGTCTGCCTGCTCAGGCGTGTCACCGTCCCAGGCTGTCCAGAGCCGATCTGTGTGCCCATTCAGCTGTGTCACCTTCTGCTCAGGCATGTCACCTTCCCGAGGTGCCCAGAGCTGGTCTGTGTGCCCGCTCAGGCGTGTCACCTTCTGCTCAGGCATGTCACCTTCCCGGGCTGTCTAGAGCTGGTCCGTGTGTCCACTCAGGTACGTCACCTTCCCAGGCTGTCTAGAGCCAGTCCGTGTGCCTGCTCAGATATACTGTCACCATGTGGGCCCTACTCTTGTGTCAGGGCCATTAGCTGGCACATGCTGTGTGGTTGCCTGGTGCGCGCTGGGGCAACCTCGGGAAACACTCTTAGCCTTTGTATTGATCTGTGCAGGCTGCCAAAACAAAGTGATGCCAACTGGGGTCTTATACAACAGAAATCTTTCTCAGCTCTGGAGCCTGGAAGTCCGAGACCGAGGTGCGGCAGGGTGTCAGCTACTCAGACCAAGGTGCTGAGGCTGTCCTGCTTGCCCTGCAGATGGCCGTCTCCTTGCTGCGTCCTCACTAGGCCTTTCCTCTGGGCGTGCATCGCTCGGGTCTCTATATCATAATCTCCCCTTCTTAGAAGGACACCAGTCAGATGGGATTAGGGCTACCTGAACAACCGAATGAGAACTTCTTCACCTCTTAAAGACCCCATCTGCTGATACAGTTGAAATGCCGAGGGTCAGGGCTGCAACATACGAATTTTGGCAGAACATAGTTTAGCCCATAACACCCTTTCCGAGCCTCTGATTATCTGTCTGTAAAGTGGGGACAGTAGTAACAATGTGTAAAATGTCATGAGGGTAAAATGAGGCCACCAAACAGTCAGCAAAAGAAATACCTGCTTATTTCACAGATAGTCTTTTCTCCAAAATCCCAGTGGTAGTTAGCAAGTCAGGACAGCTGACTCCACCTGGTCCTTTGGAACTCAGGGAAGATTGGGCCGTTATTAGGAAGTGCTGCTCTTTGCAGCCAACAGAACTTCCCAAGGACGCCCGCCCTCCGCCCTTGCTTGCTATGTGTACGAGTTACAGGAAGTGTGGCTGGTATAGCCCCGCAGCTGTTCAGAAGGAGTGTTTTGGTTTGTCATCTCCACATGAAATGAATGGAGCCAATTCATACTGTAACTGAGAAAAGAACATTTTTCAACCATTATTTCTTCTCCCTACTCACTGTTAAGCTCTAGGCCACAATAAATGGCTGCCTGCTGGGACTCCTGCACTCTGGGATGACACGTTCAAAGCGTGTGCCCATGTAGGCTGCTGCAAGAGGGTAAGCATGATTGGAGTGGGGTCACTGGGGTCTGGGGAGCCAGCCTCGGCCCCTCCTGGCTCAGCACAGCCCTCGCGGCCTTGGGGGCCCACAGGGTCACTCTCCCCCAACCCTCCCACAGCACCGGGCTGTCTGCTCTGTGCTTCACTCTGCACTAGCTGGTTCCTGAGTACCAGGAGGCATTCTCTGATATGCTATGGATACAGTTATGGACAAAATGGACTCTTAGGAAGGCAGCAAGTAAGGGGAATGGAGGGGCAAAGAGCACACAGCTAAAGATTGCCTGACTCAACTGTGGTAGTCACTGGTGCACTGCAGGTTGGCATTTGCACCCTGCTAGCATGTGCTCCTGAAACTGGGGCCGGAGAGCTTTCTTCTCTGTCTGAGCACTCAGAGCAGTGCCTGCCAATGCTGTGACAATGAACGAATGAATAAGCAAAATGTCAACCCATTTTCAGAGTTTTGTTTAATGTCCCTGGACCTGGATCTCTCTTGAGAGTGAGCATTGAATGGGCCTTCCCTGCCCCTACTGAGAGCTCAGGGCATGGACCCCAAACGCTTGGGTCTCTCCTCTTCCCTCTTCTGTTGTAAATTTAAATGTCAGGGGGAAAAAAAAAAAAGCAAGAAAAATATGTAAATAAATACATTTGCAATCATATGTTATCGGATGAGAAGGGTAGCGGTTTCAAGAGTTACATTCAGAGTAATCGTTGAGCACATTGATGGCAAGTTGATAGTTTCGTTATTATGAAATATTTACTTTGGACAAAGGAGTATTCAAAACTGACTTACGAGGTATAAATAATAAAGGACAAAGTCATATATATGCCACCCAGGTGATGTAATAATTTGTTTTCTTCCCTTCTGTCAGTAGACATTTGGGTTCTGAAGTTTTTGCCTTTAAAACTAATGATGTTACAGATATTCTAGGTTGTGTGCCCTAGTGCTCCAGCTGGCTGGAATTCATGGGCGGAGTTCGCGAGAAGAGGGAACTATACAGAGAAAGAATTCCAGAGGTCTGCATGGTATCCCATTGAGTCTGTTGCAGATTACAAAGTCATACATGCATTTGTAAACCACATGAAACCAGACAACTATTGGGGAACTATAAGTTGAACAAATTTCAGATAAGTGAACCTCACTAGAACTAGAAAATATGTGGACAAGTATGAAAATTTTCTTCTATTATTTTATTTAAAAGATGATTAACTGTTCATGATAAAGTTAATAAAGATGTATTTTGTAGTTTATAATACACGTAGAAGGAAAACATATGACAACAATAGCATAGAAGATGAGACTGGGGAAATGGAAATACATTGTTCTAAGTTTCTTACTTTATGAACAAGTATAATATTTAAGGGCAGACTTTGATAAATTATGAATGCATATTAAAAATCCTAGAATACCAGTAAAAATAACCAGAATCTATAGCTCATGGGCCAACAGAAAAGATAAAATAGAATGCTAATTCTTTTATTAGAATTAGCATATTAGAATGCTAAAATGTAAAAGAAGATAGGGTAAAGGGGGAACAAAGAACAGATGGGAAAAATAACAAGTTGGCAGACTTAAACCCAATCATATTAATAATTACATTAAATGTAAATGTTTTAAGATTCAAATAAAAAGACATAGATTAGTAGACTGGTTTAAAAAGCCAGAGCCTGTTATATATTTTCTACTAGACAAAAATAATGTAAAATGATGACAGAGTCCTATGTAAAGATGGAAGGAAAAAAAAAGGAATACATTGACAGAAAGATATAAGTAAAATTGTATTTATTTTCAGATCACATAATTATTTACATAGAATATCTTGAATAATGTTGAAAATAACTATTAAAACCAATAAGTGAATTTGAGAAGTTTGAGGATACAATTTTAACATAAAATGTATTCTATTTTTATATAATGTAATTAAAAAGTAAATTATAAAACAGTTGCTTTATGTATTTAACATTAGCATTATTAAAGATTATTATTTAAAGATATGCAAGGCCTCTCTACTAAACAGCATAAAAACATGACTGAAAGAAATTAAAGAAGACCTAAGTAAATGGATCTTTATTAGTTATTGGAAGAGGCGGTGTTACGGAGAGGTCACATCTACACAAATTGCCCTCTGCATTCAGTTCAGTCACACTTTTAAATTATTTCAAAATGCAAAGAGCCTAGAATATTTAAAACAATCTTGAAAAAGAAGAATGAATTTGTAGGACTTACATTACCTGGTTTCAAGACTTCCTACAAATCTGTGGTAATCAAGACACTGCAGTAAGGATCAAAACTTAGAACAGTGCAACAGAGAGAGAGACCAGTGTTTTTTCAGTTCTTGTATCTTTGAGAAAGACACAAAGTAGATCAATGAGGAAAGTAAAGTCTTGTTGGCCAGGCATGGTGGCTTACGCCTGTAACCCCAGCACTTTGTGAGGCCATGGCAGGCGGATCACTTGAGGCCAGGAGTTCAAGACCAGCCTTGCAAACATAGCAAGACCCTGTCTCTACTAAAAACACAAAAAACAGCCAAGCATGGTGGTGCACACCTGTAATCCCAGCTACTCGGGAGGCTAAGGCATATGAATCACTTGAACCCAGGAGACAGAGGTTGCAGTGAGCTGAGATCATGCCACTGCATTCCAGTTTGGGTGACAGAGGAAGACTCTATCACAAAAAAAAAAAAAAAAAAAAAAAAAAGTCTTGTCAACTAATGGTGCTGAGCAACTGGATATCCATTTTTTTTTCCATTCCATTTTCAGATCACTTTAATGGTTAGAAATTTGTTCCATAACTTATTTATTTCCATAGGTTTTTGGGGAACAGATGGTATTTGGTTACATGAGTAAGTTCTTTAGTGGTGGTTTGTGAGATTTTGTGCACCCATTACACGAGCAGTATACACTGAACGTGATATGTAGTCTTTCATCCCTCACCCACTTCCCAACCATTCCCCCTGAGTCCCCAAAGTCTATTGTGTCATTCTTATGTCTTTACCTCCTCATAGCTTAGCTCCCGTGGATAACCATTTTCAGATAAATATTATTCACCATGACCTTGACCTCACACCATACACAAAAATTAATCTGAACTATATCATATACCTAAAGGAGAAGCTGAAACTCTAAAGCTCTTAGAAGAAAACATGAGTATTTTTCTGATTTGGGTAGGCACACATTTCTTATAACACCAAAATAAAAAACAATGAAAGAAATTATTAATAAATTAAACTTTATTAAAAGACTTCATTAAGTAAATGAGGAACAGGCCACAGAATGAGAGAAATTTTTACAAAACACATATCTGACAAAGGACTTCTAAGAAGGGTATATGAAGACTCTGATAACTCCATAAAAGGACCAACAACCCAGTAAATAACTGGACAAAATATCTCACATTTTCATCGCAAAGACACATAATACACAGATTGGCCCCTGAGCTCATGAGAAAGTGCTCGGCATCATCAGTCATTAGGGAAGTACAGGTTAAAACCACAGTGAAAGACATCTGCATATATCCCAGGGCAGCTCAGATCAGACACCACCAAGTGTCGCAGAGACTGCCGCAGCCTCGCCTCTCGTATACATTGGTGGGTGTTAAAATGTTGTAACCTCTTTGCAAAAGGTCTAGCAGCTGCTTATAAAACTAAGTGTTCTCCTACCCCGCTACCCAACAATTCCACTCTAGGGCATTTATCCAGGAGAAATTAAAACCTACGTCCACAAAAACGTATTCAAGAGTGTTCACAGCAGCTTTGCTTGCTTTATTTATAATTGCTGCAATTGGGAATTGCTTGTATGTCCATCTGTAGGAAAGTGGATAAATTACCTGAGGGATATCCATGTAGAGCCTGTTCCTATCTGTGAACTTAGCATTGAAAAGGAATAATCCACAGACACACACAGCCTCGTGGATGAGTCTCGGTAACGTCATGCTGAGCTTAAGGAGCCGGACACAGCAAGAGCCTGCCTCTGATTATATTTATTGAAGCTCTGCAGTTGCCAAAAACAATCTGGATAGGGAAAAGTTAGAAGAGGAACTGCTTCTGGGGTTGTGCAGGCAGTGAGAAACTGGGAAGGGGCATGAGGGAATGTTCTAGACCATGACGGCCATGGTCTATATCTTAACAGGTTAGGTCACATAGGTATCTATCTGTGTTTGTCAGAATTCATCAAATGATGTTGAAGATGGTACATTTCACTGTGTGTGTAAATTCCACCTTAAAGGAAAAAAGAACCATAAATGGACATTGAACTCTTAATGGTATATGTGCTGAAGGACTTGGAGAGAGTACACTGATGTCTGCAGCTTATTTTGAAATGCAGCAAAAATAATAATAAAATGGATATGGGGTGGAGAGATGGATAGATATATGATAAAAACAAATACAGGCTAAAATGTCAATTATATCATCTGAGGTATAAAGCTATTCATTGTAAAACTCTTCCAACTCTATGTGGCTGGGGTTTTTCATAATATGTTGGAGGAAAATAGTAAATATTATGGATTTTTATTCCTTGAAAGCAAATTTGGGGGAAAGATCATGAAAACTGTGGCCTCCTTATCCCAGATGGTGAAGATACAACCTAGTATGGCCTCAGCGAGATACTGAGTGCACTCTCAGTTTGCACCTGGAGGGCAGGGTGAGTCTGGGAGGTCTGTGAATTGTCAGTGGACCTCCCGGTCCTCTCCAGAGCCCTGCAGGATCGGGTGGATACACTGACCTGATGGACAGGAAGAGGAAGCCTCTGGGCCAGACCTTTGGACACTGTTGCCTTACTCTTCTTCTCTCCAGCCAAGCGAGTGGCCTTGGGAGGTGAGTGTGGTGTCGCCTTGCAGCCTTGCACTCAGCTTTGCAGCCGTCCCTGTCCAGCCAGCTTCCACGCAAGTGGAAGACACACAGAATCCACAGCCCAGGCAGCTGCTCTCACCTGTGTGTGGAGCACAGGGTGCCCATCCTCAGAGACCCTGCCCAGCCCCTCGCTGCCATCCCCTCTGCTAGACCAGGCATGTGGGTCAGCGCTGCCCTGTCTGGCCCGAAGTTCCATGTCAGTAGCCGTGGATCAAATGATGAAGGCAGAGTTATCTAATTACGGAGTGTTTTCTCTAATATTTCCACAGCCTGCTGCTGTCATGGAACATGGAGATTCATTACTTAGAATGTCAAATTAATAGCGTTCCTGGACCTGAAACATCATTGTGTCAACTTCTCCACCTTTTCCAGGTGGTGGTTTGAGTTTGTGCACATGGCATGCCTATTGCCCCAGCACGGCCACAGCTTTCCAAAGTGCCGCCCAGGGCTGGGGTCTGCCCACTTCCTCGGAGGTCTGTCCATGCTCTGGGCAGGCTACAGCCTGCAGGATGCAGATGCCCAGATTGGAGCAGCACCCTGTGCCCTCAAGAGGAGCACAGCTCACACATCCACGTAACTCTTGTCCTTAGCAGTAGTGAGGGGCTTCTGCAGGCAGAGGAGTCGGCTCCACGGTCCTCCATGTAAACTACCGGGATCAGGAGCCTAGGGTTCAATTCTGCTGTCACGTGTCTGCACTGTAGCCTGTTCTGCCTTCTCAACCAGCCCCTTCTAGCTCCTGGGGCAGTTTCTCTTTAGCTGAAACTTCCCTTCATCTTCCACCAATACCATGTTGCGTTACAGTTTCCCTCTTCTCACAGAACGAGCCTTGGGAGAGGAGTGTGTTCTGTCACACAGCCTGGCCATGGCTCAGGTCCACAAGGTCAGCTCCAGACTCTCAGTGCAATGAGGGACCATGAGTAGCTTCTGCTTGCTGAGTGCTTTCCAAGTGGCGGGGCCTCTGCCAAGTGCTTTGTGATCCTCATATCCAAGTGGAGGAAACTCAACTTTAGACAGTGACTGAGCTCCAACAGCTGATCCTTGGCACAGATGAGACTTGAACCTGGGTCCTTCTGACTCCAGAATGCAAGCTCATAGGAAGGGGTAAATTTACTGGGAAGATCTCTGCTGGCCAGGTCCTTGATGGCACAGGGCCACGTGCAGGTGGAGTCCAGGCGAGACTTGTCCTTGGGAACACGAGCTGGTTTTGAAGCTACTGTAGTCCTGGGTTGCCCGCCCATGGGTGTTGTGAGGACGCTCTCCAGCATCACTGCTGCCCACGTGCCCTGAGGGGTCTTAGGTTCCACCCCAGGTCACATTCAGTGTTTTGTCTGATTCTTCACCAGAAGGGAGCAGCCTCACGCAGACTGAGCAGGAACAGTGGCATTGGTGTTTTCCACAGATCTTTTGGAAGAATTTGAACTTCTGATCATGTATATATGACACTTTTTAAAGTTTTAAGTGATGCATGGAAACTTGATATTGTAAATTTAAATATCAGTCATTTTCAGTTTTGTCTCTTTGCTGCTCAAAATGAAAAATCTTCTCACTCTTCCCCTACTCCATAATATGGTCATGGAGTTTTGACCTAATTAAAAGCATCAGAATTAAGTTGCTAAGTTTGAATGGGAATGTAGTGGTGTTTAAGGGGACTTAGGAGACCCTGTCCTCATGTCCTTTCTGTCACTATAGGTTTTGTTACTGTTTAAAGTCCATCTGCCCAGCTTTTAGATAATTAATTCTAATTTTGAGAACTTGGGAGATGTTGCAAAAACTGTTGGAGCTGATTTTAAGATTGGTGTAATATACCTGGTATTACTAGAGTCAGTCAGTGAAGTCATAGATGAAGTTGTGACATTTGGCCCAGGGTTCCCTGCTGAATTCTGAAATACCATGATGCTATCAAGAGAAGAGCCATGGGTTAGCCAGTCTCCATGTGACACCCAGTGAGCTTCACTGCTGGTACTCCCACTCTTGTTCCTTCTCGGATGGAGTCAGGTCTGGCCCCAAGCTACAGCAGGATATGGAGGAAGTGATGGTGTGCGACTTCCGAGGCTAGGTCATAAGAGGCCTTGCAGCTCCCAGTGTCCTCAGTCACCTGCTGTGAGGGCAGCCAGTACCATGTCAGAGGACATACAGGCAGCCCCAGGAGAGGCCCATGTGGTGAGGAGCCAGGGAAGTCAGCCCTGTTGGAAATAGATCCTCCAGCCCCAGTCGAGCCTTCGGATGAGTGCAGCTATGCAGAAGACCCCAAGTGACAACTGCTGAGCCCGACCCTTCTGAATTCAAGGCCATGAAAGAAAGGTCATTTGTGTTGTTTGGGGCCACGAAGTTGGGGATTATCTGTTACCTGTCTGTAGTGACTGGCACAAGATGTGAGGCACTCCCCAGTAGTTACTTATTCATCACACTTCCTTTCATAGCTGGTCCTTGTCCTTTCCTCTGGTGTAAAGTACAGACTGTGAAGACCCGCCCTCTGTTCCTTCCAGCTGTTTTTGGCTGTCTCTTGTGTACAAATGCTGTAGGAGATGCAAAGGTGACTCGCAGCATCCCCCAAGAATGCCTGGGCTTGGTGCTGCCAGAAAGGTATATGAGGAGCCCCGGGTAAGCCAGCACTGCAGGCAGCAAGGTAGCCTTCAGCTGTGTGGGCTGGGGAGAACTTCATGGAGGAGGTAGCATTTGCACCAGACTTTGAGGTAGATGGGATTTGAACACATGGAGTAAGGGGAAACAACATAGACTGAGGCTGGGCCTGTGTGTGAAACAGCAAGCAATCCCTTCTGGCTGGAGCAGGGGAGGGTGTGAGGAGGGGCTGCCAGCCTCCCTCCAGGCCAAGAAGGCCATCAGGTCTCACTGGGGGACAGTGAGGAGCTACTCAAGGCATGATGGGAGCCAGGCTGGACTTGAACAGGACTCATTGGACTGTCCAGGTGCTGGGTGAGAGAGGGAGGAGGGGACATGGAGCCAG